>NC_000003.12:42131212-42434242 GCF_000001405.40 Homo sapiens
CATCCTGTTTGACCCTTGAGCAGGGCCGACACAGTGGTCGCTCCCTTCTGGTCACTCTCCTGGCTTGGCTCCCAGTGCCTCACTTGCCCCCAGAGTTCCCTTTTGTCTCTCTGGACAGTCTTTCCAGCCTCTTTCACCAGTTCTTTCTTTTTCCTCTTCCTCTGAGCTTCCAAATCAGTGGCTGTCAACCCTGATGCACCTAGAGCTTTAAAAAATATAGTCTGCCAGGCGCTGTGGCTCATGCCTGTAATCCCAGCACTTTGGTAGGCTGAGGTGGGTGGATCACCTGAGATCAGGAGTTTGAGACCAGCCTGGCTAACATGGCGAAACTCCATCTCTACTAAAAATACAAAAATTAGCCAGGCATGGTGGCGTGCACCTGTAATCCCAGCTAACTTGGGAGGCTGAGACAGGAGAATCTCTTGAACCCGGGAGGCAGAGGTTGCAGTGAGCCGAGATTGTGCCACTGCACTCCAGCCTGGGTGACAGAGTGAGACTCCATCTCAAAAATGAACAACAAACAAATAAAAATAAATAAAATTTAAAAAAAAAATACAATCCTTGGCCAGGCGTGGTGGCTCACGCCTGTAATCCCATCACTTTAGGAGGCCAAGGCAGGCAGATCATATGAGCCCAGAAGTTCGAGACCAGCCTGGGCAACATGATGAAACCCCATCTCTACAAAAAATTAAAAAAAAAAAAAAAAAAAGCTGGGTGTGATGGTATGCACCTTGTAGTCCCAGCTACTCAGGAGGCTGAGGTGGTAGGATTGCTTGAGCCTAGGAGGTGGACGTTGCAGTGAGCCAAGATCGTGCCACTGCACTCCAGCCTGGGCAACAGAGCGAGACTCTGCCTCAAAAAAAGAAAAAGGAAAAAACCAGCCCTGGAACCAGTCCCCTGCAGATACCAAAATCCATGGATGCTCAAGTCCCTGATATGAAATGGCATAGTATTTGCATTTAACCTGTACACATCTTTCCATATACTCTAAGTCTAGATTACTTGTATTACTTGTAAATGCTATGTTTTTTGTTTTTTTTTTTTTGTTTGGTGTATTTTTTTTTTTTGAGTCAGTCTTCTCCTGTCACCCGGGATGGAGTGAGTGCCTTGGTGCCATCTTGGCTCACTGCATTCTCAACCTCCCAGACTCAAGCCATCCTCCCACCTCAGCCCCCCAGTAGTTGGGACTACAGGCACATGCCACCATGCCTCGCTAACTTTCATATTTTTTTGTAGAGACAGGGTTTTCACCATGTTGCCCAGGCTGGTCTCAAACTCCTTGGCTCAAGCATTCCTCCCACCTCAGCCTCACAAAGTGCTAGGATTATAGGAGTGAGCCACCATGTCCAGCCTAAAATTTTGTATTGTTATTTTATATTGTTTTTTTCCCCCTGAATATTTTTGATCCGTGGTGGATACAGAGGCCTGACTATATATCCTCCCCAGGCCCCACCGTCAGGCATAGTCATTCTAATTGATCCTCAGGTGACTGTGATGTACTCCTCTAAATGTTGGCGTGCCCAGCCTGCTTCTGTCTATATCCTCTCTCCCAAGGCTGTAATACCAGCCACATGTTGGTGACTGCCAAATGTATGCCCACCCTGACCTTCCCTTCCTCCCTCAGCCTCATGTACCCACATACTGAGATTATTAACTCATCCATTGCGGAAAGTGGATTGTTCCCCCTCCACACACATTTGTCTTAATAAATACAACGTGGTTTACCCCATTTCTGTATCCTCCTGGCCATCCACTGGCCCTGTTAATTCTTCCTCCAGATATATCCCAGACCCGTTCTCTGACCTGGCTGCTGCCACCCTTGATGAAGCTACTGCCATCTCATCCCTGGACAGCTGTAACTGCTCTCCCAGCTTCCACTCTTGCTTCTCTGCTGTACTCTTTGGACCCAGCAGCCTGGCTTGTCTTTTTTTGAAATCCAACTGGGTCATGCCGCTCCTTTGTTTCCCATTGCCCTTTGGATAAAATGCGGGGTCTTCGGAGACTCTGTGACCTGGCTCTTGGCTCTATCCAGCCAGCCTCGTTCCACCCTCTCCTTACCCTATAGCAGCCCCACCAGTGCTTCCAGACCCTCGAATACACCAAACTCCCATGACCTTGGATCATGCCGCTCCCTCGCTACCCCTCTTCCTTTTCTTTTTTTGTTTTGTTTTTAAAGTTTTTATTATTTCTCGAGACTGGGTCTTGATATGTTGCCTAGGCTGGCCTCGAACTCCTGGGCTCCAGCAGTCCTCCTGCCTCAGCCTTCTGAGTAGGCTGGGACTACAGGTGCATACTGCTGTGCCCAGCTTCTTTTCTGTTCTTTGGTTCTCAACAGAAGTGTGCTGTCCATGACAAGCCTTCCTTGACCACCCCATCTGTGGCATCCCCCACTTCCGTTGCCTTTTTCCTGCCTTCATAGCTTTCATCAATCTTTATTTGCTTATGTAAAGATAACCAATAATTATAATAATGACTCACATCTACTGAGTGCTTACCACTTGCCAGCGTTGTGCTAAATGCTTTACCTTTACGAGCACTGCAGGACATAGACACTAGATTTGTTGTAGTGCATAATCCTCTTTTTGTTTAAACAATTTTTCAAATATATTACAATTGTTTTATCTAAATTGAATTGGCCTTTTAATCCTTGTTTCAAGATATTAAAGTTAGTTTATGCAGATGTAACACTTTTTTTATAGCAATGTAAATGGACTAAAAATTTTTTTAAAAAGAATACTTTTAATACTATTGATGAAATAATAAACACATTGATATAATTACATTAATAAGCAAAACAGGCGTGAACAGACAGGTTGGGAACACACACATGACCATTTTTCCACTGGGAAAATGCTCAATTCACAAGAGCCCAGATGCCTAGGCACATGAGACAGTGGTCAGCTGGTCGGCAGTATCAGCAGGCTGTGGGCCTTTCCTTCCTTCCTCCCCTTCCCCTTCCCCTTCCTCTTCCCCTTCCCCCTCCCCTTCCCCTTCCCCCCTCCCCTCCTCTCCTCTCCCCTTCCCTCCCCTCCCCTTTCCTCCTTTCTTCCTTACCTTTCCTTTCCTTTTACCTTACCTTACCTTACCTTAATCTTGCTCTGTTGCCCAGGCTGGAGTGCAGTGGTGGCAATCACAGCTCACTGCAGCCTTGACCTCTTGGCCTCAAGTGATCCTTCTGTCTCAGCCTCCCGAGTAGCTGGGACTGCAGGTGCATGCCACCATGCCCAGCTAGTTTTAAAATGTTTTGTAGAGACAAGGTTTCACCATGTTGCCTCGGCTGTCTCACGCTCCTGGCCTCAAGTGATCCACCTGCCTTGGCCTCCCAAAGTGCTGGGATTACAGGTGTTAGCCACCATGCCTGGTCTCTTTTTTTTTTTTTTTTTTTTTTTTTTGAGACAGAGTCTCGCTCTGTTGCCCAGGCTAGATTGCAGTGGTGCGATCTCAGCTCACTGCAAGCTCTGCCTCCTGGGTTCACGCCATTCACCTGCCTCAGTCTCCTGAGTAGCTGGGACTACAGGCGCACGCCCGGCTAATTTTTTTGTATTTTTAGTAGAGACGGGGTTTCACTGTGTTAGCCAGGATGGTCTCGATCTCCTGACCTCGTGATCCACCCACCTCGGCCTCCCACAGTGCTGGGATTACAGGCATGAGCCACTGCACCTGGCCTTTTTTTTTTCTTTAGAGACAGTCTTGCTCTGTCACCCAGGCTGGAGTGCAGTGGCATTAATTATAGCTTACTGCAGCCTCGAACTCCTGGCCTCAAGCAATCCTCCTGCCTTTCCTTCCCAAAGCTATGAAATTGCAGACAGGAGCCACCATGCCTGGCTGGTTTTTGGGGGCCATGGCAAGTGCAGGCTTGTCAGAGGAATTGGAGAAGCAGGGATTAGTTAGGAAAACCTCTCCACTTCTTGTGTTTCATGCCAGGTAGTGTTTGTAACTTCAGAACCCGCCCTTACCTTACCTACCTACCATGTTATGCTCATTTCACCTACTGTCCCCTGCTGTATAGGGAGTGCCTTGAGGGCAGAGATCATGTTAGTTTTGTTCCCTCTTCTGTACAGAGGGTGGAGCCCAGTACCTGGCACAGCTGAAGGAGGAATGTGCTGCTGCTGTCTCTGTATTTCCAGGTACTCCTTGTTGACCTCTAGCCAAGACAAGGAACCTCCTTATGAGATGTCATCTTCTGAGCTCTCTTGATGGAGGGAATACCACGGTGATGATTGAATATGAAAAGTCTTGGCACAGTGGCTCACACCTGTAATCCCAACACTTTGGGTGGCCGAGGTGGGAGGATTGCTTGAAGCCAGGCATTGAGACCATCCTTGGCCACCAAACGAGACCCCATCTCTACAAAAAAAGAAAAACAAAACCAAAAAAACATGAAAAGTCTCATCCAGGGTATTTCCCACTGGGAGTTTTACTTTCGGCCTGTGTTTGTGTGGAATTGGACTGTGTGTGGGAACATCCCAGCTCTCTTCCTCGTCTGACTAGTCATCCCTGGCTTTTTGTCTTTGTTTTTAGCTAAGTCCCTTTTTCTTTTTGGTGTGGTTAGATGTGGTCATCTGTCAGTGCTCTGGCTTGGGGTCTTCTCTTGCCTACATCTTCTTTGCTTTGGCTGTTGCCTCTCTGCAGGTGATGGCTACGTTTCTCTCTACTGCCTGAATATGTTGCCAGAATGTCATAGAAACTGAACGTGTGCTTGCCATCCTCACACTAGCTGTTCTTACCACCTGCCCGACTTCCATAGAAACTCGGGGTGGACATGCGCCAGGCCCTCACCAATGACCCTGTCCATTCTCATAGGTGCCTTCCCCTGTTCTCCTAAATCCATCGATGCTAAGTTTGTACCTCAGTCCTGGTTCTGAAACCTGTTTCTCTATCATCATAAAGAAATCATGGAACCTCTGTGTACTTTGGTTTACTTTTTTGGTGGGTTTAAGGAAGATTCTGTGACTTCATTGGTGATGACATGGCATTGGGAGATAGGGTCCATTTCTGATTTTCAGAGTGAGGAAGCAGGCATGTGTGTTACTGTTTTAGAGAATTGTGGCACCTACCCTGTTCTTCAGCTCTTGGTACCTGGCCTTGTAATGAACACGAATGATCTTTAAAAGAAGTTAGATTTTAAAAATAATATTTTTGTGGCTCACACTTATAATCCCAGTGCTTTGGGAGGCCTAGGCAGGAGGATTGCTTGAGACAAGGCATTTGAGACCAAGCTGGGCAACATAGGGAAACCCCCATCACTATAAAAAAATGTTTAAAAATTACCCAGGCGGTGCATACCTGTAGTCCTAGCTACTCAGGAGGCTAAGGTGGGCGGGTCACTTAAGCCAGGAGTTCGAGGCTGTAGTGAGCTGTGATCATGCCAGTGCATTCCAGCCTGGGCAATTGAGTGAGACACTGTTTCAATACAAAAGAAAAATAAATAAAAAATAAATAAATAAATAAATAAATAACATTTCTTTTCTTTCTTTTTGTTTTTTTTGAGATGAAGTCTGGCTCTGTTGCCCAGGCTGGAGTGCAGTGGCGTGTTCTTGGCTCACTGCAATCTCCACCTCCTGGGTTCAAGTGATTTTCCTGCCTCAGCCTCCCGAGTAGCTGGGATTACAGGCACATGACACCACACCAGGCTAATTTTTGTGTTTTTAGTAAAGACAGGGTTTCACCCTGTTGGCCAGGCTGGTCTCAAACTCCTGACCTCAGGTGATCCACCTCAGGCTCCCAAAGTGCTGGGATTACAGGCGTGAGCTACCGTGCCTGGACAAAATAATATTTCTATCACAAAAGTATGCTGATTTTAGGTGATTTGAAAATAAAAACAAAAAGATGACTAACATAGTAACCACCACTCACTTTTTGTGAGATTTTTTTCTAGATTTTTTTTTTCTGCAACACATTTATTTAAGGACATAATGCATTTTAAATAAATATTGTATGTTGACCATTTCCTTTGGCATTAAATTTCTTGAAAAACACAATTTTCAGCATTGCTTAATATTCTGTCATTTATATTTGACCATTCATCTATTATTAGGAATCCAGGCTATTTCTGTTTCTTCCCCAAATAACACATGGGTGAATACCCTTTTACTTCTGGATATCAGGCCAGATAGTACTTACAAGCAATTTGCCTGAAAACACTGAATTTGGTTATTTAAGAAGCCTGAACACATCCTAAAGATTTTTTTATCCGATACCTGAGGAGGGATGTCTTACCTCTTTCTTAGTTTGTGCAGGTTGTTATTCATTAGTGAATGTTTGGAAAATAACAAACAGGTAATGGTCAGGAAGGTGATGACTAAAGTTTATGTGAATATGGCATATCATTTCAAGAAAGATGGGTTTTTTCCCTTAAACTCAAAGTTATCAAGAGATCAACTTCTCAAACTTTGGACCAAGGGCAGTTTTGTGGGGGAAAGCAGTAACGTATGCTATTTGTGGAGTTTAGCTAGAATTGATAGATGCACCTGATCCCTGTGGAGTAGTTGATATCTCTGTGTGGGTTGGGTAACGCTGCTTTATAGTGAAGCTTTTCTTCTTCCAAGTGCCTCTGAGAGGAGAGAAAGTGGTTGGAGACCCACCAGTCCTGCGTTAGAGGGCCATTTCTCCATCATCCACGGACTAAATATGTGACCTTGAGCAAATCACTTATCACTGCATTGGGACTCGGTTTCTTATCTGGAAATTAATCAGCATTAAATATTTTATGGTTCTCTGAATGTTTCTTTGAGAGATTTTCACTCTCTAGTTAATGGTATCCCATGATGAAGTTTTTTAAAATTGTTTTTTGTTTTATGACCATTTCTTAATTTGAGTTTCTCTGTATTGCAAAATAGGCATTAAGAGAATAGGGACCTTTAATTTTTGTTTTATAGAAATTGTAGTGTGGTTTTCTTTTTCAAATGCAAGTGCTGTTAAATTGCTTTCAGGTGATAATGTAGGAACATCTTATAAGTATTCTCAGAACCCTATAGACATATGCACTTAACTCTCTAAGCATGTTTTAAATTACACAGGACTTTTCTTGTTAAGATATAGATATGTACAAGGCTTAAATTCTAGTAGATTACAAATCGTCGAAAATAATTTTCATCTTCAGAGAGTAAATTAATGGAGCAGAGTCCATGTCTGCTTGAATGGGCCAATATCCTCTTCCCAGGGCGTTGTATTGAATAGGTGCCTAATGAATGCTTCTTAAATAAGCGAAAATGCAAAGACATATTTTTAAATTTAAAAAATAAGCTTTCTCCTTCCTTATCTTTTTCCATAAAAACAAAACAAGATTTAAAACTCATGTATAGAATAACAAGATCGTTTTATTTGTTGCCACTTTCCAAAGATTGCCTTCATTTTAATTAAAATCCTAAGTGAAACAAAAATAGAGACACTGGCCAGATGTGGCGGCTCACACCTATAATCCCAGCACTCCCGGGGGCTGAGGCAGGAGGATTGCCTGAATCCAGGAGTTCGAGACCAGCCTGGGGAACATGGTGAGGCTCCATATCTATTAAAAAAAAAAAAAAAAAGTACAGACACCACAAAATGCAGTACACCTATATAAATTAAATGAATAAATAGCACACAGTGCTGACCTTCTGAAGGGGAGTGTGGTCATAATTTTATTATTTTATGAGGTGGTGACCTAAAAGAAAGCATAGGGGGTGTGTGTGTGTGTGTGTGTGTGTGTGTGTGTGTGTGTGTGTGTGTGTTTGGAGGAGGGGTACCTCTTGGAACATCAAAGAGTCTGTTGTCACCTAGACGTGTGCGTGGTGAGGCAGGGTTGAATGAAGGAAGGAAGGATAAATTATTGGGGTGGAGTAGGGGTTGTGCTGAGTTGGAAAGGGGATCTAATTCCCAGGAACTTTTCATTATCATCTGCTAACAAAGCTAATGGCAAGATGTATACATTATAATGTATTTATAAGTAGTTATCAAGAATTTCTTTTGTGTAAATGCCCAAGTACTCTGGCTGTGTCCTTTCTGTCATCCCTAAGCTCTGGGGCCATTTTGTTTACAGGCAAGGACCTAAGTGAGCCCTGAGAATTGTGCCTTCTCTTCTCTTACTGCTCACGTATGCGGTCTCTTTCTTGGGCCCATTTTTCACCACTGTTAGTTGACACAGACGTCTGCAGGATCAAAGGTAGAAGCAGAGACACCCTGGAGCACAGTCACTTTCTCTACATTAGCCAAATGCAGTCATGATGCCTCCACCCAGGTGTGGGCCTGGGTCTCAGGTGCTGAGTGGAATTGAGGGTGCCCGTCTTGGGGAAGTAATCAAAGGCAGCCTCATACCAGGGTGCACGACAGCACCAGGAGCCTTTCACAGTGTCTAGTGAGCACTGCAGCCAGGTACTCATACTGGTCAGCAGACCTACCCTCATGGTCCCTGGGCTTACTTACTTTGTCACCTGTCACCTGCCAGGTTTCATTTTTTGTCATCAAACCCGATTCCAATGTTGAGTATTTATTTTTTTCTTTTTAAGAAGAAAAATGCCTGGCAAGCAATTCTGTACAGATTTTTCTTTTTCATGTTATTTCAGCATATCTAAGACAAAGCTGGAACGGACTCAGGTGGGAAATTGACATGACAGCTCAGCTCACACTCCACCTCCCGTGATGGGCCCAGGCTACTGTGGTTCAGCTGAGTTTTGGCGTGAATGGAATACGGGGCCGTTTGAGCTTCTGGTTCACTTGTGTTTTGAGGCCTGTGGCACCTGCTACGTGACTTGCTGGACATAGGTGTGAGATTTCCCATACAGCCTCCCAGGCTGGCAGGAGGCAGACTCAGAACCATGCAGGCCGTGTACTGATGCTACCACACCCAAGCCCTTTTTCTTCTCTCTGTCCTTCTCAGAGGTAGGGTTGATTTTAATGAGAACTACATCGAGGCCAGGATGCACGTTGGCTCCTCAGTGCTCTGCCAAATGCCATCTCCCTGCTTTTGGATATGTTCTCTAAAAGCCAAGCTTTGTTCCCCCACCTTCCCCTGGAGGTGGGTTGGTGCCTGTGCCTGAAATGAGGAGGAGATGGTTTGGGAGGGGGTAGTTGACAGCAAGCTGTTCATTAGCAGTCTGCCTTCTGCCGTGGGTGCTCAGTGACTGGCAGCGGCAACATTTTAAAAAATAAAGATCAGGCTGGGCGCAGTGGCTCATGCCTGTAATCCCAGCATTTTGGGAGGCTGAGGCAGGCGGATCATGAGGTCAGGAGATCGAGACCATTCTGGCTCGATGGTGAAACCCCGTCTCTACTAAAAATACAAAAATTAGCCACGCGTGGTGGCACATGCCTGTAGTCCCAGCTACTCGGGAGGGTGAGGCAGGAGAATTGCTTGAACCCGGGAGGTGGAGGTTGCAGTGAGCCGAGATCGCACCGCTGCACTCCAGCCTGGGCGACAGAGTGAGACTCCATCTCTGAATAAATGAATAAAATAAAGATCAGAAAGAGAACTCTGCAGAAAGAAGCACCCTGCTCAGTTAATTTTCTGAAGCAAGTGGAAGGAAGTCCTGCTTGTAAGGCTGTCTTTCATGTGAGTCCTATGGCCCCCTCAAGGACGGAAGGTTAGGAAGCCTCTTCCGGGTCTTCCTCTCTTCTGCCATAGGCTTCTTGGCTGGCCCGGCATACAGGTGCCCTGACTAACAGGGAGGAAAGCTCTGGAGTCTGGAAGCAGGTTCCAGAGGGGGGTTGGGACCTCGGAGGGCTCTGTGTGCTAGCAGTAAGGTGGAGCACTGGGGATGCATAGGAATTGGGAAGTTGTTTTGTTCAGATGGCCACATCGGGGCCTGGGCATGCCTGTGCTGATCACCTGTGAGGCATGGGGGAAGGTGGGATGCGGCAATATCTGTGAGGTCTGAGACACTCGGGCAAACTCATAACTGCATCATTTATATACTTTATTGCTCAATTGTTAGTGTTCATTCATCTTTTTAATATATTATATAAATTGAAATATTCATATACTCACCCAACTAATAAGTACAAACTTAGAAATTTTATTAAATTCTTTTAAACATTTAAATTTGATTACAAATATGTTTAATTGGATCTGCCTTAACATCACAGACCAAATCTATTAGATTCTCTTAAATGCTTACAAAAGAGAACATGTAGTTCTAGTAATGACAGCAAAACTCCTGATACTCACACTTAATATAAGCATCAGTACTGTGGGTTTAATTCATTTCTTTGTGAATTTCTGAATCTGTTTTATATTTTTCCAGTGATCTAGTAATCTTAATAGATATTAAAGAAAATACGATCTCAGCAGCTGTGTTAGATTCCTAGGGCTGCCGTAACAAATTACCACAAACTTGGTGGCTTAAGACAATAGAAATTTATTCTCTCACAGTTCTGGAGGCCAGAGGTCCAAAGTCAAGGTGTTGGTACTGTTGGTTCCTTCTGGACACTCTGAGGGAGAATCTGTTCCCTGCCCCTCTTGCAGTTTCTGGTGGCTGCCGGCCATCCTCGACATTGCTAGGTTTGTGGCCGCATCTCTCCAGGTTCTGCTCTGTCTTCACGTTGCCCTCTCCTCTGTGGGCGTTTTCTCCTCTTCTCCTCTGAGGACACTTGTCATTGGATTTAGGGCCCACCTCAATCCAGGATGATGTCATCTCAAGACTTTTAACTGAATTACACCAGCAGGGCCGGGCACGGTGGCTCATGCCTGTAATCCCAGCACTTTGGGAGGCCGAGGCAAGCAGATCACTTCAGGTCAGGAGTTCGAGACCAGCCTGGCTAACATGACGAAAACCTGTCTCTACCAAAAATACAAAAAATTAGCCGGGCATGGTGGCGCATGCCTCCCGGCTACTCAGGAGGCTGAGGCAGGGGAATCGCTTGAACCTGGGAAGTGGAGGTTGCAGTGAGCTGAGATTGCGCCACTGCACTCCAGCCTGGGTGACAGAGTGAGACTCTGTCTTAAAAAACAAAACAAAACAAAAAAAGAAGAAAATGAATTACACCTGCAAAGACCTTTTTTCCACCTTCACAGCTTCCAGGTGGACATTATCTTTGGAGGGGCCACCTTCAACCTGATGTCTTTTCCTGAAATTACAGATTATTTATCTTTGGCGACTTGTGGTTGTGACCTGGTGTCCCATCCAAATGACACACTTCACCTGGAACATGTTTGAAAACATGTACGAGTTTTGTTAGTGTCTTACTGTTATCATTAGCAGCTTTTATTGAGCTTTTATTTTCTAGGAATTTGGGGCCCCAGTGTGGGCAGTCAGCTCTCCTCTGGAGCCCTCTGGCCAATCCGTCACCTTACAGCCCTGGGGCTGATCCTGCTCCTACCCGAGTATAGTCTGTGCCCACAGCATCAGACCTTTCTGTTCTTGATACTTGCTTCCTCCTTCCATGTAGGGTTGGCTTATTCAGAGCCATCCTACTTAGAGACATATTTGTACACTGTTTTATAAAAGGTATTAGTGGCAGAAACAGCAGTCATACACATCCACCTCTGCTGCTTCCTAAAATGGATTAAAAATAACTTCCTAATATATTCTCCCTTCCTTTATATATCAGTTGCCCTGTTCACTTGGTTGCCCTTTTCATTTTGATAGTCATTGAAGATTCATGGCCTTTACAGACTCACCTTGTCTCTTCTAACCGTTATTAACTCTGTACTCTTTTGGATATTCAAATTGTCACAACACAGTGCATGGTACGTGCATGGTAGTCCTTTTAAGATGGCTTTTATATACCTTATCACTTCTACCTCAGACCTTTTGAAGTGGTCTTTGCTTTCTTGAAACCTGGTGTTGCAGGTCCCTCTTGATTTTTCCCTGCCCGAAGACTTGGAATCAGCCACTCTACAAGGAGCCCTGTTAAGGTCTAACCTAAATCTGGGCACCAGAATGTTGACTTGCTGCTGATGGATTGGAGGGCTGTCCTTGTTGAGCCACTTGTGTGACAGAGCTGGAAAGAGTTGTTTTGTTTGTTTGTTTTTAATATCATGAAGTTACATAGATATTTTCAGTTTAACTCTCACTTTCCTGATCATTTATTTTGTTCTTTAAAAAAAAAAAACTTCTCAATTTGTTTTCTCTGTGAGGTGCTAACTTGAATCTTTATCTTCTTTAATTGTACCTCTTCTTTTTTTTTTTTTTCTTTCAAATTCCATTAGCAAATAATCCTTGGATGCTTTTTCATTCACTTATTGAGAAGTGGAAAAGGCTTAGGACGGGGATCATTCCTGGTTTATATCCAGATGCTTTTGGTATTCTCTGTGCAATCCTGGGCAAGTGACTTAAGCCACTAAGACCCCTTTCCTTGTCTCCACAATGAGGGAGCCATTAGGTCGCAGGGGTCTGAGGAGTAAGTGAGATATAAAGTATTAAATGCCAGGTATACAGTCAGCACTTTCTAAATGGGGCAGCCGAAGATGCGGTGACTAAGGAATGGCTGACCAGTGGCTGTGAGGCTTACCCGAGACGGCTCCTGGGACCTGTTTTTATTCCTGACTTTCTAGTGGCAGTGATGGAGGAGTGTCAGGTCATGGTAGGGAGGAGGCTGCTTTTTCGGCTGCAGTAAACCTGGGCCGAGGGAGGGCTGTAACCCTCAGGAGTGTTGGGACTCTTGGTGTGAAGGAAAGTGGATTTGATGTCAGATAGACTTGGATTTTAATTGTGAAACTCTTCACAGAGCTATGGACAGATTACTTTGTCTTTCCAAGCATATGAAATACTTTTGGTGTAGTTCACTTTGAAATTGCTTGAAGCTCGTAAAAATCACCCCTAAATGATGCTGTTTCCTTTGTGCTTATTTATACATTGTTTTGTTTCTTTCCTATTTTCTTAAAAAGTGAATTGGATATGTGCAGCTTTGGACTTAATTCAAGCTGTGCTCAATAATGTGTTGTCACTGTTTAGAAATGGTGCCTCGCTCCCTACCTCACCCCACCTGTCACTCCTGCTCATTACTGTGAACTCAGTGCCTTTGAATCAGTTATGTTGGAAAAAGCTTATAAATGGCATTTCTACCTCATTTCCCTAATTGTAGCTTAGGAATTTGTACCCCCTTTTTAATTGTTCATTTCCTGGCTTATTTCCCTTAAAAAAAAAAAGAAAGATTAGAGTGATGAAGATGATCACAACTAACATTTATTGCAAACTCTCTTTGTCCCAGGCACTGTGCTAAGTGCTCTGCCATACACTAATTGATTATAGCTTCCCCTGTCTCTGTGGAATGTATTATAATCACCCCCATTTAGCAGATGAGACTGATGTTATCTAATAAGGTCACAGACATGGAAAACAAAGAGCCTGTACCAAACCTCAGACCATCTGACTCCAAAAGCCCATGCTCTTAACTATGAAATCTGTTATTTTTTACTTGTTTTATGGTAATGGGGTAGGAATAAAATGTTAAAAAAATTCATAGTGCTGTAAGGTAAATGTGCCAAGTATTATTTAAGGGGTTTCTATCAAAACAAAAAAGCAAGCAAATAAGGGATTTGTATCCTTGTATATTTTTTTTTAACTTTAACAAAATTTATTCTTATAATTTGAGAATATATTGTTCCATATAAATTGTATTATTTCATTAAAATGTATTTGTTTCTTGTTTCTGTTACATATAAAATTGTACTGGAGAAAACATTTGCAAAGAGATGGCTAGGATTTCAGTAAAAGACAAAGGTTTATAGTGAAAGCTAATCTTTTATATAGCTCTTGGGATTAGTTGAACCCTGCTGAAGTATTACATTTCTTCAATTATTCTAAATTTCATAGAATGTCAGTTTTTCTATGTCTATTATATTTAAGTAATATTCATTGCATTGTTCTTTTATTTTTTAATTATACAAGTAATACATGCGGATTGATTGGTAAAAAGTCTTGCAGTCTGTAAGCAAGACACACAGTCATAATCTTCCACCTCCTCGCCTCCCCAAAGGAGCTACTTTAACATTTTAGTATCTATTTTCTTCTAAAAAGATATATGCAGTTTTGAAAATTGAACAACTGCCTAATTAAGAATGGGCAAAGGGAGCCAACCGTGGTGGCCCACGCCTGTAATTCCAGCACTTCGGGAGGCCAAGGTGGGCAGATCACTTGAGGTCAGGAGTTTGAGACCAGCCTGGCCAACATGGTGAGACCCCATCTCTACTAAAAATACAAAAAATTAGCTGGGTGTGGTGGCACACACCTTTAATCCCAGCTACTTGGGAGGCCGAGGCATGAGAATCCCTTGAACCTAAGGTCAGAGGTTGCAGTGAGCCAAGATTGTGCCACTGCACTCCAGCTTGGACAACAGAGTGAGACTCTGTCTCAAAAAAAAAAAAAAAACCTATGTGCGTTTTTGAACAAAGATCTTTGATATGATTTGTAAACAATAAAAAATTTATGCATTACATTTTCATGCCTTAGCATAATTTTCAATTGCTGAAACTCAAAAACATGTTGATGTTACTTGATTTTGTTTACATCTGATTTACTTTTCTGTAAGTAGATATAACTTTTCAAAAATGTAGTCAATTTGCCAACTTTCATGTTGTTCTTCAAAACCATCAATCATCTCAAGACAATGAATATTGCATATTGTACTGAACAACCTTTCAATTTCAGCATGTGGAACATAAGCTAGTGGGCCTGCATGTTTAGTTGGGTCATAAGAAAGAACACACTCGAGGTACTGAAACCCTTTTCCCAGTAGGGACAACATTGTATCTGCATAGTGTTTGAAATCTCCTAGATTAATGGCAGCCAGTGCTCCTCTATCCCAAATTCTGTCAAATTTGTCGATATGTGTTTGGGGAAGATAATAAATGCTGCAACAGTACAATGAAATGTTCTCTGAAGAACTCTTAAATACTTTGGCTTCAGGAACTTTGCTAATTGGTTCTTCTGAGTAAGAAAGATTCTGCTCTGTAAAAAATTCTTGTATCCCAAGTGCACTGATTTATACACCAACTACATTGTGTCCTTGGTCTGCAAACCATTTCATCTCAACAAGGAGGAAAAAATACCTTCAGTCTACTCTCACCTTTAAGAAAAGTATCCAAATGCGTCTTCAATAGCTGATGTCCTTGTTCTTGATGAAAAGCAATATTGCCGTTCACCCACTTGTCTTGCCATTCTTCCAGAGTTCGTACTTGGTTTTCCTGACCTCAGTATTGGGATACTTTTCCATATCAAATGAAGCTCTTGTATCATCCATAGTTTCATAGACACCATTGTCTCATAAATGTATGTTTTTTAATGCCTTTACTGGTTTATTACAAAGGATACTGTGAAGGATACAGATGAAGAGGCTCCAGGAACCTCCATGTGTTCAGCTATTAGGAAGTTTGTCTGACTTTCATGTGATGCTTTGAGGAGTTTGCATTTCCTGTTCCTTTATTTTATTTTTTTAGTTTTTGGGGTAAGGTCTCACTCTGTCACCCAGGCTGCAGTGCAGTGGCATGATCACATCTCACTGCAACTTTGAAGTCCTGGGCTCAGGTGATCCTCCAGCTTCAGCCTCCCAAGTAGCTGGGTCTACAGGCATGTGCTACCACGTCTAGCTGGTTTTAAAATTTTTTTGTAGAGATGAGATTTGGCCATGTTGTCCAGGTTGTTCTTGAACTCCTGGCCTCAAACTATCCTTCCTTCTTGGCCTCCCAAAGTGGTAGAAGTACAGGCATGAGCCAATGCAACCAGCCCTCTGGTTCCTTTATTAAATCATTTTGCAAATTCTTGTTGGACCTTCCCCACCCTAATTGGATTGAACTGGCGAACATTGCTGATTTTTTAGGAGTTTGTTGTTAACTATTTGCCTGTTTATAAGGCCCATCATCATCTTTTTAGAAATACCTTAAGGTATCTCAGAAAACCTCGGGACACCGGACTCCATTCACCTGTCTTGAGGTGAACATCTGAGGGGCTGTTTGGGAGCTTGCAGTGGGGCTCTTGAGAGGCACCATCATGGCCAGAGATAGGACAATATTAAAGACTAGAGGGAGAGATGAGATGTGTCAGATAGCAGGGGCAGTTATAAGAAAGGAATTAAAATCATTTCTGCTGACTTTAAATAGTCACAAGTCCTAGAAAACTGAAAATGTATATTCAAGTTGGGATCAGGGAGAGGGAATAAAGTAAGTGAGGGAGGCTATGGGATCTGATATATACTTTGACCAGAAAGAATGTGCAGTTTGGTTGGGAGTGTCTTGGAGGAGGAAGAGATGATGACAGAGGGGCACAGGTCCTCCAGGGTGTAAGTGGTAGCCAGGAGACAGCAGGGCCAGGGATGGTGTCATTCCCTTGTCTCCTACATTTTCTGAACTTTTCTGGAATCCTATTAACAATTTTAGCCAAAATTCATCATCAGCATCAGTGGTTCCACTGCAGCATGCGGGGATGGTTTCTTTGTCTGCTTGTGGTTTGGGCCCCTGCCTTTAACTTCTCTTTTCCCTCCGGGACTTGAGGCTCTGTTATCCATAGTGAGTGCCAAAGGGTTGGATCCTTGCAGTCCACAAGAGGACAGGACCTGCTCTCACTAAAGGCTGGGCCAAATGGGGTTGGCCAGCCACCTGGCAAGTGGGAAGGTCTGATGTGGTATCCTGCCCAGGTGTGCAAGCAAGGCCCAATGATAAGGGCCAGACATGGCTGTAACATGAGGAGAGGGTACCCCAGAGCAGAGAGAGATTTCTTTGAGGACCTCACAACACAACGTTACAGGCTCTTCAGCTTCCAGTGATTTAGGAAGATTGAGATGGATCGATACAAAGTATGGATTCCATCTAAGATTCTCTATATAAGATGTGTGTGTCTATGTGATTTTCCTTTAAATTTCTATTTTACACACAGAAGCAGACATACACATACATAGAAACACACACACACACACACACACACTATTATCTGTATATATGCTGCTGTTGACACCAACAGATACTTACAGTACCTGGCCAAGAGGACAATGAAGTAAATAAGTAGTTTTGGTTTAGGGCAAGGTTCTCAACCAAGCAGTTTTATATCCAGGGGACATTTGGCAATGTCTGGAGACATTTTTGGTTGTCACATCTTGGGGGTGGAGGGTAGTGCTACCTGCGTTTAGTGGGTAGGCACCAGGGTTGCTGTTAAACATCCTGCGATGCCCAGAATAGCCTTCCACAGCAAGAATTACCTAACCTCAAATGTCAATAGTGCTGAGGTTGAGAGACCCTGCTTTAGGGAATGAAATTCAACCTATAGGATAGCCTAGAATCTGTCTTATTATCCACTACCTTGTTTTATTATGAATATTTCAAACATATCAAACATTTAGAACTAATATTAACTGTATTTTTTAAGGAAATAAAACATATGGGTGCATTTATAAGGAAAGTTTTAAAACCTCATTTCCTCACTCCTTCCCCAGAGGCAACTAACTTCCTGCAGGTGGACTTTTTTCTTCTAGTGTGCACTTTAACGCCTTGATTACACATGTACGTGTCCATGAAACAGCATATTGTACTGCACAAGCCCTTTGTGATGGCGCCCTCCTCTATTTGTATGTGACAGGCTGTTTTTCTAGAAGTTTGAGCAAAAGCATGAGCAGAGAATAGTAGTGCATCTAAGTGAAAATGTTTCCATTTTCTAAGTAATTTACATTTCCTTTAAGTGGTGGTCAAAAATTATAGAAGATGTTTAATGTGTGAAATCAGGTTGAGGAAAGGAAACCAAAAGTAATGATTTGCAGATTTTAAAAGGTGGCAGATTTCAAATCCAGAGTCTTCTTTCTATCGTGACCCAAAGTAGGGTGAATAAGCTTGTCCTTACGTTTCTTGAAGGTGATGATGGTGCTGACCCCTCTGTCTCTCCCTTGCCTGTACCCTTTCTTTTCCCTGCCTGGCATCTCTCAGCCTCTGCTGCCAGCATCCTTGGAAGACATTTCCTCCATCTCTGCATCATTTTTCAGAGCCGGCCAGTTTCTATGGCAACGGTTAGATTGAAAGATGAGCGGCGAGCAGGAGACGAGGCTTGAGTGAGACAGCCAGTGGTGGTGTGTGTCTCTGACGTCACCCTCTAGGCGTCTGGATAGGACGATCCTGGCTACTCCCATTCAGGGCTGCTGTCCAGTGCTGCTTTATTGGCAGTGCTGCCAGGGTCTCCGTTAGCTCTCTGCAAATTGCCTTCCTTTCTGCTCCTCCTACTCCCTCCTTCCCCCATAGAATTTTTCTTTTCATTGCCCACTTTACTGTTTTGGCTCCAGACTGTCGTTAAGAATGTACAGCCTAATTCTGGTGTGTTTCGGGATATTCTTCTGTCCAGTATTCTGGAAGGGCGGGGAGGCATGGCAGCGTTTTACTTGACGTTGATGGTGCTGTGAAGTCCATTCTTTCCTCTGCAAGACTACTGACTATGCAGAAATTTATCGAAGCGGATTATTATGAACTAGACTGGTATTATGAAGAATGCTCGGATGGTAATTATGGCCCCTGCAAAACAGAGCCGGGATGTATAGGGGTATTGTCTCCTTCTGGGTGGGGGGTGTCCTGAAACCTTTAGGGGAGACAGGCGGCTGGCGGGTGGGAGGTACCAGAACTAGCACCACTGGCTCTGGCAATTCCAAAGGCATGGTGGAGGAGGTGGCAGGTGGGCAGGGCTCTTTACCGTGAAAGACTCCTGCAGTATGTATGATTGTTTGCTTAGAAGGGGAGATGGTTTTTGGTGTGCTGGGCTTGTAAGTGTTATACTTCTATTGGATTGAATTTTCTCTGGTGTGAGACGTGAGTGTGTTGTTGATGCATGAATGTGTGCAAGTGGAAATGTGTTCACTGCGCTCTTGCTGTTGGAGGGGATAGGAAACTGGGGGCTTGGAATAGTGTGTTCAGGAGGTGGCTTCCTGGACTGTCAGCAGCAGGCCTGGAAGACTCTGCCCTTTTCTGAGCCCAGACCTGGGAACCATCAGAGGCTGGAGAAAAGGCAGAAGCAGCTTACCACTTAGCGGGTGATTCAAATGAAGTTTGCTTGTTGGATCCAACAGAGATGGGGGTGGGGAGGTGATGGGAGGGGCAGGGAAAGAATGTGTCCTTCTGTCACTACCTTGGTTTGTGCAGGGAGGGTGTGGCACATTCCAAGGGAGACTGGGTGGAGGCCAAGTTGTGTGGCTGGACAGGTCTCAGGAGGTTTCAAGCACACAGAAAACAGCACTGAGGTGCGTTCTCAGAGACATCACAGTGGGCGGGGTCTCAGGTTCCTGGGGTGTTGGACATCAAAATTGTGTATTACACAGTTAATCTGTCTTTAATTTTGTCTTGAAAGTGACCCTCATATCACATGCCTTCACAAAAAAGGGGCCCAATTAATATATACACTTTGAGGGTCTGTTCCCCAGTGATGATATGTTCCCAGCCCTATATGAGCCATTAATAGATAAGGTAAGTGCTTTTTAATTGAGTCGGGAGTTTCAGAATGCTCTATTCCTGACTACATTTGATTAACCTGAATGATGTAACAGGCTGGGACCTGGCCTAGTTAGTAAACTGAAAAACTACATAATTATCTCTTATCCACTGATTTTTGCCGCGACTGTGGGTTAAGGCTTTCTCAGGGGATGGTATTTAAATGTGTGGAAAAACTATGCCAGTTCAATCTCACTGGCCCCCAGCTTTAGATGCAGACATTGTCATGTTCGTTCTGTGTACATCTTTAACTATTTTGAGTAACAAGGATTGGAGGCAGTTCCCAGGGTCATGAGGGGAAAAGATGAGTGAATTTTTTCTTTGGAATATATTCATTCTAAAAGCAAGTTCCCATTCTGTTACCTAACTCCAAAAGGAAATTCTAGAGATGCTCCTTTTTGGAAACCATCATTGACCTCCTTCTAGTTTCCTTGGTGATTTGTGACTCATTGAACCCTCTATAACTTTTTAAAGTAAGGGATTGAATACATCCTCACTGTACCATTGGATTAGGGAGCACTGGTTACAGCAGGGTGCTGTCAGAGGCCCCGTGGATTAGTCAGGTGGGGCCATAGCTCTGTGGATGCCATCCTAGAAGTGGAGGAAGAAGGTTTCCTAATACCATGACCCAAATGCCACACCATCCAGTTCCCTTTACACCCTGAAATAAAGCCAGTCGCTTGCCATGGTCAATCTGGAGGGTGAGCGGAGGCCTGCTCTTATCTGGGTATCCATCAGAAGGATTTTCTTACCCAGCACTTCCTCAGTTGAGTCTTTTGGCCCTGAGAGACCCTGATCTGTCTTCCTCTAAGAGCAAAGGAAAATAGAAGAGGAGATGGCTCAACTGTTCAAGGGTAAATATATTGATTTATTTATTTCTGAATTATTGTTATTGTCTGAATGTATGTTGAGCAAAATACTTGTCCTTTATCATCTATCCCATTTTGGATGAAGGGAAGAAGGTTTTTGAGACAGAATTTACTGGGACCACTGGTATTTTCATACTCCCATTTAAAGAGGTAGCAAAGTAGGGAATAAAGGAACAGAAGTCCAGAAATAAACTGGTTTAGGAAACGTACAAAAAGGAGATTTCAATTATGTGCCAATTTTGTGGTTACTTGCTTACACATTTCTAACTAGTTGAGTTCCTTCCTAGCTTCAGGCAGATTAGTCTGGAAATGAAATTTGCCCCTGTTTATATGTACCTGTCTTTTATTTGCCTCTGTCTTTTTTATTGCAACTCAATAGACACACACCATTGCTTTGTCTCTGATTATTTGGCATTTGAATCGTCAATGAGGGAAGCTTTTACAGAACTTTTGATACTAATAAAAGGTGAGTCAAATGTTTTAAAAAAGATGCAGAATCATCATTTATGTCAGAGCTACTGACTCACACTTAAATTGCAGTGTTAGCACTGAAAAAGAAATGTATATGGATGGGAATATAGATTGCAGGCCAATTAGGACCCCTCTTTTGAAGTTGGAATTAAGGGATAGCTACTGTTCTCTTCTATCTTTGAGGGTTAGGAGAACTTTATTCAGTGTTGAATAACTGTATTCCTCCTGTTTATTAATGTTTGTTGTGGGGGTCTTCTATTCAGCACCCATCTCTGCCTGTCCTGCTCCCCCGCCCCCAGAGGAGGATATAATAAGAGGCATGGGACAGGGGCTTATAATAATAAGACATGGGAGGGGTTGATTACCCAGTGTCTTCAAGTAACTTTTACGAGAGATTTGAAATAGCCAGCGATCAATGCAAAATAGCAATGGCCTTGGCAGAATTTGCACATACATACTCAATGTTTACAGTTTAAACTCTGGTGTCAGACAGGGTCATAGTTACCCCGATTGGATGCATCCCATCTCTGGTGCAGAACCTCTAAAACTTGGGAAATCATTGAAAGTCATCTGCTTATTAAAAAAGCAGATTCTCAGACTCACATCAGACTAGGAGAAGTCCTGAGAAATCTAAATTTTTAGCACATGCTTTGGGGGATTCTTTACATCACGTGTGTTTGGGAAACTGTGCTGATTGATGTCCATGGAAAGCAGCCTCAGGCATGGGGAGGGGCTGGAAAAGAATTATTTAGGTCAGTTTCGGGATCTTAGATTGTTTCTTGGCTACACTGGCCACTTTTTAAAGTGTGCTTAGAAAGAGTATGACACCTTTTTAATTTTCAAAAGGACTTGGGTTCAGTGTATGTCCTTATGTTAAAGAAACAGCCCTCTTTGTAGTTACTCTAGAAATAGGTAGAATGGCAGAAAGAGCGCTGGCTGTCTGTGTTTGAGGCCTGTTTTGTACTTCATGTGGCCATGTGGTATGGGAACATCCTGGGATTTCTGTGAGCCTCTGTGAACTCAGATTCCCCATCTGGAAAACAGGAGTAACAACACTGGTTGGAACCTTTATGGAGTGTAAATAAAGTGATAGCTCTTTGTAAGCGACGAAGAGCCAGGTCAGTGTTTAATTTTATTTTCTCAGAAATAGTACTAGTTATTAAGGCCTTTAACAAAAAAAAATCTTTGAAAAGGCTAATGGGGGCCTGGTATAGTGTGTCATGCCTGTAAGCCCAGCATTTTGGCAGGCTAAAGGGGGGAGGATCACTTGAGGCCAGGAGTTTGAGAGCAGCGTGGGTAACATGGTGACATCCTGTCTGTACAAAAAATAAAAACATTAGCTGAATGTGGTGGCATGCGCCTATAGTCCCAGCTACTCGGAAGCTGAGGTGGGAAGATTGTTTGAGCCCAGGAGGGTGAGGGAAGCTATAATTATGCCACTGTACTCCAGCCTGGGCGACAGAGTGAGATCCTGTCTTAAAAAAAATAAAAAAAAAAGGAATGGTATTTTGAACAAGGTACAGCATTTTGACCACCTGTTTGTTGCTTCAGTTTCTTTTGTAATCAGACTTGCTCTCCATCCCCGCTCACCTCCCCCTTTTATAACCTGATAGATTTGAATGTTGGGGTAGGAGGTGGTCTAGTTCATACTGATTTCACAAATGAAGAAACTCGGGTAGATTGTCGCAGAAGTTATTCTTACAGCTTCTTACTCTATAATGAAGATTTATGGTATACGCAAGGGCAGTCTGGTGCGCTCTGTTCCTCACTTGATTTCAGTGATCTCTGAAATGTCACCCAAGATGGCGGTGGCTGGTTCGTGAGTGTTTTTTTTCTTTTTGTGCGTGAGTGAAGTTTTGTTAGAGGTATTTTAAGCATTAATTGAAAAGCTGCATTTCTGAACTGAGTTTTCGAATTTTCCTACGTGTTGACGCAAACAGATCCCCATTTCTTTGTCTTGTGTTTTATTGTGTGATGCGCCCGTGAAGGTAGAGGTTGACTTCTCTCTTTCCACACACAGCACTCTCCTCTGTGGTTATTAAGGGGATTAAAAAAAGAAAAAGAATGAAATGTAAACAGTTTTATAATGTAACTGTTTTTATTATCACTGGCTATAGTAAAATAGAGATAATGTCCTCTCTGACATAGGAGCTGAGGACTAGAGACTTGGCAAGAAAGCCAAAGCAAGCCTGGAACCCAAGTTTTTGGAGCTTTGTGGTGCTCTTGTTTATTTAATTTTAATTTTGTTTTATTTATTTATTTCTTTTTTTTTGAGATGGAGTCTTGCTGTGTCATCCAGGCTGGAGTGCAGTGGCACGATCTCAGCTCACTGCAATGTCTGCCTCCCAAGTTCAAGCGATTCTCCTGCCTCAACCTCCTGAGTAGTTAGGATTACAGGTGTCCATCACCATGCCTGGCTTATTTTTGTGTTTTTAGTAGAGATGGAGTTTCACCATGTTGGCCAGGCTGGTCTCGAACTCCTGATCTCAGGTGGTCTGCTTGCCTTGGCCTCCCAAAGTGCTGGGATTACAGGCGTGAACCACTGCACCCAGCCTTATTTATTTATTTATTTATTTAGAGGCAAGGTCTTCTTCTTGTCACCCAGGCGGGAGTGCAGTGGCATGATCAAGACTCATTGCAGCCTTGACCTCCTGGGCTCAAGTGATCCTCCTGCCTCATTTTTTAATTTTTTTGTAGAGATGGGGTCTCACTATGTTGCCCAAGCTGGTCTTGAACTCCTAGGCTCAAGTGATCCTCCTGTCTCAGCCTCTCAAAGTGCTGGGATTACAGGTGTGAGCCTCTTTGCCCAGCCTTATTTGTTTATTTAAATTGTATGAGCAAGGTCTTTGGGGACATGACCCTCAGTCGTGCCAACCCTGCTCTCTAGGAGCAGAGAAGTGAAATGTGAGTGAGGAACATTGAGCATCAATGGGACAGGTGAAGTGGAGAGAAAGATGCTCATACCTGAAGGAGATGGGGAGCAGTGCTGAACCAGACCTTGAAAGATAGGAGGATATGGGCTAGGGAGGTGGGGACGTTGAGGGTATAGCAGAGGAAAAACTTTATGCCTCTACCCTGCTTGATTCAGTAGCTAGGTGCCCTGAGAAACAAACTGATAAAAAACATTAACAAGAGAAAAATCAGTTTTAATTATGTAAGTAGGCACTGGCAATCACAAAGAAATAAGAGTCAAAGAGGCAAGTAGAATTTGGCGGGTTCTGTGTCATCCCAAAGGGCAACAAAGTATGGAGAAAAGGTGAGACAAAGGAAAACGGGTTTGGGATTCCTGCTGGGGAGTAAGTTATGGGAAGGCAACTTGGAAACGTGGGATACTCAAGACATGTTTAATAAGGTGTGCAGATTCAAGTGGGTGCCTTGTCCATAGATAAGAGATTGTACAGGAGACGGAGACACCCTTCCAAATGTAAATTTCTTTACAAAAGGAAAATTTATGCTCCGTTTTTAGAGCTTTTCCGGCATCTGCTGTTCTTCAGTTGCTTCTGCTCAAAATAATCCTTATGTCAAAGAGGCATATTTTGTTTGTAGGGGTGGGAGTCTGGTCCCCTTCATAGGTGAGCTAAGGCAGTAGCATTATGTGGGCAGAAGTTAGCAGCTTGTTTTGTCTGTTTGAGGTGTGGTGGGAAGCCAGGCTGGAAGCAGAGGCTGCAGGGGAGATGCAGGATGTGGAAGCCAAGAAAATATAGAGCTCCCATCTTGAAAATAAGGGGCACCCTTTAGATCAGTGCTATCCAGTGAAGCTTTTTGTAATGCAGTAAATGTTCTATTCTCTGCTGTCAAATACGGTAGCCACTGGTCACATATGGCTGTGGAGCACTTGAGATATGGCTAGTGTGACTGGTTTTTAAACTTTAATTTTAATCCATTTAAATGTAAACATAAATAGTCCCAGTGGCTTGTGGCCACTCTTTGGACAACACAGGGTAGAGCTTTGGGAAGATGACTTCTATGGAGTATGTCAAGTAGATGTGAGCAGGAGACAGAGAATGATGTGCCTCCGCCCTGCAAGAGGTGATTGACCCTCCCCTCCACTGGTCTTCCTGTCCAGTGTTCCTGGAGATGGATCAGGAACTCACTCTCTGCTTCCCTGCTGTGGGTCCCAGTGTCTAGTCTGTGCCTTTGATACGGCACACACATCTGTTACTTAACTGCCTTTCACACCTCCAGCTCCAGGCTCCATGTCCAGCCTGGCCCAGCCCTCTCCATCCCTTGGTTGGCACAGGGATTCCCAGGCTTTCTTGCCGGTCTTTGGGGGTTGTGTTTTGCTTTGACTTTTGGAGAAACTACACTCTCAGGGAAGATGCCCTTTGGCCCATCTCTGCCTTTAACCGTGAAGTGAAGGCAGATGTGCATGAGTTTTCAGAATTCTCTCACACCCTTGCAGCAGGAGGGGAGGAAAGAAGAGATTGGGAGAGGGATATCGTGAAGAGTGTCTAAACCCAGAGAAATGGGGTGACATGAAGAGTCTAGGGTGGTCCTGTGTTCAAAATTTCATGTCTTACACAGCAGCCAGCCCGAAGGGGCTCCCACTGGCCTAATATGGGGCAATTTGAACATCAAAATAAATAATAGTAGTCAAGGATTATGACTTATAGAATAAAGGAAGAATCCGTGAGTCTATACTGATAAAAATAAATGAATGACTAAATAACGGGAGGGAAGAAAAAGTTATTACAATAAAAAGCCAACTAATAAGTGTTGGAATGATGGAATTAGAAATTAGAAATTCACCACTTTCCCATCCATCCACATAAATGACTAAGACAAGACTTATTAAAACTGGTGGTCTCAAAGTATATCACCATGAAATATATCACCATGAAACACTGTTGAATAACAAAGGGAAAAATAATAGCTTCACAGTGAGGAAACCAAATGATCAAAGTAAACATTGGGCTTTAAAAACTGGAGCTTTAAAAATTACCGATGGGGGCCGGGTTCTGTGGCTCATGCCCGTTCATAATCCCAACACTTTGGGAGGCCGAGGCGAGTGGATCAGTTGAGGTCAGGAGTTTGAGACCAGCTTGACTAACATGGTGAAACCCCATCTTTACTAAAAATACAAAATTAGCCAGGCGTGGTGGCGGGCGCCTGTAATCCAGTTACTTGGGAGGCTGAGGCAGGAGAATAGTTTGAACCCAGGAGGCGGAGGTTGCAGCAAGCAGAGATCGCACCACTGCACTCCAGCCTGGGAGAGAGAGTGAGACTCTGTCTGGAAAAAAAAAAAAAATTACTGATGGGACCAGGCATGGTGGCTCACACCTGTAATCCCAGCACTTTGGGAGGCTGAAGTGGGTGGATTGCTTGAGCCCAGGAGTTTGAGACCAGCCTGGACAACATAGTGAGACCCTGTCTCTACAAAAAATAAAAAAATTAGCGAGGCATGGTGGCATGTGCCTGTGGTGCCAACTACTTAGGAGGCTGAGGCGGGAAGATCCCTTGAGCCTAGAGGTCGAGGCTGCAGTGAGCCATGATCATACTACTGCAGTCCAGCCTGGGCAACAGAATGAGACCCTGTCTCAAAAAAAAAAAAAAAAAAAAAAAAAAAAAAAAGGTTAACATTGGCAGTAGTGGGACCGCTCCACAGCAGACGCCTCCTGAGAAGATGCACTGAAGAGAAAGTAACACCACTTCTGTGTTTTCTTGCCGAAAGTTCATAAACAGAATCTAATCATAAGAAAACACCAGGAATACCCAAAGTGAGGGACCTTCTACAAAATAGTTGGCCTGTATTGTTCAAAAAATCTGTTTTGAAATATGAAGACTCAGAAATTGTTCCAGATTAAAGAAGACTCAAGAGACCTGGCCGTTGAATAAAACACATGATCTTGGATTTCTTTTGCCATAAAGGATGTTATTGGGACAACTGAAGGGAATCTCAATAAGATCTATGGGTTACAAAATAGTAGTGTTTCAGTGTTGAGAAAGAGAAAGTAAATGTAGTAAATGTTACCATTTGGGGAATCTTTTTGTACTATCCAGGAGTTTTCTGTCCTATTCTTGTAACTTTTCTGTAAATCTGAACTGTGTACCCCCCAAAAACAAAATATTCATTGTTCATTTCTGATGGAGGCATACCGGCATTCACTGTAGTGTTCTTTATTCTGTATATTTTAAATATTTTTATAATTAAAGGTTGGGGAAAAGTAATGAAGTCATGTTCTAAATATTGTGTAATATATAGAGTCTTGGACATCATTTAGAATATCTAAGTCTCTGTATGTTTCATAATAGCGATACTCTAGATTTGAATTAAAAGATGAGTATAAATAAATTTATTATGAGTAAAGTCACTTGATAGTATTTTTGAATTGGTGAAATTAGCTTTTGTTTTCCTTTATATACACTGTGGCCGGCACAATATCCTACTCATCTTATCGTCAATCTGATACTTGCTGAATGAATCACGCACAAGGTGGAGGTTCTTCCTCTCTCCTGCCTTCTCAGGGGTTCAGAATAACCATTTGTGTCATTCACAACACCTTATAGATGTGCCCACTGTCATCTGAATTGAATTAGTCTAATCCGATAAAGCTTATTAATATTAAATAAGTATTTTTTGAGTGTGTTTATATTTAAAGCTTATGCAGTATTTCAAAATGGAATGTTGAACTCCCTGCCTGAATTTCTACACCTTTTTTTTTTTTTTTTTTTTTGGCTAAGAACACATCTTTAACATGGTAAAATACAGCTCTAATTTTCAAGTTCTAAAAAATTAACCAGAGGTCTGGGCGTGGTGGTTCACGCCTGTAATCCCAGCACTTTGGGAGGCTGAGGCATGCGGATCATGAGGTCAGGAGATTGAGACCATCCTGGTGAACACGGTGAAACCCCGTCTCCACAAAAAATACAAAAAAAAAAAAAAAAAAAAAATTAGCCAGGTGTGGTGGCAGGTACCTGTAGTCCCAGCTACTCGGGAGACTGAGGCAGGAGAATGGTGTGAACCCGGGAGGCGGAGCTTGCAGTGAGCCGAGATCGTGCCACTGCACTCCAGCCTGGGCGACAAAGCAAGACTCTGTCTCAAAAATAATAATAATAATAATAATAATAATAATAATAATAATAATTAGAGGATGCATATGTCCTTAGACTTTTAAATAAAATCTTTATTATCTCTGGTTTTCTATTTAGAGGCACTTGTACATGATGTCATATTAGTCTTTATGGAGGTAGTAATTCAATTTAGCTGACATTTTTAGCCACCTGAGCAGAATTCTCGGCCCTAAGGATTCAAAGACGAATGAGATATGGTTCCCGAACTTGTGTAGAAAATTGTTTTATGAAGACCTTGCCCCTGCTAAAATCTCTCTTGGCTACCTGGGGGAGGCAGCCTGTTCGGGAGGTTGGAATGAGTGTCCTGGTGTAGCTGTTAGGAGCAGGAGACCTGCACAGTGTAGCTGGGAGATGGCTGAAGCACAGAGATTACAGAATGAGCTGTGATTCTCCGAGACGCTAGCACCCGGGGCTGCCTTTCACTGGGTTTGATGGAAGAACCTGCCGTTCTCACTGTTGCAGGCAAAATCAAATGGTATAGAGGAATTGATATCAAGGTGTGCAATTAAACTGTGGCTTCTTTCTGCAGGCAACTTTGCAAGCTATTAGGCTTTAGATTTTTTTCTTACCTTGTTCTAGCAATTAGAGAGATCTTTATAAATTTGGCTGTGGAAACACAGATTTAGGGTAAGAGCAGGATTTTATGAAATGTAGATTGATAAAGAGAAAATGGAGGTTATTATCAAAGAAGGACTGGGATGAATTAAGTTTAACGAGGTAATGGTCACTGCATTTTTTTCCCTTTTGCTAGAAATTAGAATGATCCCTTCCTTCCTCTGCTCAGCGCTGTCAGGCAGTTGTCACAGTCAGATTTGTCTCCACATCTTAAGCCCGCCCACAGGAAGTCTCTCATCTGGGGGTGTTGGGCAGTGCTTCAGCAGGACAATTCCTCCGCCAGCGCCCCACCTTTAAACAGGTGTGCCTGCTCAAGGCTTAGTTGATGTTGCCCCATGCAGTTGCTGTGAGACTTCTAGGAAGCTACCACTCCTCATTGCTGCTGGGGGAGGAAAGGTGGAGAGGGTCTAGGAGGCCGAGAGCTTGCTGAGATCCTGTACCTTCCTGCAGGGCTTTCCTCTGAATCTCCTGCGCCTAGCAGGGCATTCCCACCCCGCCAAGTGCTCCACCCCACCCCGCCCCTCCTCCAGGCTCATAGGAGCCACCCCCTTCCGGGTCCTGCCCGGGTGATGCTGGGCCAGGAGCTTTGTGTACACCCCTCCACTTCAGCTGAGCCAGGGCATGTCTGCGGCCCAGGCCAGGGCGCAGTGTGTGCCCTGGGGGCCCAGGCCTGCATGGCTCCTCTGGGTAGGGGGTCGGGGGCACCCCCAAGGATGGTCCCTTAGGGTGATGTTTTGGCTTTGGGGTGACTTCAGCAATGTCCCTGCGAGACAAGGGCGGGGAAGAAGAATGTTTTGAATACGACTGCCAGGATGAAGAGAGGAAGCCAACCCACAGGCAGCATGACACCCAGGACCTCTTGGAAGAGGGTAAATTCTGTACTTGGCTCAGATTTGATCCTTTCCTTGTTAGTATCTAAATAGGCTTGAATGTTTTGCTGATTTCATAGCACTGTTTTGTTTTTGTTTTTTTTTAAGTTGAGGTATAAGTTAGAGATCTTATGCAAATGGCTTAAAGGTGTCCTTGTAAGAGCCCCCACCCCCTCACCCAGAGAACAGCATTTCCAGCTCCTCAGGAAGTCCCTTGGTCCCTTTCTAGTTTACATCTACCTTCCCAGAAACAATTATTATGACTTCTGTCACCTTAGATTTGTTTTGCCACTTCCCGATCTTTGTAATGGAATCAAACAGGGTGTATTCCTTTGTGTCTGGCTTTTGTTGCTTAACTGAGGTCTTTGAAATTCATCCTTGTTGTTGCTAATATCACTAATTTTTTTTTGTGCATGGCATTCCAGCATTCTGTTTTAAGAGATTCAGTTGTTATCTTGTGACTGGTTGGGTTTTGATAAGTTAATGGACAAGAGACCAGTCTTATTAAATGAAGCATGTTTTTGTTCTGGCAGTGTTTATTTTTAAAAAAATTATTAATCACTTATCTGAAATAAAGATTTTTTAAATCTTAGAAATATTTCAAAATGAATAGCCCAAGGCTGACATTGAAATCTGGGAGCCCACTGCCGGCTCTCTTAAAGAGATGCTCCTTTGCAGGGAAAAGGGAGGATGTTAGGTAAAGATAGGCCCAGATGCTGGTATGAGCTTTCTAGTTGGCCTTCCAGGGCTTTCACCCACAGCCCAGAGAAAGGAGCTTTGGGGGCTGATCAGGATGTTTAAACAATGACTAATGTTCTTTAGGTCCCTTGAGTAAAAACAATCAGAATATGTTTCAAACTTCTGCTTTAGGATGGTCTATTTTCCTGTCTTGGGATAACTTTTTTCTTTTTTCTTTTTTTTGGGACGGGGTCTCACTCTGTTGCCCAGGCTGCGGTGCAGCAGTGTTATCCTGGCTCACGGCAGCCTTGACCTTCTGGGCTCAAGCGATCCTCCCACCTCAGCCTCCCTAGTAGTGAGTAGCAGGGCCCACAGGCACACACCAACTTGCCCAGCTAATTTTTAAAATTTTTTGGTAGAGACAGGATCTCACTAAGTTGCCCAGGCTGGAACTTTTGTTTTCAACATTATTTATAATCAGCCATATACTGAAAGTATTTTTCTTTTGAAGTTACTGTTCTAAAAATATGGTTAACACTTCCCCTCCAGGACAGCTGCAAATATTTTATTGCAGGAAGGGAAGAAACTGGGAGAAGCCAGGGGAGGGTGAGGGACCCAATGCTGAGGCCTGCATTCTGGCTGGTGCCTTTCTGGCCTTGTCTTGAAGGAGATGGGGGAGGGGAGAGGAGTGACGGGATTGAGGATTTGTTAGGTCCCTGGAAGGGATCAGGAGAAAGGTATCCATCTGCCCTTGTAGAACTAGGGCTCCCCCAGATTTAGCTGGATTAGCTTCCTGCCCCTTTAATCTCTGCTGCTTCAAGTGCAGCCAGTGCCCTCATCACCTGTGAGCTTGCTAGAAATGCAGAACCTTAGGCCCCAGCCCAGACCCACTGAGTCAGCATCTGCCTTGTAACAAGATGTCCAGATGATGGGCACGCATGTTAAAGTATGAGATGAGCTGCTGCCTTAAAGCCTAGCAAGATTTTAAAAATACCAGTCATTGAACTGTATGATTCTAGATTAAAGGCTATAAAATATTCTGGAGCAGTATCATATATCCTAGTCAAGAGAGGAAAAAAATTTGTGTTGTGCCCATTTCATGTATATAATGTATATAAATATGTGCTGATATATAAACATATAAATATATATTATATATAAATATATGACGAGAGAGAGACCCTCTCTTTCTCTCTCTCATTATATATTTTGTCAACTAAGTGAAATAACAGGCACTAGAACTTAGAGAAATCACAGTTTATTCTGATCCAGGCTTGAGGACTTGAGCCCAGGAACACAGGCTCAGTATAGACCGAGAATGTGTCCTGAAGTAGACGGCTTGAGACACCATAGATAATGCATTTTCTAATAGGGGGATACGTGTGACACAGAAGGTGGGGGAAGAGGATAGTGAAGCAACAGTTCCTTTCCTGTAATTCTGTTTGGTGCACAGCGATGCTGTACATAAGGTAAATATGCAGTTGAGCAGTAGGGAGAAAGTTTAGGTATCTTAGGGGTCTGGTGGAGGGTGACTGATTTTGTCAATCCTGCCTTTTGTTCTACATCTGATAAACAGGTTTCTGACCAGTTCCTGTCAGCAAAATATTTGACAAACTCTGGTTATACAGGCAAGAGGTCAGCTTTAGTTTATAGGCCTAGGTCTTATTACCCTCGTGCTCATCTGCAGCCATCAGGGGCCACTGTTAAATTTTTCGTTAGAAATTTTCTTTTCCTGAAAATTTATGTAGATACATGTATTAAACTTTTTTAAAAAACCAAGAGCCAGATGATGATGATAGTGAATGTCATTATGCACTTCCTAAGTACTTGGCACCATTTTCAGTGATGTTAAATCTCTGCTGCTTCAAGTGCAGCCAGTGCCTTTATGTGGATTCATGCATTGAACCTTTAAAACATTCGAGGTCAAATACTGTTATTATTCCCATTTTATAGGTTTATGGGAGGAAATGTGAACAACTTGTCTAAAGTCACACAGTGAGTTAAGTGGTCCCAGCCTATTTAGAATGGCTGTAGAACTCTCTGCTCTTAACTATGATGCTAGCAGTTCTCAAAGTGGGGTCCCTGACCAGCAGCATCAGGATCACCTAGGAACTTGTTAGAAATGCACCTTCTTGGAGGCCAGGCATGGTGGCTCACACCTGTAATCCCAGCACTTTGGGAGGCTGAGGCGGGTGGATCATGAGGTCAGGAGTTCAAGACCAGCCTGGCCAAGATGGTGAACCCCTGTCTCTACTAAAAATGCAAAAATTAGCTGGGCATGGTGGCGGGCGCCTGTAGTCCCAGCTACTCGGGAGGCTGAGGCAGGGAATTGCTTGAACCTGGGAGGCGGAGCTTGCAGTGAGCCAAGATCGCGCCACTGCACTCCAGCCTGGGCGGCAGAGCGAGACTCCATCTCAAAGAAAAAAAAAAAAAAAGGCATGGACCTTCTTGGGTCCCACTCCAGACCTACTGAATCAGAAACTGGGGTGGGACCAAGCAAGCTGGGTTTTAACACGCCCTCTGGGTGATTCCAATGCACATTGTCCTGTGCTAATCCACACCTCATAGATAACAGTGTATCTGCCTTATAATCGGATTCAAGGGAAGAGATTTTGCCTTGTATTTGTCATCTTATGATAGATAATTACTGTCTGTTCTCTCCTTCTCTTGTTTGTTTCTATCCAGTTTTCCCTCATACTCCAAGAAATCATTTTTAGCAGTCCTGTAGGTGAGGTGTTAACAGTATTTTTAGGACAGTAACCTCGAAAGAAAAACACTTGCCAACATGCTTCATTTACTTTGTAAAATGAAACAAACTCACTTTTAAGGTTTGCTCCTGACATGAAAGAAGCAAGGCTGTGGTGCAGATCAGAAAGATAGCAACTTAGAAAGTTTGGTGTCATGGCCAGTTTTGCTGGAAACACGTGTATCTCAGAGCAAGCTGGGCAGGACCCCATTTTTCTCTGTCATGATCACACCACCTTTGTCCTGAGTTCACAGGAAGCCAGTCCCATGTGGAGCAGAAATACTCTGTGAGTAGTGAAAATATGTGTGTGGATTTGGATCTAACCGTGTTACCTGGATTTCAAGGTGTTTCTACATTGTCAACTTGCCTAAAAGAGGTGCTTTTGGTTGAAATCTGTAAGATACAATTAGTATTTCAGTTGCTCTGATAGTTACAGATACAGGATACATTTGTTGTTCTCTCCAGGTCACCTTATGGGATAATAGGCACTTTCTCATGTCACTCATTTAATCTTTAAAACAAACTTTCAGGTAAACATTCTCATTTTGCAAGCAAAGCACCTGAGGCTCAGATAGTTTGCACTTGTGTAGAGTCCCTCAGCTCGAAGCACAGAGCTGGGTCTTTGCCCTGCCTTGTGGGGTTCTGTGTTTCACCATGCCCAGGCTCTAAGCTGACAGAGTTCTAGGCCCTTCCCTTGTATTATCTCATTGAATCCTCTTATCCCATGAGGTGGGTGCTCCTGGGAGACCAGGCAGCAGGAGAGGGCTTGGCTCTCACTGTCTTTCCAGGGAGAGGAAATATCCAGGCCCTGGGTCTTCTGGCTCCTGAAAACTTGCACAATGAGAAAGCAAAATTGATCTCAGGTGCTTAGTGACATATTTAGAGGAGGGCTCTTCTGCTTTTCGCAATCCCTCTCCTCACTATGAGATTAAGAGGGCTGAACTGCATGAATGAAATAGTGGGTCCCGCCCTGTCTCAGTGCCTGGGCAGCTGCATGAGGAAAACACTGGTGAAAAGAGAAGTTTCATGGTCACTTCCTTGTGGCCTATTACCTGGCAAATTTCCAGTGTTCTTTTTCTTTTTTCTTTTTCTTAAATGAAATGCATCAAGAAGCCTGACTTTGTAATTTCTTCTCATCAGGTTACTTCCAATCCTATTACCCATTTGCAAAGTGAATCACTAAATTTCTGGCAAATGGTATTCAGGATTGCTCAGGAGAAGGCATGATTTGGATAGAGATGCACAATGGTCTGGAGTTTGCTGAGTGTTCTCATGACCAGGTTTAGGTTCCCCGAGAACACGGGCTGCAGGAGAGAGAATGCATTCCACTTTCCTTAGGGGTGGTTGCTAAGAGTATGTGAGTGGGCAGAGTCAGTCTTCTGCACAAAGGGCAGTTTTGAGGTGTTGAACACTAACCAGACATGATCATCTGGAAAAACGGGTGAAAAAAATGCCAGTCAGTGGTGGGAACCCAGAGCCTTCTGTGTCTATGTCCAGTGGCTGCACCTGCTGGCTGTTCAAATTCTCCATCTGGTTCCCAGGCGAAGCTGGAGATTCAGCACAGATGGAGCACATTTCTCCAGCTTGGGAGAGCATTCCTGGGCTGCAGAGAAAGGACTGGGCCCTGTGGGGGAATAACTGGATCCAGGAGTGCCGTGTCTTGGAGGTGGTTGTGATGCGTCAGGCTTTTGTGGGCTGTGGAGTTGGGAATGTCAGCCCCAGAGAAGGGGCCTGAGTCCTGGGCCTTTGTTAATGTAGTGTCATCGGCAGCACTCGAGGGTGCCGTGCACAACTTTCCCGATGGGTCAGTGTCGAAGGAGGAACTGACCTGGCGCATCAGTACCTACCGCAGCACTGTTACAAAGGTCTCTTGGTTCATGGTTTTCATTGTCCTTGTCTCCGCTTGGGATTTGGTCCTCAGTATCCATGGCTACCCCACGCAGGCCTCCTGTGGGGTCAGTCTCTCTGGGTGGTTCTCCTAATAGTGGGGTACCAGCATCACCCCAAGGCTGGCCATGGACAAAGAGCCTACTCACGTTCTCTGTATTTTGGGGTCCTTTTGCCACTCTGCCCATTTCTGGGGCCTGTCCCGTGTCCCTCTGCCATCCCCAGCTTTCTTGTATCATCTGAGCTGCCTAGCAGTGTCTCTTACCTGACACCTTTCCTGCTTGCTCCTCTGTGTTATGCCAGTTTATGCATGTGCCCTACCTTCTCAACTAGGTCAGGAATTCCTCGAGGGTACGATTCATTTATTTACTTAGCAGACATTGAGAGCTCCAACTTAGGGGTTAGACAGATCAGGCCCTTCCATAATAGCTCTGTGACCTTGGGCAGTTTCTTTCTGTCTAAAATGGGACAGTAGTAATACTTTCCTCATAGGATGGATGTAAACGTTAAAGGAGGTGACATACAGACAACTCTTAACAGAGTGCCAGGCTCATGGTGAGGGTGCCAGAGTGAACCATGTGTTTATTGCCTTATTAAATGTCTTGGTGATAAATGGCCACTATAGATCAACACTGGGTGTTCCAGTCTGGGGCAGGGTGGCTGATTACAGCATCTAGCAAACCTGCTCCAAGTCCATGGTTGTGTCTCTCTCGACCTTGGACGAGCCACTGGCCTTTCTGTCTGGTTTGTTAAATGAGGCTCATATGTATGTTGTGGGCTTCTTCTGAGTTTTAAGTGAAATAATACTTGTAAAATGCCTAGGAAAGCAGTTGGCACATTGTAGATACCCAGTAGTAGTATACTCATTTCATTTATTCTTCTCTGCTTCTTAAATAACTTGTATTGGTGTCCTGCTCTTAGCCTGCAAGGCAAGGGAAAGTGAGCCAGTAGAATAGTCACACTACAACTTCATTAATAGTGATACTGATAAGCAATAAAAGGAAGCCATAGCTGTGCTGTTTTGGCCTCTGTCCTTGGCAAGTGGCACCATGCTCCTGCCTCCTAGTGCAGAGACTAGGCACCACACAGACATGGGTAATGGCTGTACAGACCATTGTTCGTACGGCTCTGGGTCGGTCTCTGCCCCCACTACTGTTCCGGCCACAAGGCTGCCTGCAAAAACAAAGTGACACAAAGAACAAGGAGATGGGGAGTTGCTAAGACAGATGCATTAAAAGGATGGCATCAATTAAGTGGCGTAGTCCTAGGCCAGAAGCAAACGGGCAGACTGCTACTGCTCCTCCCAAGTAAGAGGCGCTGGCTTATCATGCCCCCTCAGGCCTGTCTGGCGTTCAGATGACTTGTGGCCGGGATAGACTCACCAGGACTCATGCTCATCTTGAGGGCATGCACTGTGCACCCGAGCTTTGTTTTTACCCCTCTCTGGGGTGTCGATTAGAAATGAGCTCTTCTTTGCAAGTAGAACAGAGTTTTGTTTTGCTTTTTGAGTGTCAACTGTGGCCCAAAATGAGAAAGACTCAGCTGCCTTCATGTGACCTAAACAGCCCAGGTGGGAAGGGACATTTGTAAGCATTTGTTGGGTTTGTTCTGCCTGCCCTGCTGTAACCATTTTTGACACGAGGACACTGAGATAAGAATAAAAAGAAATTGTTCTTTCTTTTTATTGTAATTGCTGAGAAATGAGCATTGTTTTCTATTACCAAGTACTGTGGGCCCTCACCCCGTTCCAGTGGCCACTTCAAAGTCTTCATCAAAATAGCTACATTTTGTTTTGTTTTTAAAACCAAGTAATGGGCCAGGCACGGTGGCTCACGCCTGTAATCCCAGCACTTTGGGAGGCCGAGGCGGGTGGATCACGAGGTCAGGAGATCGAGACCATCCTGGCTAACATGATGAAACCCTGTCTCTACTAAAAATACAAAAAATTAGCTGGGCGTGGTGGTGGGCACCTGTGGTCCCAGCTACTCGGGAGGCTGAGGCAGGAGAATGGCATGAACCCGTGAGGCAGAGCTTGCAGTGAGCTGAGATCACGCCACTGCACTCCAGCCTGGGCGTCACAGCCGACACTCCATCTCAAAAACAACAGCAACAACAACAAAAAAACCAAGTAATGTGTGTCTTAGGGCTTAGTAGTTAATTCACTAGGACTATTTGGTCAAGTCTAAATTACTGAGGGTCAACAGGCAAGTGAGAGACTTGGCGAAGCCTTCAAGGAGGTGGCTATAACTTGGGAGAAGATAGAAGAGGTTTATGCCTAGGAAAAGAGTTCAAAGTCAAATTCTTCTCAGTTATGGCTGTATCATGAAATTATTTCTGTGATCTGACTAAATTTTATTTAATAACAATTTTCTAATTTTAAAATAGTCTAGTCTAAGTGGGGCAGATTAGTACCTTTATGTGCTGTTTATCAGTGCTAGTTTCTTAGTGGGTGATTTGCCATTTCTAAACAATTTTGCTATGTGATAACATCATTGTGGACCCAAGGAAGTCCAAGTCAAGGGTTGAGACAATACAATAATGTTTTTACATTGTCATGTAACAGGGAAGTGGCTGGAATATGGCATGGTTCGGGGATGCTTGCTTGAGTGTCATTTATTTGGTAACTTAAATATCACCCATTTTAACTAGACAATTCAAAGATTTTCGTTAAATTCACTGAGTTGTGCAACCATCACCATAATTCAGTTTTAGAACTTTGCATTCCCCCAGCAAAGATCCTTTGTGCTTGTTTACAGTTAGCTCCCATTTCCCACTTCTGATCCTTGGCAACCACTAATCTGCTTTCTTTTTTTTTGAGACAGAGTCTTCACTCTGTTACCTAGGCTGGAGTGCAGTGGCACAATCTTGGCTCACTGCAACCTCCACCTCCTGGGCTCACCCACCTCAGCCTCCTGGGTAGCTAGGACTATAGGCATGCCACCACATCTGGCTAATGTTTTTATTTTTTGTAGAGATGGGGATTTGCTATATTGTCCAGGCTGGTCTCAAACTCTTGGGCTCAAGTGATCTACTTTTTAAAAATTGTTGTTATTTTTTGAGATGGAGTCTCACTCTGTCACCCAGGCTGGAGTGCAGTGGCAGGATCTCAGCTCACTGCAACCTGTGCCTCCCAGGTTCAAGCGATTCTCCTGCGTCAGCCTCCCAAGTAGCTGCGATTAAAGGCATGTGCCACCATGCCCGGCTAATTTTTGTATTTTTAGTAGAGATGAGGTTTCACCATGTTGGCCACGCTGGTCTTGAACTCCTGACGTCAGGTGATCTACCCGCCTTGGCCTCCCAAAGTGCTGGGATTACAGGCATGAGCCATGGTGCCCAGCAAAGTGATCTATTTTCTTTCTTTCTTTTTTTTTTTAAGTGATCTATCTATCTCTATAATTTTCCTTTTCTTATACATTATATGAATGGAATCATACAATATGTGGTATTTTCGTGTGTTTTTTTTTCTGAGCATAAGGATTTTGGGTTCATACTATAGCATGCATGAACTTCATTCCTTTTTATGACTCAATATTCCATTGTATGGACATACCTACTGTGTTTATTCATTCACCAATTGATGGACTTTTTTGGCTATAATGAATGATGCTGCTATGAATGCTTATATACATATGTTTATGTTTGTGTGTGCATATATGGTTCCATTTATCTTGAGTAGATACTTAGGAGACTTTAAAAAGTCTTCGTGACCTTAGGCAATTCACCTGACTTCTCAGAGCCTCAGTTTCCCTGTCATATAAAATGTGGTGATACAGCTACTAGGGAGGCTGAGGCAGGAGAATCACTTGAACCTGGGAGGCAGAGGTTGCAGTGAGCTGAGATCGCGCCATTGCACTCCAGCCTGAGCAACAAGAGCAAAACTCCATCTCAAAAAAAAAAAAAAAAGTGGGGATAAAAGTATAAGTTACTCTCAGCACTGTATCTGGCAGAGATAAGTGGGCATTGCTGCTGTAAGCTGAGTCACAACAGCCATTTGAAGATGTTCCCCTGATCAAAAGTGCTTTGCCAAATCAGCCTGGTCTAGGTGTCTGGGCAGACTGTAAAAACTACAGATTTTACAAAAGTGGGCAGAAGAGCTGACACTTGGATAGGGTGTCAGCTACAGGGAGGCACCTTCTTTTTGGCCTGTGGGAAGAGCAGGAAATTCCCAGATGGAGAAGTGAGAGAAAGACAGTCCGTACGAGAAGGAAATGGCAGGCACACAAGTGCGAGGCCAGACATCTGAGAGTGGCATCACTGGGTGTGGAGGAGCTATGGTGAAGAGTGAGCTTGGGTGGCAGGGGACGAGGCGGGAGGGTTGGGCTGGGCCAGGTAGGGATGGTCCCTGTATGTCCTGTGTGTTGAGGCTGCTGCTTGTAGGAGGTAGAAGAGCTGGGGAAGATTATTAAGCAGAGCAGGGACTAATTAAGTTCAAAAGCTACAAGCTTTTAACAAACCTTTAAAGGACATCTATTTTGTAATGCCTGGAAACTTGGATGACTGGTGACTCATTTAGAATTTTATGGAAAGCTTTTTAGTTCCCAGGTTCTGGGACCCCAGGTTGGCTCCCAGGTTCTGAACCTCTGTCCCCTGCCCCTGTGAACAGTGCAGACAGTAAGTGCTTATTAAGTTTACTTCCTGGGGCATCAGGTGCCAAATGTAGTATTGCTTTTTCATCCTGACAGCTGCTGCTGCTATCAAAAGCGAGAGGTAATCAACTGGTTTGTGGACCATTCTTTTCTTTGGCACCTAAGTACCAGCTCTGTTTCAACTGGGTATATCAGAATTGCTAGGGATACGTGTCTACTTTGAATGTTTATTCAATCCCTTTGCAGTTTTTATAATGAAAATTATAGAAAATTGACTTTTAAAAACACTGATGCTAAGGTGTAGAAGATAGGAGGAAAAATTATTGAGGGGAGGGTGGAGCTCAGTTTCTTGATAAAACTTTGGGAAACACTGTTTTAATTAAAGAAATGACCTATATGTAAGGCAGAATGCAAACAGCCCCAAATGCAAATATATCAGGCAGTCTTGAATATCTTTTTTTTTTTTTTTTTGAGACAGAGTCTTGCTCTGTCGCCCAGGCTGGAGTGCAGTGGCATGATCTCGGCTTACTGCAAGCTCCGCCTCCTGGGTTCACACCATTCTCCTGCCTCAGCCTCCCCAGTGGCTGGGACTACAGGTGCCTGCCACCACACCCTGCTAATTTTTTTTTTGTATTTTTAGTAGAGACGGGATTTCACCGTGGTCTTGATCTCCTGACCTCATGATCCGCCTGCCTCGGCCTCCCAAAGTGCTGGGATTACAGGCGTGAGCCACCGCGCGTGGCCCTGAATATCTTTTCTACCCGTTGCTACTTGGTGTTTGAGTTATAAGTGTCTTCTTGAGGGTTTGGGAGGTTTTTCTTTTTATATGTACACACATATGTACATGTGTGTGTAAAATATTCATTTATTCATGCCAGAGATATGTAGAGCTGACATCAATGGGAGGAATGTTACCAGAATTAGGTTAAGTAGTGATGAGAGTTATTCGTTCTAACAACGTTATGAGAATCTTTTCCTCCAAAATACATGAATGGGAAGTGAGGTTTTCTAACTATATTTTCTTAAAGAAGACTGATAAGACCAAAATGTCAAGAAAGCTTTTATCAAGCTTGTTAATTTGACACACACCATAGAGACACAGGGTCCCTTGGGGAGGGCAGGTTGCTGTGATGGAACTGTAGAGATTCTCCCTACCCACCCCTCGGGTTAGGCCTCTAGGTTCTGCCTTCTGCCTGGGTCTTAGATCTTTTGCTCCAGCCCCACCACTCCCTGAGCTCTGCTCCTTCCCACTTCTCCCGGCTCATTCAGAAGCCCTGGACAGTGTCAAGATAGAAACCCCAATGCCACACCACCTTTGTTTTCTTCCCATGGGGTTTTCCTCGGGGTCTTCAATTCCAGTCACTCCTGAGCTTCCCACTGGCCAGATCTCCTTGGCATCAGGCAGGGGCATGTTTCTGTTCTCTTCTGGGCCTGCACACCGTATGTTTGGGGTTTTTTGGCTGGCATCTCCTGGATGCTGGAAGATGGGTGCCAACATTTATTCTTAAAATTGTTTTGAGCATGGTTTAACTTAGCATAAAGGCTGCTTTACTTGTTTTCAGACTAAGGCACTCCATGGAGCTCACTCCACCTCCATCCCCCCTCTCCGTCCCCATTAGCTGTGACAGCCCAGTCATATGTCTCCCTCTCTCTGATCAGCCAGCCCAGGGCTCCTCGTTTGAATTTGGCTTCGTAATTCCTTACTTTACTTGGCATCCCAAGAAGAAGGACTTGATTCTCCTCTTATCTCAAAGTGGATTCTCCCAAACCAAAAATCTCCCTCCTCCAGCTCCTAGGAGGGTGTTTCTGTCAGGCAGACCTCCTGCCACTGTGGGTTGTGGGCAGCCCTCTGCCTGGCACATTATTACACAGTGACATCAACTACTGTCCCAGTGCCAGTGGTTTCTTGGGGGCACCGCATCTTGCCTCTGACTTTCCATCTCATGCCCATCTTGAAAGGGGACATCACTCTTGTCCTTGTTGTCCCAGTGAGAAGCCCTGATCAGTGCTTTTTGATTTACCTCCCACTCAGTTTTAGTTCTTAAATCTCAGGATAAGAGCCCACTCCTTGCCACCTACAATTTCCTTGCATTAATCCAACAGCCTCAATGCTTGTCAATCTAAATTGCCTTGCACCCCCTCCCCCATTGCTGCACACTGGAGCCAAAATGCTTCTGAAATATAAACCTTATTGCATAACCCCCCTTCAAAAACTCTCTAGTGGTTTTCCATTTAATTCCACCCTTCTTAAAGCTACTTGTCAGGCTTCGAACCCCCTGAGCCCCATCCTCCAGGCTGCCCTGTTTTCTGTGTGCCCCAGGAGGGCAGGTGTCCTGCCTTGTTCAGTGCAGAGCTTGGTGCGTGGTAATGGTTGTTTGGTGTTAGTCAGAGGTGAGGCGTGTGTATTTTACTATGGTGGGTAGGCAGCAAGTTGCATTTAACTTCTTTTTCTAGGAGATGGACCATAATTTTCTTATATTAAATTATCATAGAGACTGAGCACGGTGGGTCATGCCTGTAATGCCAGCACTTTGGGAGGCCGAGGCAGGTGGATCACCTGAGGTCAGGAGTTCGAGACCAGCCTGGCCAACCTGGTGAAACCCCATCTCTACTAAAAATACACTAATTAGCTGGGCATAGTGGCAGGCACCTGTAATCCCAGCTACTTGGGAGGCTGAGGTGGGAGAATCGCTTGAACCAGGGAGGCCGAGGTTGCAGTGAGCCAAGATTGCGCCATGGTACTCCAGCCTGGGCGACAGAGCGAGACTCTGTCTCTAACAAAAGAAAAAAAAATTATCGTAGAGGTTTATGGTGGCTCCTTTATTTTGCTTTTCTTTCTTTTTTGAAACATCTTTTGGGTGGAAGTGGATTTATTTGGTAGCACTCCTTGGGTCAGAAATGGAACTTCTCTTTGAAATACATTCTTATAGAGAGAGAAACTTGACCACGGTTGATTGAAGATTTAGTGCCTAGGAAGTTGGTATTTGAAAAGCATAACCTGTGTTTATGCTGTCTGAAGGCATGGTTTATTATTTTTTCACCTTCATTGGTCTCACTCTTGCTTCCTTATTTCTTGGAACAGGAAATCTAAAACCTAGAAGTTAGTTGGTGGCTGCTCAGAGCCCCTTGGCTTGGATAGAGTCTCCTGAGAAAACCTAAGCCTCTGAACCCAAGGTCAGGGTTCTTTCTTTCCCCTAGGCCCAAATGCTGCTCGCTCTGTTTACACACTTCCTACACATCGATGGTTTGTGCCTTGCTCTCGTGTCCTTTATGGTCTTCCGTTTTAGTACAGGAGCCAGACTGGCCTCGGTGCAGTCTCTGCAATGCAGCCTCATTCTCTGTGACCTCAGTGGGGTCCTTAACATCCAGATTCTTAATGTCTCAGAGCCTCAGTTTTCTTATCTGTGGAGTAGTCATCGCGACTACCCTGCAGGGTTGTTGTGAAGATTAATTGAGAAAGCATGTTAAATCCCTTGACATGATAGGGGCACCATCGGTGTTAGCTGCTACCTCTACCGAGAGTCTGTTATTTTGACATTTGCCACCTGCTAGCTGTGTGACATTGGGTGAGTTATTCAGCGTCTCTGGGCCTTAGTTTTCTGTTGTAAAATGGTGTTAATATAAGTGCTTACCCCTTATAGTATTGCTCTGAAGATTACATAAAATAATCCATATAGAGGGTTATGAATGGTGCCTGGCCATGGTCACTGTGCTTAGTAAAGGTCAGCTCACTGCAACCTCCACCTCCCGGGTCCAAGCAATTCTCCTGCCTCAGCCTCCCAAGTTAGGATTACAGGCATCTGCCACCACGGCTGGCTAATTTTTGTGTTTTTAGTAGAGACAGGTGTGCATTTTATTGGGTTCAATTTTTAAAATATTTTAAAGCTTTATAAAATAGCAACACAAGGGGTCCTTGTAAGTGGTAGATACATGAACCAACACAGGTAATAAAATTACATAGAGCTTAATACACACATGTGCACACAAATAAGTGCAAGTAAAACGGGAACTCTGAGGAAAAGTTATGGATTGTATCAGTGCTGATATCCTGGTTGGGATATTATGATCTTGCAGAATGTTACCATTGGGGGAACTGGATAAAGGGTATACAGGATCCCTCTGTATTATTTCTTCAAGATGGAGTCCTGCCCTGCTGCCCAGGCTGGAGTGCAGTGGCACGACTTCTGCCTCCCGGGTTCAAGTGATTCTCCTGCCTCAGCCTCCCGAGTAGCTGGGACTACAGGTGTGTGCCACCACACCTGGCTAATTTTTGTGTGTATATATATATATACACACAAAATTTTTATATATATGCAAAATTATATATATACAAAAATATATATAAAATTTTATATATATACAAAAATTTTTTTTTTAGTGGAGACAGGGTTTTGCCATGTTGCCCAGGCTAGTCTCGAATTTCTAACCTCAAGTGGTCCATCTGCCTTGGCCTCGCAAAGTGCTGGGATAACAGCCATTAGCCACCTCACCCGGCCCCCTCTGTGTTATTTCTTCTGTCTGCTTGTGGTTATCTACACATGACTGACTATCTGAATAATTACAGTTACCTTAATTCAAAAACTTAGCCTTAAAAATTTGAGTATTATCTCTAAATAATATAGTGTTAGAGAAATAGCAGCTCTGAATCTTCTTGTACAGATAATAGAGCCAGGTTAGTTAAAAGGTAGCCCAGTTTTCTTTTTTTCCAGGAAGGCAGAGGACTCAGTTTTTTGAGGAGAGTGGGCGCCGGTGAGTGGGGATAAGCAGGCCCTCAAGTGACAACACAAATTTAAACACAGAGACCACTTAGTTGCTGTGGTCTGTTACCTGGTGTATAAAGGGTGCTGCAGATGCTTTGGCGTGCTGGCTGGGGGGCCCCAGGGTTTGTATCTGCACGCCTGCAGACCATCACAGCTGTGCGTGAAGAAGACTAACTCGGGTTGGTAGCATAGGAGTCTTCACTTAAGCACTTGTGTGACCTCGAGCTGATGGACTATCTAGAGCAATTTGAGCTGGACTTCATCTACATCAAATTAGATCCTGGTTTAAAGCTACCCTTATAAATCTCCCTTGCTTCTCCCTCCCTGGCAGCTCTGTCTGAGGCAGCATATTTCCCCCCACGCTTGGACAGGAGGGATCTCATGAAAGTGTTGGGTGGAGGGGTCTTGTCTGCTGGCTCTGGTGGCACTGTCTTGGTAGGGTTTCAGATTTAGAACCAGATTTCAGGTCTCCTCCCTAAGTTAGAAAATCATTCCAACAGATCCGATTTCTCTGAGCTAATTTACTAGGATGATCTCTACTTGCATTTAATAAAATATTCAGAGACCTATTGAATTCCAGTTGCTGTTTGCCATTTGTAATGCTGCTGAGTTTGACTTAGTAATACACTTCAATTCCCAAATGTGTCGCATGGGCTGTTACTGAATGTGGGTCATTAGGAAAGCTTTGACTCTTAACAGAATTATTCACTGAAGTCTTAGTTACAAAACATTACTAAGAAGTTATTTATTTAGTCCCAAAGTGACAGGTTTCAAAAAATTTTGCACGTTGGCTGGCCATAAATCCATTTATATTCACTCCTCCCCCAATAGAATAAAACTTACGCTACCTTCTTGGTGTTTGTTGAGCGGCGAATCAGTTCCTTGTCACTGATTTAAAATAAAACAACCCTGATGTATCTTTAGCAGACAAAAGCGTTCTTTTGTTTCACAACCCATTTCTCCAACGGAAGAAGAACAAAGACCCATAGTCCTAAAGTGCTTGTGTGCAGCCTTGTATGACCACAGTAAATTGTACATGTAATGAAATATTACTCTGTGTGTGTGTGTGTGCAATCATAGTAGTCTTTTTAATGTATATTTAAAAAATAACAACCTAGTTTTCATGGTATGGAGCTGGTTGCATAACCTTAGAATGTAGGCCACTTGAGGAGGAGGGGGCTATGCCATTATGAAATTATCAGTTTAAGACTATTGTTTAATAATTATGCCAACAGCTGCTTTCTGAAGGATCCCAGTCTGTTCGTATGGTTGGGTCTGTATGGTTAGTGGAGTCTAAATCCTACAGGCCTTTCTGATCATTCACACATGGGTGGCTGTGCTACTGGCCCCCACCCCACCTACTTCAGTTTGCTGAATATCTGTGAGGCCAGACCCCCTTCCACTCCATTGCTTCACCCTCAGCACATGCTCATACACACAGACACACAATGTCAAGGTTTCACAGGGGTTACGAGTCCCCCTACCCCCAGACTCATCCTCCAGTCGTTGGAACTGGGAAATGAAGTCTGGTGGTGGTGAGTACATTGCGGGTTGAACCCAGCGAGCCAGTGACCCTCTGTGTCTAATGTGCAGGCACAACATTAGGGGCACTTTTTTAGATGAGTCATTTGTTTGGCAGGTTTGTGACATTGGGAGTCTCATTGTCATTTTTATTTCTTACAGTTTTATGTGCTGAAAGAGTTGGCCAGATGACTAAGACATATAATGACATAGATGCTGTCACTCGGCTTCTTGAGGAGGTAAGTGCTCCAGGGGAAGGCAAAAGAGTTGTTTATAATTGACTGGTTTTCATGGATACTGATTAAAGCATGCCTTATCACCTGTTTCAGTGAGGAATCTTGGAAATTGGTCTCTTTCGAGGTATAATTTAATGGCTTTACTTTTTGAACTAGTAGCTATGTAGGCCTTTATAGCTGTAATTGTGTGCAGATATTTTAAAGGAATATATTAATGGCACCAAATGTGGTGTGTTTAAATACTTGTTAGAATATCCAGTTGTAAGTATAAAAAATCCTGAAACATTGACTAATGATATATTTTAAGTGCATCCAAAAAATGTCAGAAAAATATATCATATCTGTGTCTTCCTAATGTATTTAAGTTTTTACTTAGGCTAGTGGAATATTGTGCAGTGTCAGCGTGGAAATAAGTAAAATAAGCATGGCAAGAAAAATTTAAGAAAGTTGCTTAAGATTAGGTGAGCTGCCTGTATTTTAGAGACTGTAGTTTTCTGAATTTCTCGGTATTCTGTTGCAATTGAGAATTAAGTATTATGAAGGTCTCTAGAAACAGATGAGTATAATATGTGTATGTGCATGCCTGGAACAGGCCAGAACATGGTGGGTTCTTAGTATTTGTTGAATAAGTCTCCATCATTAATGCACTGCCCCCTTCACTGAATCAGGCCTTAAATGGACAGGTGCTGCCTTCTAGACCCTTGCTTCTGATCTGGAATCTGGAATGATTTTGGGGCGTGTGACTATGATGTGGAGGACACAGAAATCATTGTTACTGTTTTCAGCCAGTGGGAGGTCAGGGTTGAAGCTCAGACAGAAACTGGGCCAGACTCGTTTCCCAGAGGTTTTTCTGGAGTGTGTGGCATTCTTCCACCGTTTTTGTGTGTCTCTCTTCCCATGTCTCTACCGCTGCACATCCAGCATTCTCTTCCTGGTCCTGCCATCCACTCCTGTTTGATCCTCTGACGTGGGGAAGTCACAAACTCATCAGCTCCCCAGAAGTGATGTCAGGGTTTTTGGCTATGTGACAGGGTGTCAAGGGCGGTATTTTGGGGGACCGACCTTCAGCCTTTGGGTGTCACTCCAGTTGCAGCTGTCTTTGGTGTTAGCCACGTGGCAGGCTGCCTTGGTTGGCACCACCGACTTTTGAAAATGGTTAATCACTGACCCCTTTCTGCTGCATCTGTTTCCCCCAACAGTGCTCTCCAGATCTTACAAAGTGCTTCCGGCACCCGCTCATCACCCCGTTCGGGTCATTGAGTCTTCTGAGAGGGGTCCTAATCTGTACCTTTATTTTTATTCCAAGGCGGCCACCACTCAAGCTCTTGGGGCCTCAGCAGTGAGATTGTAGCTTCTCTCTGCTTTACTCTTCCTTGCAGCTGCCACCGTCCATGCCCTCTGTGACCCGCTCACCCTTTCTGTAAAGCTCCTCGCTGTGTAGTCAAGGCCACCCATTGCTCAAGGTCCTGAACCCTCCTCTTCACTGTCCTGAACCTTCACTGTCACTGGGGACATGGCTCCTGCTCTCCCGCCCTTGGCCTTCTATGGCATTTAACTGCGTTGGTTCTTTCCTGCTTCTCAGTCTTGTGCTGCAGGGCCTGCCGGGGACCTTTGAAGATGGCCCCAACTCCATCCCCAGGTAGTCTGTGCCCTTGCTGAGCCCCAGGCATAGGAGTCACCCCATAGTCCTGTTTGTTTTGTTCATCCAGCTGGATGAACAATTTATTTTTTATTTTTTGTGGAGGCGGGATCTCCTTATATTGCCCAGGCTGATATTAAACTCTGAGGCTCAAACAGTCCTCCTGGCCTGGTGCAGTGTCTTATGCCTATAAATCCCAGCACTTTGGGAGGCCAAGACAGGTAGATCACTTGAGCACAGGAGTTTGAGACCAGCCTTGCCAACATGGCCAAACCATGTGTCTACAAAAAATACAAAAATTAGCCAGGTATGGTGGCCTGTGCCTGTAATCCCAGCTACTCGGGAGGCTGAGGTAGGAGGATCGCTTGAGCTCTGGAGGTGGAGATTGCCGTGCACCGAGATCATGTCACTGCACTCCACCTGGGCACCAGAGCGAGACTCTGTCTCAAAAAATAAAACAAAACAAAACAAAATTAGAAGCAAACTACAGCCACTGTTTATTTGAATCTCTCACATTTTTAAATTAAAAAATTCTCTCACCTTGACCTCCCAAAGTGCTGGGATTATAGGCATGAACCACCGTACCCAGCCTGTTTTATTTTTAAAGGGTCTTCATGGCAACAGCGTCTGTTTATGTCTTTGTGTTCCATGTCTAATGCCATTCTGTTCCTGTCCTGATAAGATTCATGCCTGAGTTACTGCCTTTCCTTGGAACTAGGAGGGTGTCCTGGTTAAAGTCTAACTGTCCCAGTCATGTGGCTGTTGCACTGTGCGGTGGTTTTCCTGGGCTTTGGCTCTGTTTCTTCTGTTCTCTTGCTATGATTTCCATGCCTGCCACAGGCAGGCAAATGGGGGATTCGCACAGGATCCCAAAGCACAGCCTTCCACCAGCGTGGAGAGTTCGCTTCTGGTTTTAAGGGGAAGAGGATGCTGTGGCTCACCTGGGCTTGCTGCTGTCTGGAATGCACCTTTGGGCAGAGCTTGCCTCCTCCTCGGTTACAGAGAGGGTGATTCCACTGGCCCCTTAGTCATGCTTTTTATCCTGAAATTGGTGAATGAGATGAGTCAGTTGCTAAGTGTAGGCGGCAGGCTGTTTGGAATCTCTAGTGGGTGTGTCAGTCAGTGCAAGAGTTCATTGGTAAAAAGGGGCTGAGACTCAAGTTACAGTCTTTTTTAAGTCTATGCTTTTAAAGCATAGTGAGGAGAGGGAGCAGGCAGTTAGAATGAGCTCTACCTTGCCTCATTTCTTGGGGGAATAAAGGAACTAGTTCTTTTAATACCTTATTTCCAAGGGCCTAAATTACTTGTTTGTGGTCTCTTTTTCTCATTGTAGTTTAATCCAGTGGCCATCTTCTAGCTGTTTTCTTGTTTTTATCCTTTTTTTTTGGTAGGGATGGTGTCTCACTATGTTGCCCAGGCTGGTCTTAAACTCCTGGCCTTCTCAAACTCCTGATTCTCCCACCTTGGGCTCCCAAAGTGTTGGGATTACAGACATAAGCTGCCACGCCCAACCTGTTTTCTTGTTTTTAGAAGTAAACATTAATCATATTTTGGCTAGAGAAATGGGAGGTTTTTTTCATTCTTATAATTCTCAAAGAAAAACCCAACCAGCTTGTTGCCTCAGTAAAATTAAAGAGAAAAAACTAGAGACACTACAATAACGTTTCTGTTTAAATTTTCATTTTATCTATAAATATTTTTAATGTAACTTTTTATTTTCAATTTTTTAAGTACATAGTAGGTATATATATTTATGGGGTACATGAGATACTTTGATAAAGGCATATGCTGCATAATAATCACATCAGGGTAAATAGGGTATCAGGCTGAGCAACGTGGCTCACACCTGTAATCCAGACACTTTGGGAGGCTGAGGTGGGAGGATTGCTTGAGGCCAGAAGTTTGAGACCAGCCTGGGTAGCATAGTGAGACCCTGTCTCTACAAAAAGTTAGACGCTGTAACTGAAGAAGAGGAAAACTTTGCCCAAACCTGCATTCCAAAAATTAGATAGGCATGGTGGTGCATGCCTGTGGTCCTAGCTACTCAGAAAGTGAAGTGGGAGGGTTGCTTGAGCCCAGGAGTTTGAGGCTATGGTGAGCTGTAATTGTGCCACTGCACTCCGGCCTAGGCGATAGAGTGAGACCTGTCTCAAAAAAAAAAAAAAAAAAGAAAAAGGAAAAAAAGGTGGAGGGTGGAGAAAGAAAGGGATATCATCACTTCAAGCATGTATCATTCCTTTGTGTTACAAACATTCCAATTATACTTGTAGGTATTTTTCAATGTGCAATAAATTATTGTTAATTGTAACCACCCTATTGTGCTATCAGATACTAGATCTTATTCTAAGTATATTTTTATACAATTTGCTGTGACTTCTTGCTTTTTCTTCTGGCAGAGAGTGTTCTTTAAAATTACTCTAAAGATTACATTTCTGGTATAGACCAGGGAAGTGTTTGTCCTTAGTGGGGCAAGAAGAGGCGAGGCAGCCCTTAGGTGCAGGGTTTGAGGTGTGACAGGTAGGACAAAGGACTTCATTGTTGAGCTCATTGCTCTACTTGTTTCTCTTTCCCTTCCTGTCTCCCAATTCCTGTTGGTTTCTGGCCGTTTGTGTGCTGGAAGCCTTCCGCATCCTTCAGGTGCTCTGGCAGTCCCTTGCCATGCCTGAGCCATCTTCATTATTATGCTGTGTGCTTGATTTGTTTGCATTGAAATGTGCGTACAAAATGCGGCTAAAGGCCGGGCGCAGTGGCTCACGCCTGTAATCCCAGCACTTTGGGAGGCTGAGGTGGGCAGATTACTTGAGGTCAGGAGTCCGATACTAGCCTGGCCTACATGGTGAAACGCCATTTCTACCAAAAATACAAAAATTAGCTGGGCGAGGTGGCGTGTGCCTGTAGTCCCAGCTACTTGGGAGGCTGAGGCAGGAGAATCACTAGAACCTAGGTAGCGGAGGTTGCAGTGAGCTGAGATCATGCCACTGCACTCCAGCCTGGGCGACAGATCGAGACTCCATATCAAAAACCAACAAAAAATGTGGCGAAGGCATGCAAAATATCAGCGCTTGTTGGAACTTGGCAGCCTGGATGCATGAAGGCAATGCAGACCAGGTAGTCAGGTAGTGAGCTGAGGAGCACTGATGAAGCAACTGCTGAGTGTTCAGTCTGAGAACTAGTTCTAGTAGAGACATTAGGTAGACTTGAGTTAGATTTTTGGAGACTATACTTCCAAAGAGAAGTGAACATTGGTATTGCAGTTTTAACCAAATCCACCTGAAACCACTTGGACTAGGTGCTAATTTTCAGTCAGCCTCTGGAGACTTTAATTCTGTGCAGTCTCCCTCACACAGTTCTTTGAATCCTTTCCTCTAGGTACCTAATAAGCACAGCTGTTGAGTCTGAGAAATGACAAAGGGCCATGAAATAAGGTACCTTTTTTTTTTTTTTTTTCAATTTTGTGTTTTGAGATGGGGTCTCCTGTGTTGCCCAGGCTGGTCTTGAACTCCTGTGCTCAGGAGATCCTCCTGCCTTGGCCTTCCAAAGTGCTGGGATTACAGGCATGAGCCACTGCACCCGGCCAAGGGAACTTCTTGGTAGACACTGACCAGTGTGGATAAATGTGCAGAGATGAGCATCTCTGTTGATGGGGCAGATGCACCGTGTCCCCTTTGCCCCGTGAGAGGGCCGTCTCCACATGTACTGTGTTCCCAGAAAGGCAAGGTCATGATGGGGAGGCACAAATTGTGGGAACGAGTTGGGGGATTTGCAACTCTCTCTTTTTTTTTTTTTTTCTTTTTTTGAGACAGAGTCTCTCTCAGACACTCAGGCTGTAGTGCAGTGGGGTGAGTGAGCCCCGCCTCCTGGGTTCAAGTGATTCTCCTGCCTCAGCCTCCCGAGTCGCTGGGATTACTGGCTCCCGCCACCACACCCAGCCAATTTTTGTATTTTTAGCAGAGACGGGGTTTTGCCATGTTGGCCAGGCTGGTCTCAAACTCCTGACCTCAAGTGATCCCAAAGTGCCGGGATTACGGGTGAGAGCCACTGTGCCTGGCCTATTTACAGCTCATTTTTGATACTGTGATACCTGGCTGGCTTGTGGGACTGTGGTGACAGCATTGCCAGTTTGGGGACTGTGGAAGGCCTGGAGGAGAGAGACCATCATCCTGCAAGAGGGAGCCAAAGTGCTGTTGAATCCAGTCTTCTCAAACTGTACTTGACCTCAAGTGCTGCGCTCATACTGCAGTGAAGTTCCTGTGGTTAGCAAAGGGAGATGTCTGCTATTGCATGGAATAATTGGGTGGCTATCCAAGACGTTAGAAATAAAAGCGGATTTTTCTCTTTATTCTAAAACTCAGTGAATCATAAAGCTAGAGAGTTTTTCCAGAATATCTCAGCTAGCCTGCACCTTTACTCTACCTTCATTTAACAGTTGAGGGAACCTATGTTCAAGTAGGGAACCCATACTCTCCCAGTTTACAGTAGGATAGTTCACCTGGAGCAGTTCAATTTGTGACCAGTACCTGCTGTAAGAAACACAGCTTAGGTTGTGACCCAGTACTCATATAGGTGAATATGTGACAAACAACAGTTTAAACATGAAATAATATTCTTATTACATATAATGCACTTTGGTGTTTTCAATTCTGTGCCATTGTATTTAAGTTAAAACAAAATGTCGGTTGCTGTTACTAAAATGGTTTCTTAACCCACTAATGAGTTTGAAACCTGTGGCCTGAAAAATGAATCTGTTGGCCTGGCGCAGTGGTTCACACCTGTAATCCCAGCATTTTGGGAGGTCGAGGAGGGCGAATCACCTGAGATCAGGAGTTTGAGACCAGTCTGGCCAACGTGGTGAAACCCTGTCTCTACTAAAAATACAAAAATTAGCTGGGTGTGGTGGCACATACCTGTAATCCCAGCTACCCAAGGGGCTGAGGCAGGAGAATTGCTTGAACCTGAGAGGTGGAGGTTACAGTGAGCCGAGATCGTGCTACTGTATCCAACCTGGGTGACAGAGTGAGACTCTGTCTAAAAAAAAAAAAAAAAAAGAAAGAAAGAATCAATCTGTAGTGTACTTTATCCCTGTGAAGCAAAAGCCGTTTGCCTGGGACCGTGTGGGTAGTTAATAGCAGGTGTTGGATCAGAACCTAGGACTCCTCCCCAGCATTTTTCCTACCCCAAACGACATGTTTCCATTCTTTCTTTCAAACCAGATGAGCAGAGTAATTAGCATAGACTTCTAAAATGATTTAATTTTTCTGACTTCTCCTCACCTTGCCAAAACCCAAGTTGAATCTGACTGGTAGCAACTCGCTAAGTCTGCATTTGCTGATGGCGTCTGTCCACTATCAGGGGACGTCTTTTTTCCCACAGAGGCTTCCCTGACTTTATATGCCACTCCAAATTTTCCTCTGTATACTGGCTCTGCCTAATTGATGCCATCAGCTCAGCTAACAGAAAATTCTGTGCCCTTAAGAGTGTTTTTGTCTCTGAAGGATGGCAATTTTATGCATAACGTCTCCGTTTTGAAAGTTGTTTTTTTCTTAAATGAAACCTAAGTAGCCTTTTCTAAGTAAAAAAACAGAAAAGCATGTAATTGTTTTTGAGAGTAACTTTAAACATTTTTGTTTCACATGAGGCAAAAATAAGGAATTCAATGCATTCCAGCCTAATGTGTGCTAAAGAGGCTGCCTCCCTGTGTCAGCTCTTGGCTTCATTGTCAGAGCATTTTAGAATTTCTATATTTATTCATTCATTCACTTAACAAATAGCTACTGTTTCCCTGTGCCGGGCCCTGGCAATACAATAGCCCAGCCCTCAGGTGGAGAGACAGGTTATCAAGTGACTGCACAAATATCAAAAGCAGTTGCAAATAATTGTTTTTAGAAGCATTTTTTTCTTTCCTGTAGGAACAAAGATTTGTTTTCATTACATTGTCAGGCTTCCCTTTCCTTGTGTGATGTCTGTGTAGCTCTCACACACTATGTGGGCAGAGGTTATGCCTGTTTTAACAGGCATCAAATGCTAACACAGATGGTGAATTATTAATTCCTTTGTTATTTCTAGATGCTTATGTTTTCCTCATTTGACACTGAGCACCATTGACTCCTTCAGGAAACACAGGTCTTTTGAATCTCTGTTCTCCCTCTTTCCTTTTGTAGAAAGAGCGGGATTTAGAATTGGCCGCTCGCATCGGCCAGTCGTTGTTGAAGAAGAACAAGACCCTAACCGAGAGGAACGAGCTGCTGGAGGAGCAGGTGGAACACATCAGGGAGGAGGTAAGACATTGGAGGCCGAGGCTTCCAGAGGGGCCCGCCACAGGCCTGGGAGCTGGAGGCATGGCTGAAGGAGATGAGAGAATGGAGTCCTAGTTGGAAGGACGCTCCCGAGGGCACGACCGCGGCCTGAGCCCAGAACTGTCTCTTCTGAAACGTTCACCTGGGGACTAAAAGCCACCTTCCTGCAGCTCCTGCTGCTGCTTGTGTCTCTTTTCTTTCCTCAGGCCATGTGGATGGGATGGCTAAGGGCGGGCATGGTCCTCACTCAGTCGTACATCTGTGTGCCATGTTGGGCCAGCCACAGTCCTTGTCCTCAGAGAGTCTAGACTCTAACGATGCAGGCTGATCAAGATGCTCCATGCTTGGCAGAAGGGCACCCAGGCTAACACCACAACGAGCAGGGGTTCCTGAGTCAGGCTGGGCGTGGGCAGCTGGAGAAGGAGCCCTGTTAGGAGGCCAGCTCGTGTACACAGAGGAAAGTGGTGACTCACATTCATCGTTGTAGTATAATTTTGTGTGTGTAAAACAAAACAAGACAAAAATAGCCTGTTGTTTTCATGATAGAAACCCTCTTATTTCCATGATATAAATCTTGGCTGATGGATATCAATGGTGAGAGGAAGGGAATGGAGCTTTTCGGCTTATCTTAGGGTATCTAGGTTTAGAAGGAATGATGCTGATTTTCTGGAAGGGACGTGGTGTGGACAGAGGAGAGCGGCTGTGGAGTCAGATGGGGTTGCTAGGGCAAGAATAAGAAGCTTAGAGCCAGGCCCTACGTAGTAGCTTCTTTCTATCACTCTGTTCTTCTAACAGTTAATTTTAACTGTGACAACACTTCTCCTTGTTTCTTTTCCCCTTTTCTTATTCCTTTCTTTTTTTTTTTTTTTGAGATGGAATTTCGCTCTTGTCATTCAGGCTGGAGTGCAGTGGTGCGATCCCAGCTCACTGCAACTTCCACCCCCCGAGTTCAAGCTATTGTCCTGCCTCAGCCTCCCGAGTAGCTGGGATTACAGGTGCCTGCCACCACACCCAGCTAATTTTTTAATATTTTTGGTAGAGACGGGGTTTCACCACGTTGGCCAGGTTGGTCTCGAACTCCTGACCTCAGGTCATCCGCCCGCCTCAGCCTCCCAAAGTGCTGGGATTACAGGCATGAGCCACTGTGCCCAGCCTTTTTTTTTTTTTTTTTTTTTTTTTTTGAGATAAGGTCTCACTCTGTCACTCAGGCTAGAGTGCAGTCGTGAGATCACAGCTCACTGCAGCCTTGACCTCCTGGATTCAAGCGATCCTCCCACCTCAGCCTCCTGAGTAGCTGGGACTACAGACATGTGCCACCATGCCTGGCTAATTTTTGTGTTTTTTATAGAGAAGGGTTTCACCATGTTGTCCAGGCTGGTCTCAAACTCCTGGGCTCAAGCAATCCACCCGCCTTGGTCTCCCAAAATGCTGGGATTACAGGTGTGAGCCCCTGCGCCTGGCCTCTTCTCCCTTATTTTCTATCAGAAACTTTCTTAGTGGGAGTGGATGCCCTTGTTCATGTTCCTAAGATGTATTCAACCTTTTTCCTTGTTAAAGCTATTCCCAGTACATTGTTGTCTGGGTTTAACAGTAGTTTTAATATGATGAAGCATAGTCGCCACTATGTAAGAAAAGTTTTAATCCTGGGCTTTAAGATTTGATAAGGGAGAATGCTGTTGTATTTTAGGAGAAATAAAGTGATTCGTGCATTCCCTGCCCCCAGAGTCACGACCTGGATTCCCTCTCATGTGACTGGTGAGAAGGCATGCTGGGTCAGCCTGGCCCCCTCCTAGCCACTTCTGAGCAGAGGGACATGCCAGCCAGTAACTCACAAATGGTCACCCGTCAGCTTCTTCACTATACTGTTCTTGCTTGGGACAAGCCTCACCTTGCACAAAGAGGATCCAGCTCTCTGGGAGTGGAAATGCCTTTTTTCCCCCTTGGAAAAGCTTTGAATTTGAAAGCTATGAATGTTTCCCTTTGGCATATTATTAAATTATCAGTCTAGGTGTCGAAGCTAAAACTTTTATGCACGTAAAATTGTCTTCTCCATGGAAGACGTAATAATTCACTCTGTTTTGTAGAAAAGTTGCAATAAACCATAGACCCTAAGTCAAATTATAAACAAGAAAGAGTTAAAACGTAACTGCAATTCTTCTTATAGCACTGGTTCCCTATTCTTCAGTACTGCAGAGTGAAAGGGCAGATGAAAACTTTTACAGTCCAACTTTATTTAAAAACCTTAAGTACAAATCAGGGTGATTTGCAAAGCCATCTCAGCAGAAGTCAATGTAGCCATTCCCTGATGGTTGGCTCTTTTCTTCCTGTGTGTGAAATTCCTATCTAGTAAGCATTGAGCACGGAACGAGGTCTGGCTGGGCTTGTCCAGGAGCCTTGTGAGGGTGCATCACAGAATGGGGCTGTGTGGTCATCCAAGTGTGAGAGCAAGGGTCGGTGAGCTGCCTGTATTGCCCGTGCAGAGCTGGCATCTCCAGGACCCTATTTGGAGTTGGGATTTGGTTCTGGCAGAAGTGAATGAATGGCCTTTTCTTTCATTTAGTAACATGATCAATTTTTCTGGCTATTTGCCCAGCTGATCATCTGGCTATTTCCAAAGCCCCTGAATAGTTGCATCCCCACAAGCATCATTCTTTTTTCTTTTTTTTGAGATGGAGTTTTGCTCTGTTGCCCAGGCTGGAGTGCAGTGGTGTGATCTCAGCTCACTACAACCCCTGCCTCCCGTGTTCAAGCAATTCTCCTGCCTCAGCCTCCCGAGTAGCTGGGATTACAGGCACATGCCACCACTCTTCGCTAATTTTTTATTTTTAGTAGAGACGGGGTTTCACCATGTTGGTCAGGCTGGTCTCGAACTCCTGACTTCAGATGATCTGCCTGCCTCGGCCTCCCAAAATGCTGGGTTTACAGGTGCCAGCCACCGTGCCCGGCCCCCAAGCATCATTCTAGTCCCCTCTCTGCTCCTCCCTGTACCAAAGTAAAAATTATGAATTTAGACAGCTTTCTACCAAAAAGTAATTGTGTTTCTTTTAAATAGATTAAATGAAAGCCTCTTTTTTTGAATAGCACAAAATCAGTTTAAATGCTTTCACTTTCAATGGTGAATTTTCAGAAAAATATTGTCCCTAAGTGTTAAGTGTTGGAATGTGAGTCGGGGGGGACAGTATCACCTTTTGGGAAGCAAATGATGGGCCTGCTCTGCTTGTGCAGGTGTCTCAGCTCCGGCATGAGCTGTCCATGAAGGATGAGCTGCTTCAGTTCTACACCAGCGCTGCGGAGGAGAGTGAGCCCGAGTCCGTTTGCTCAACCCCGTAAGTCACCAGAGGGCTGTATTTCTGGAGGCCAGAGCACAGGCTGGCCGCTGTTGATGTCCTTGGAGTCACCTAGACAGGGTCACCTTCAGCAGCAATGGAGGTCAGCTGCTCTCAGCCTTCTCTGGACCAAACACCTCCAAGTGCCTCAAACAGATTGATTTTACTATTTTAGCGGGATATGGATGGACAGGTTTTTAGTTTTCCTTTTCCTGGGTCTTATTGCTTATTTGTCAATTTAGATTGATTTGCCCTGGCACATTAATGGATAATGGGTTAGGCTCTGCTGTTGGAGAGTATTCAGGGTTCTGGAGCCAGAGGTGCTGTGGCAGGTCCTTGGGACAGAAGGCGTGGTGTCTTCTCTGAGAGTCAGCAGATCCTCATGTTGGGAGCATGAACTCCAGAGCCCAGTGGGCTGGTTGCAGATCTTGGCTCTGGGACTTACTAGCTGCATGCTGTTGGCTAGGTTACTTAACCTCTGTACTTGTTTTGTCATTTGTAAAATGGAGATAACAGTAGAACTTAGGTCACAGAGTTATAAGCATTAATTGAGTTAAAACATACAGAGTACTTACAAATGCATTGTGAGTATTAAATAAACTCCCAGACATCCTGGAATTGTGTAGGCTTTAAACAGAGTTGGTCCCCTGAATTCTAAGGTGATGTGGCAAGTTGTGGATAAAGGGTTGAGATGTGGGTTCAGAATTGGTGGTGAGCCTGTGCACTGGGGGCGCTGTCTTCCTGGGGTTGGGAGAGCCGTCTGGTGGGTCATTGTCCTTCCTGCAAGCCCTTCTTTGTGTCTCCACATGGTTTGCCAGGTGGTGGGAGGAAATGCGTCTCCCTAGGTTGTGAGCGTACTTTCTCCCCCAGGTTGAAGAGGAATGAGTCGTCCTCCTCAGTCCAGAATTACTTTCATTTGGATTCTCTTCAAAAGAAGCTGAAAGACCTTGAAGAGGAGAATGTTGTACTTCGATCCGAGGTGATGTGCCCTCCCTTCTCTTGCCCCTGCTAGAAGGGTGGTGGCCCCATTCGCCTTATCTGGCAAGGACAACCATGGTTAAGTGCCCTCCTCAAAGCTGGCAGTCTGTGAAGAGCTGTACCAGGCGCTCGGCAGATGTGCCTCCTCTATGCTCTGGGCACTGCCTTCCAGCCCAACACATGCCTCCCTGGCTGGGGCAGGCAAACCTGGTGAATGACATGGTGTGTGGACTGGGAAGAGTTGGAGGGCCCCTCCTTCACAGTCACTCCTGCAGTGAGGTCTCCCATGGTGTTCTCCAGCTCTGACCACAGCACCTGTGGAGAAACCCAGCCTTGTTTTCATGCTGCCACAGATCAGATGCTCAAGGAAGTAGTCCATGGGTGCTCAGAGAGAGCCATATTTCTTTTTCTTTTTTTCTTTTTTTTTGAGATGGAGTCTCGCTATGTCACCCAGGCTGGAGTGCAGTGGTGCGATCTTGGCTCTGCAACCTTCGCCTCCCAGGTTCAAGCTATTCTCCTGTCTTAGCCTCCTGAGTAGCTGGGACTACAGACGCATGCCACCATGCCCAGCTAATTTTTGTATTTTTAGTAGAGACGAGGTTTCACCATACTGGTCAGGCTGGTCTTGAACTCCTGACCTCAGGTGATCCACCTGCCTCGGCCTCCCAAAGTGCTGGGGTTACAGGCGTGAGCCACCGTGCCTGGCAGAGTCATATATTTCTTAAACAATTAACTCAAAAAGGTTGAGCTGAGGCAACTTGGGGACTCATGCTTTTGAGTTTGTTTTATTGGCAAGGCAGTGTGCCAGGCATTTTGCCCACATTTTTTTTTTAGAGTTCACAGCAGGGCTGAAAGCTCGTTACTTTGATTCTCATTGGAACGGTGGGCCCCAGGCTGCTAGGTGTTTTGATAACCCGAGGTCATTTGAGTGAGTAAATGACAAAGCTAGGATTTGCAAGTCTGTGACTCTAAGCCCCTTGTTTTTCACCTTCACCCACTGCCCCTCTCTAGAAACACCGATAGGTGCAAATTTAGTACTGTTTGTCTTAATTAGTGGTGAGTTTCTGTTCTCTAGCCGAGGTATGGTGTGGTACAGTACGGCCCTGTTTATCAGGCCCCTGTGTGTCAGGTTGGAGCTGTGTGCCCACCTAGGCTGGCCCTGGGTTCTTGAGAGCCCCTTAATAGTGCAGACCATCTGTCAACTTGAACTTGCCCACACCTTGGTAAGATCTTCATGTCCCGTCTGAACAAGATGCTCTTCTGCACATCTTGTTCTGTTAGACCTCACCTCTTCCAGCACCTTGTTCACTGATGGGTCATGTAAACCCAGATTGACCAAGAAGTCTGCCTAGGTTTCCTCTGCCAGCCAGTTGCTGGGCAAGGCAACAGCCCTGTGCTCCCTATTCTGAGTTCAGTGCTACCTCTTCCAGCACCTGCCCCAGGTAAATGCTCCAGCCCCGGGCGCCCAGCAACTCACCCAAAGCTAGCTGAGGGAATCTGATCCCAGCTACAGATTCCTGCTACCCCACATCCATTTTCTGAAGTGTAATGATTTTCTGGGGCCAGGACTGAGGGCTCAGAGACACTTCTGTCTAACTGGGGCTCTTGCTTGCTTGCTTGCTTTGCCTCTTTCTCTCCCTCTTTCTCTCCTCCCTCCCTCCCTCTCTCCCTTCCTCCCTCCCTCCCTCCATGGGAGTCTTGCTCTGTCACCCACGCTGGAGTACAGTGGCGTGATCTTGGCTCAAGCAGCCCTCCCATCTCGGCCTCCCAAAGTGCTGGGATTATAGGTGTGAGCCACTGCGCCTGGTCTCGGGGCTTCTTCTTTGGGCCTTCAGATCTCTATCATCCCACCCTTTTCAGCCAGGGCAAGTTGTCCAGAGTCCTGGGGTGGCTCTTGTGCCTCTGCATTTTAATGCTTTTGTGTTGGACCTTGTTCTTACTAAGCTTGAACACAGCAGGTTTAACTCCAACTTGGGACCTCATATGTTCAGTGCCTGGCACATAGTAAGTGTTAGCCATTCCTGTGTGGTTATCCTTAGGATGCCTGCTGTGGGTAGTGTCCTAGGCACTGTGCGGGTCACAGAGCATCCATATTTATGAGCCAGGACAGCCACAAATAACAGATACAATGATAGGATGGTGGTGTTCGTGGTGTTTTTAACAGAGCAAGCTGTAGAGCACCTGTGCCCGTAGCTGTGTGTGGCGCCCTCTAGTGGTATGCGTTTTTCAGGTTTTCAGCTTTGAGTGCACATCCATTATTAAGCTGGGAATTCAGATGGACTTTCTGTATTTGAGGGTACGATGGGTGACAGGTGGGGGAATGCTAAGGGCAGCTTCCCAGACCCCAGTTAGCCTTTGCTTTATGCCTCAGCCCTTGCCTGCACCACCAGGCCAGGTGAGAATGTGGGGCCTCTGACCTGGGTCTTGTCTACAGGCCAGCCAGCTGAAGACAGAGACCATCACCTATGAGGAGAAGGAGCAGCAGCTGGTCAATGACTGCGTGAAGGAGCTGAGTATGTCCCCGCACTGCTGTCTTCTTACTTCCTTGCATCTGCTGTCATGATTAGACAGATTTGCGTCAGCCTTGCTAAAGTGCAGTCTCCTGCCAGCCTACGGCTCAGCAGCATTTTTCTTAAAACTAGAGGCCTCCCCAACCTTGTGTGGCACCCCCTCTCTATTATTTAGTGCTAAGTTGCCAGCTATGTATTATCTCAGTTTATCACTGAGGTGGATATTTAAATTTAATTTTGGCTTTATACTGGAATATTGGAATTTTTTTTTTTTTTTTTTTTTTTGAGACAGAGTCTCACTCTGTCACCCAGGCTAGAGTACAGTAGTTGCGATCTCGGCTCACTGCAACCTCTGCCTCCCGGGTTCAAGTGATTCTGCCAGCTTAGCCTCTCAAGTAGCTAGGATTACAGGCACCCACCATCATGCCTGGCTATTTTTTTGTATTTTTGTAGAGGCAAGGTTTCACCATGTTGGCCAGGCTGGTCTTGAACTCCTGACCTCAGGTGATCCACCTGCCTTGGCCTCCCAAAGTGCTGGGATTACAGGCGTGAGCCACCACCCCTGGCCAGAATATTGGAATTTTTTAATGCCTAAGTTAGGCCCAGCTACAGAAAACTGTGTTGAAAATGTGGCAGAACAGCTTACTACCAGTAATTTGATTTGTGGAAGCTGAAGCCAGGGTTCTCACCTTTGCAAATAAATATTTCTCTCCTCCTCTTCATTTTAAGTTTACAAGTTAAGACCAAAGGTCAAAATACTAAGTATATTGCATTTCGTCAAAGTACTAAGTATTTTGCATTTCGTCAAAGTACTAAGTATTTTGCATTTCGTCAAAGTACTAAGTATTTTGCATTTCGTCAAAGTACTATTTTGCATTTCGTCAAAGTACTAAGTATTTTGCATTTCAGCAAAATAATGATGAAACACACCTCATGTTCAAATCTAGTCAAGTGAGTTATGACTCTGAATATGGGTTGAAAACTCCAAGGAAATTGCACTGTGCAGTCAGTAGTTCCTTTTTAGAACTGGGTGCAGCAGGGGATTCCTGTTTAGTCACATGGGTTCTCTTGTGTGGAATGTGAGGATGTGGCTAGATGCACTCATGTTTTGTTTGTCACTTTCTATCTGACCACTGGAGCCTTCCTGATTTGTTCTGGGGAGACAGCCTTGGTTGGTGGGCTTGGGACCCTACACTGAGCTCAGGAGTGCTATCTAATGGGGTGAGATTCTTTTTCATAACTGATTGAGCCCTGAAGAAGCTGCTTTGCTTCTCCATGTGGGAAAATGGTCATTATGAGTTCCTTCCTGCACCCTCCCCACTCTACCCTGTCTTTTAGTAAGGATGGTTTTTCTTGTGCAAACCACAAAGAAACCATTCTCTCTGGGTCTGCATGTGTGGTTTTCTGACTTCCTCTCCTGATTGTTGCTTCTTTGTCAAAGGGGATGCCAATGTCCAGATTGCTAGTATCTCAGAGGAACTGGCCAAGAAGACGGAAGATGCTGCCCGCCAGCAAGAGGAGATCACACACCTGCTATCGCAAATAGTTGATTTGCAGAAAAAGGCAAAAGCTGTAAGGCTTCTCTGTTTATCTGGCTGATACAACAATGGCCATGCTGAGACGGGGAAGGGACATTTACTCCAGAAGACAGTGCTCTTTAGTTTCATATCTTAGCAGTTCGTGTTGCCGCTTTGCAGAAAAAGCTTAGTGGACTCAGTAGTATAAAACTGATTACCTGAATTGGTGACGAGTCTTATTTGTGACCTCTTATCTCCTAAAATTATATTGAATTCATTAAAAAGATGTTGTAAATATGGACTTTTGCAGTTTAACTTATGGATCATCTAGTCTAGTATTTGTTTTTACACAGTGCACTAGATATGTGCTGCAGTAGAGCAGTATCCTCTTCAGATTTAAGAAGAGGCAGCAAAATGGACTTTGCTATTAGTGTGGGGTAAAATGCTTCCAGAGAGCTTTGGAAGATGGGGGTGGGGCGGTGGGCTATAGAGAATGAATGTGGATATAGGAAAGACTTTACCTTCAAAATAATATAAAAAGCAGAATTTGAGTATAAGATGAGCATGTCCTTGTAGAAAGTGATGAGTTCATTACAGATTAGGTTAATAAGAGGGAAAAAGTTGGACTTTTACCAAGTATCTTAGGAAGTGATCTATCTTTGCCATGCTTTAGTGCGCAGTGGAAAATGAAGAACTTGTCCAGCATCTGGGGGCTGCTAAGGATGCCCAGCGGCAGCTCACAGCCGAGGTGAGCACCTCTCCCTCATTCCTTCAGTGCCTCTGATTGCAGCCAAGGTGGATTAGCCTTCCCGGACAGCTTTAGTCACGTCCATCGCAACTACTGTTTTTATTTTGAATTTCATTTCATTTTTATTCGTGGGAGAGTAAACCCAGTTGCACCTTGGTTCTGTGCCCACTGACACTGTTACTGGTTATGGGCACCTGTGTGGCAGGGCTCTACACCAGCTGAGCCTGGCACGTGCAGGTGTCCAAAAAATGTTCAAAGAAATGAAACAATACAACACAGAGCACTCTGGGAGAGGAATCTCACAGGTGTGGCTTGAAACATGGGTGTGACGATTTTCTTTTTCTTTCTCTCTTTTTCTCTTTTTGAGATGGGGTCTCATTCTGTCACCCAGGCTGGAGTACAGTGGCATGAGCATGGCTCACCGCAGCCTCGACCTCTCCAGGCTCAGGTGATCCTCCTGAGTATCTGGGACTACAGGTGTGGGCTACCACACCCACCTAATTTTTGCTTTTTTTTTTTTGAAAGATGAGGTTTTCCCATGTCGCCCAGGCTGGTCTCAGCTTCTGTGCCCAAGCAAACTGCCTGCCTTGCCCTCCCAAAGTGCTGAGATTACAGCTGTAAGCCATCATTCCTAGCCTGATTTTTCTTTTGCATGAAGTTGGTTTTGTTTCATTTGCCCATTGTTGGTATTTTAGAAGATTTCTGAGTCTGTAAGCTTGCCTCAAGTCAAAGAAAAAGCAAGCCTTTGAAAATTCTGTTATTTGGCCACAGGCGCACAGGGCAGCTGGTTCCACACGTGCTGGGGACTCTTAGATTGCTGTGTCTTTCTGGCCTTCGGATGGGCAGATGTGTGTACACCTGGGTGCTCAGGAGATCCTGACCCTCTGTGTCTTTCCTGCCTGCAGCTGCGTGAGCTGGAGGACAAGTACGCAGAGTGCATGGAGATGCTGCATGAGGCGCAGGAGGAGCTGAAGAACCTCCGGAACAAAACCATGCCCAATACCACGTCTCGGCGCTACCACTCACTGGGCCTGTTTCCCATGGTGAGCTGTGCTTTCTTCCCAGCCAGAGGACAGGAGGGGTTCTGGTGACAGGAGCACAGTGTCTGACATTCTGGCCACTGGAGTTGGGTGTTCACAGTTCGCTTCTCGTTGTACAGTTCAGATCTGAGTCTGAATCAAGGACACTTGAATCTGACTGGTGGTTTCTTAACTACATAAGACAAATTGGTTATTTTCTGTTCCTCTAAATCTGTGGTCTTTTCTACTCCTGCCATTAAAAGATAAATTTAGTAGGAACTTGCTTTAGTGGGAACCTGAGGTATTTGGAAGATCTGACTCATACAGGTTGAGCATCTCTAATCCAGAATGCTTCACAATCCAAAACTTCCTGAGCACTGACATGATGCATTGTAGACATTTAATAGACATTACGTTTAGACGGATAGTTGGACAGATAGACAGATGGCCTAAAGAGCAAACTCAAGAACTCCTGTGTATTCCAGCTCTATTTCCATGGTTTGATGAAATGCTAAATGCTCTCTGAGGAGAGAAGAGCTTTTGAGAGAAACTCCCCCAAGTGAGATAGGAGCGGATGGCTGCGTAAATGCTCGTGAGATTCTGTCCCTTCTGAAATTGGCCTTTTCCTTGGAGCTCTTTCCCTTCAGCCCCCATTGCTGACCCCCAGCAGATACTATCCCCATCCCCCACTCCTTGTTGTCTGGCCCACCTTCCCTAAATCGTGATTTCTTTTCTTCTTTGCTCCCATGCATCAAAGTCAGGAAGTCAGGCTAGAATAGCCACCACCCCCTCTCCGCCTCAAGAAGCTTCACTGAAATCTGAGGGAAACAAAAAGAAAGACATATAACATAGTCAGCTTTCTAGGGCACAGATGGGTGATCCAGTGATTCCAGGAATCTCAGTAAAAGCAGCAAAGAATATTCAGTCCCCCAAGTTCCCTGATCTAGCGCTAACCACACTTGGCTCACACGCTGGCCTGTGTAGCTTTGCAGGCTCCTTACCTGGGTTCCCTCCTTCCTGGCTTGTCATCTTGGTGCAGTGAGCTCCTGGCGCTGTCTTGTTTCCTGGGCACCCAGGATCCACTCCACTGCCTTCCCCACTCTCAAGGGCAGACCTCTCTTTGAAAACTGAACTATTGTGTGAGAAAAGTCGAATTGAAATTTGCATTTCAGTTTCTTTTTGAGGGATTCTCAGCTTTCATATTTGCTGAGGTAAAGTTTTTGTTTGCCTTTTTCTGTAGCTCTTGGCACAGCCCAGTTTTTGAAGATGGCTATTTTTAAAGTGTATTATGCATTAAAGGTATTTAAAGCAGTCTAAAGATTGCATCATGCAGAACGCCCAGATCTGCCTCTTTTGCTCCTAGCCATTCTAATCGCTGAATAAAACAGTGAGTAGCAGTTTTTGCACAACTATGTTCCCAATTCTCTTGCCCAATGGCAGGAGTTCATCTGGGATCCACAGACGAAATTTGGGGGGGGCCTGTGAAATTAGTTCCTAATTGTACTCAATATTTCCTTCCTGTATGAAGGTCACCAGGTCACAGTGATATTAGCACTGCTTGTGACTTTGTCATCATTAGAAATCACAGGTATTTTTATGGCACATTTCTTTTTCTCTTCTTCTTTTTTTTTTTTTTTTGAGACGGAGTCTTGCTCTGTCATCCAGGCTGGAGTGCAGTGGTGCGATCTTGGCTCACTGCAACCTCCCTCTCCTGAGTTCAAGCGATTCTCCTGCCTCAACCTCCCAAGTAGCTGGGACTACAGGCATGTGCCACCACGCCCGGCTAATTTTTTTTTTTTTTTGTATTTTTAGTAGAGATGGGGTTTCACCATGTTGGCCAAGCTGGTCTCGAATTCCTTACCTCAGGTGATCCACCCGTCTCGGCCTCCCAAAGTGCTAGGATTACAGGCATGAGCCGCCGCGCCTGGCCCTATGGCACATTTCAGTTGTTACAGCTGCCTCACAACACCACAGATGCTGATCTCCACTTCAAAATGACAGCAGTAACCAGTCCTGAACTAATTTCTCTCTCCTTTCTCCTCTCTCTCTCTCTCTCTCTTTCTCTTTCTCTCTCTCTCTCTCTCTCACACACACACACACACACACACACACACACACACACGTTGTTATATTGATACATATCTGCCTTCTTTTATAATCATAATTTTATTTGCCTAAAAATATTATTCCAGGAAGGAGTCCACAGACTTGCCTGGATTGCCAGAGGGGAGAGGGTCATGGCCAAAAACAAGTCACAGAGCCTGCATGTGACTTTTTCTCAGTATGGCTTTGAAATTACAGTCATCCCTGAGTATCTGAGGGGGATTGGTTCCAGGACCCCCTGCAGATACCAAATCCTTCAATGCCTAAGTCTCTGATATAAAAGGGCATAGTGTTTGCTTATAACCTATGCATGCCCTTCCACATACAAAAAGATCATCTCTAGATTGCTGGTAATACCTCATACAATGTAAATGCCATGTAAGGAGTTGTTATACTGTACCGATTTTTAAATTTGTATTATTTTTTGTTTTTTTTCCCCCCAAATTTTCTATCTAAGATTAGTTGAATCTGAAGAAGTGGAACCCACAGATACGGAGGGCTGACTGTAGTAATTTGACACTTCATTTTTCTTAAGGTGTATGAAGGTCCTTTCTTCTCTATTTGTAAATTATGTGGTGAATAACAGTATTAAAAAATAAGCTGGCTTAAAAGATGTCAGACTCACCTAGGGAAGTCCTTACTGGACATAACGTTTAATGGCAATCTGTGGGTAATAATTACAAAATAAAATGCATATTTGTGAACAAGGACTGAAAAAAGCCTGCTAGCCCTTTATTCATCTCACTTCCTGCTGACTCCTGTGGAGTCTCCCCGCTTGGTTCCAGCCTCCAGACCGGAGCATCCGCATGGACCATGAAGCTGCTGAGGTGGATGCCCTGGAGTCCCCAGGCGGTATCTGCTGGGAAGCCACTGGCCACATGTGGCTGTGCAAATTTAAATCAATTAAGTTAAAATATAATTACGAATTCAGGTCCTCAGTCACAAGCCACATTTCTTGTGCTCACTAGCCACCCCTGGCTGGTGGTTTCCACATGTACATATGTCCCAGCACAGAGGATGCGTCCATCATCACAGGTTGTTCTGTTGTTTAACATGAATTTAGCCTTTCCCTTCAGGTTATCCTCCATGGATATCCTCCTCTGGTGCTGAACTGGTGCTTTTCTGCACACACTTGGTCCTGTGGGTATCTACCATGTGTAAAGGATTGTGTGTTAGGCTCCACCTCCTACAGTGCTGAGTGATGGGTGGTACAGGAGAGGGGACATCCATCTGGCAGCCTTTAATGTTGAGTCTCAGCTTGAGGCCTGGCCCATTGGTGAAGTGAGAAGCCATCAGTGACTAGCCTTCCCCTGACCCACAAAGCTGGAGAGAGAAACATGTGAGCTGTTGAGAAGAGTGGCAAAGACTTACTGTGTTTGGTGTCTGCTTCAGAAAAAAATGTGAGATTCCTAGTGGAAACAGGAATCCTACATTTCCTGGGCAGGTTGTTTAAAGGTGGGTGGGCCATGGATAGTTGGCGGTGAGAGGAACTTCCCTTGCAGGAGGCCAGGGAGGATGAGAGCAGGGACCTAGAGATGGCAGTGCGTGTGACTCACGTCACGTCTGTAGAGACCCTCTCACTAGCACAGAACCAGAGTGCCCTTTGGAGGTGGGAAAGGCTTCCCCAGGAGCCGAAGTTGGAGGCCCTTGGTCTATTCTTGGTGTCAGAATCTTAGACACAGAGGGGGTGTGACAGACCCTGTAGACTAGGGGGACAATAGCTTTGTGTGGCTTGTATGGGCTCTGTTGCCATATCTCACTGTAAGCTCAGAGGTATTTGGAAATTCACCTGTCTCCATCATTCTGAACACATCACCCCTCCCTCATAAGTTCTGCATCCCATCTCGTAGCCATGGTTACAGCTCCATGGTTTGGCCAACGGAGCATAGGGTTTGCTTTTAGACACCTAATGGCATATGAGTCAGCAGCTTTACACTCAGTGCCCAGTGGCACTGCCACACTCAGAACCTGCCTGGGAAACTGCTCAGCCAGGGTCTCTGACAACAGAGAGTGCTGTTAAGTTTGTGTTGTGGGAAGACCGTGAGCTTCTGATGCCTTGGTTTACTCTCCATGGCCCACCTGGGTGCATACCTCTTTTAGAGACAGAGCATTTGAATTGGCGCTCACTTGACATTTGTCTTTCTGGCTTTTCCCAGGATTCCTTGGCAGCAGAGATTGAGGGAACGATGCGCAAGGAGCTGCAGTTGGAAGAGGCCGAGTCTCCAGACATCACGTACGGCCACAGTTTTTACAGTTTTGAGATTCCCAGAGACCAACTTGGACCAGTGCAGTGTTCAAAACCTAGCAATGTTGAGGCTCTGGGTACCGACAGTGATTGACTATTGTCCTTCCCAGTCCAGATTAAGGGAAATAATAGAACACAGCTGACAGCATCCCTCAGCTCCTCTTATTATCTTTTGTTAGTGTTAATTTTTATTTATTTATTTTTTAGAGATGGGGTGTCTCACTTTATTGGGCACGCCAGAGTGCAGTGGTGTGATCATAGCTCACTGCAGCCTCGAACTCCTAGGCTCAAGTAATACTGCTGCCTCAGCCTCTTGAGTAGCTAGGACTACAGGCGCATGCCACCATTTCCAGCTAATTTAAAAAAATCTTTTGTAGACATAGGGCTTCACCATGTTGCTCAGGCTGATCTCAAACTCCTGGCTTCAAGTGATCGTCCTGCCTTGGCCTTCCCAAAGTGTTGGGATTACAGGCGTGAGCCACCACTGGCCTGTGAGCCACTGTGCTCCTCTTCTTCTTAGGTTTTAAAGACAAATTGTGAACTTCCAGAAAGTCCTAGAAAAGGAGAGATGTCTTTCCCATCTCTCTTAACACAAGCTTTGTCTTGATATAGCTACACGTTTTTATCTTTCCTTTCAGTGGAAAACATTTAAAAAATTTAAAATCAACGTAGTGTGAGATTCAGAGGGGTCTTCAAAGATTTTGTGCAAGGCTTCCATCTCCATCTGAATACACCTAGGGATATGAGCTTCTACCATCTGTCTTCCTACCTCAACTCTTGTACTTAACCTGCCCCAAGGTGTTTGTAAGGAACATGTGGACCAGGTTTCATTGTGTTTTCTGTGTACTCAGACTCCATAGACAGAACTTAAATGAGATCCTGGGAGTGGCAAGTGTCCAAGTGAGGTTTGGTATATGTGTGACACCCTCTGCAGCCCAGAAGGAAGTGGCCATTGTAAAAACATGCCTACCCTTTTCTCTTTAAAAGGGAACAAATGAGCATCAAAGTGGTTCTGCTCCTAAAATAACACTTTCCAAAATTAGACAAATCTAGTATTTATCATCTTATTATAGAAGTGAAAGACTAACTTGAAGTCTTCCTTTTTTTATATGAATGTTCAACAAATATCCATTCTACAAGTATTGATTGATTTCTGCTGCGCTGAGCAGTAAACACTGCCCTGCTGCAGCGTTTATTCTAGTGAATATTATGAAAAAAGAAATCTAGGAGACAAAAGTCATACTTAAGTATTTTTATTTGTGGGTTAAGCTTTAGGGATGTGAAACACAATTTCACTCTTGCTGGCATCACCTTTAGGATACAACCATGCGTTCGAGTCCTGGGTTTAGTGGGTGTTGAATCTCTCAAATTTCGCATTGTGAAGGAGGCAGCCAATACCCTAAGAAACAGGTGGCAGGCACAGGATAGCAGGCTGCTGGGGGACTCGTCATAGGCCAGGTGCCCTTTTGGCTCAGTTGATCATTTTTGGAGGGTTAAACTCCAGGGTTGTGCCCGCATTTGCTCACTCACGGATGCCGTGCATTCTCCCTAGTCACCAGAAGCGTGTCTTTGAGACAGTAAGAAACATCAACCAGGTTGTCAAGCAGAGATCTCTGACCCCTTCTCCCATGAACATCCCCGGCTCCAACCAGTCCTCGGCCATGAACTCCCTCCTGTCCAGCTGCGTCAGCACCCCCCGGTCCAGCTTCTACGGCAGCGACATAGGCAACGTCGTCCTCGACAACAAGACCAACAGCATCATTCTGGAAACAGAGGCAGCCGACCTGGGGTGAGCAAGCTGGGAGTTTTCACTTCTCTGTTTTGGGGTGAGGAGTGGTAGTATGGATTGTCTGCAGGCTCAGTAATTATTAAGAGGGAGGTAGATGAGAGTCACCTGAAAAATACAGACCTGGCCGGGCGTGGTGGCTCGCGCCTATAATCCTAGCACTTTCGGAGACCGAGGCGGGAGGATTGCCTGAGCTCAGGAGTTTGAGACCAGCCTGGGCAACATTGCAAAATCCCATGTCTACTAAACATACAAAAAATTAGCTGGGCATGGTGGCATGCACCTGTAATCTCAGCTACTCAGGAGGCTGAGGCAGGAGAATCGCTTGAACCCGGGAGGTGGAGGTTGCAGCAAGCTGATAATTGCACCACTGCACTCCTGTCTGGGTGACAGAGTGAGACTCTGTCTCAAAAAAAAAAAGCGGACCTTACAGTTCTCCAAATCTGTTCTGCTTACCCACTTGAGCCTATGCCTATCCTTGATATGATATTTTAATCAGCTTAAAGATGTATAACAAGATGATACCAGAAAGTCTGCTTTCCTGTGAAATGCTTGGGGGAAGGATTAATGAATATTTTTTTTTTTGTTAATCTTCACGGTAAGGCTACAGAATAGACATTTGTTTTGTGACCGTTTTGTAGCTTGATGTTGGAAAGGCTGAGGAGGACTCAGGCTGTCTGTCTTGTGACCAGAATGTGGTCACAAGGTTCAGAGGGTGGGGTGCAGGGGGGCCAAGGTGCCCAGGACTGGGCTTTCCTCAGGAATGGTCAGTTCCTCTTTGTCCTGAAGCCCTGCAGAACCTGGACGGACGGACGGACGGACGGACAGACGGACACACACACACACACACACACACACACACACACACACACACACACACCATTGTCTACTTTGTGCATCCTTTTCCTCTGACTTAATAAAATTGATTCTTCCGGACCAGTTGGAACAGACAGACAGGAAGCTCCTTGATCAGAGCAGGTTTTGTTCAGAGTTGGGGTCTGGGCTCTTTTCCTTCAAGAGAAGAGAGAAACATGCCTTAACCCCATTATCCTTCTGGTAGCCAGGAACAGCAACCTACAGGTTTCTTCCTAAAGGTTCTTCAGGGAGATGTTTACAGGGACTGAATTTACTTAGTCTGTGTGCAGATATTCATCCCACCTTAGTCCTCACCCCACCTCAACCCCACTAAAAAAGACCCCTGGCGGGAGTGGTTCTGGACACGAATTTATTTCCCCCTGTTGCCTAAATGTCAACTGCTTGCCTTGGTTCCCATGGAGAATCCTGTAGCCCCAGGGAACGTCCACCGCTGTGCATTGAGCAGTCGGGCCTCTGTGGCCTTGGAGCCCTGCTGGCATTCCACCCTCACACCCCTTTCTTCTTCCAGAAACGATGAGCGGAGTAAGAAGCCGGGGACGCCGGGCACCCCAGGCTCCCACGACCTGGAGACGGCGCTGAGGCGGCTGTCCCTGCGCCGGGAGAACTACCTCTCGGAGAGGAGGTTCTTTGAGGAGGAGCAAGAGAGGAAGCTCCAGGAGCTGGCGGAGAAGGGCGAGCTGCGCAGCGGCTCCCTCACACCCACTGAGAGCATCATGTCCCTGGGCACGCACTCCCGCTTCTCCGAGTTCACCGGCTTCTCTGGCATGTCCTTCAGCAGCCGCTCCTACCTGCCTGAGAAGCTCCAGATCGTGAAGCCGCTGGAAGGTGATCACGCGGGGCCTCGGCCCCTCTCTGTCCTCCTGGGGGACTCCCTTTGGTCCCTGATCCACCTGCGGAAGGCGGGGCACCTCTGTCACGCCTACTCCTTTTTCTTCCGCGACAGCCACCCGCGCTGCTGGTTTGAGTTCCTCTGAGGGTGGTGCTCAGCCTAGGCCTCCGTCCCTCCCCTCTGGCTGGCAGGTGTGACAATGCACACATAGGCCATGAAACTCGCCGAGGAAAGACAAGCATGTGCACTGTGGTCTTCTAGTTCTTTCCTTTGCCTTTAGAACCTTAGAAATAAAAACTTTTGTGGCGGTAGAGGCACTGCTAACTGATTCAAAAATTAATTAGGTTTTGCCTGTGGGTGTGAGGAATGCAGAAAATTAATGCTTTAGCTTTTCTGCAGTTTTGGTGTCGGGGAGAGGTTCCAAGCAAACTCTATTAAATGGGGATTTTTTTTTCCCCATAACCACCTGAATGTGATTTGTGGGCTTATGTGTTCTGATTTGAACTTCATATAGCAAGGTTGTGGCTTTTGGCAGATGCAGTATGTTCTGAGCGCGGCTCCTAGAGTCTACAATTTGGAGTCCAGGAAGGGGTGGCTGTGGAGACAAGTGAGTTTTGTACCTCCGTAAGCCACCCTTTTTCAGGGTCAGTTCATGTGTTAGTATCAGGGGCATCTCAGATGATTAAACTCATGGGAAAAACTTCCTCCTTCCCTCTCTCCCTCTTGCCCTCCTGCCTCTTTTTTTTTTTTTTTTTTTTTAATTTAGGCACTTATAAAATGTTTTCCCTCTACCTGCTGCTACTCTGCCAAGAGCCACCAAGTGCTTATATTTTTCATTTTTTACTCCTTTAGTTTGGAAAGCCATATACGTTTGAGAAGGTGTTTTAAAACTCTGTGTTACACTTACGATGCAAAGCCAAATCAGAACTTCTGTAAGGCAGAACTTTCCCAACTTTAAAAAAATTATTGTCCCCTCTAAGGAGCCTTCTTAGACGTTTTTTCCTAATCACCCCCCAAAGACATTTTAATACCACATATATATTGTTTATGTACTATATGTATATACATAAACAATACATAAGCAATACATCTGTGGTATTAAAATTAAAAAGAATCCAATTATGTTTACCTCAAAAGAACCTGTTTTTGCTTCTTGGGAGCAATATTGCCCCTGTGAGACTGCATGCTATAAGGTAAGGTTGTGCTTGTTAAAGACCCAAGACATGACTGGGTTCCACAGTCTCCAAAGGAAGAGGGTGGGCTAGTTTGTTTTTATTATTATTTTAAAATTGTATAATTGGGGTCTTTCTTAGAGTTCAGAAAAGGTATAGCTTACTCTTTTTTAATTGTTTATTTAGTTGTAAGCTTGGTGATTGTTTTCTGATCCACATTGTGTGTGTTCTTCAATAAAATCTTTCATTTCTGCAATTTTACTTTCTGCCTTACTTTTCTTTTTTCTCCTTTGTCACTCAAAGATCATTGGAATTTATCATCTCTGTCTTGTCTGCTTTCTATATTTGACTCTGTGTTTCATTAGATCATCTAAGAATATGTTTTTGAATTTATTTTCAAAGCACATGTTTTAGCCAGTTCATCTTTATGTCTTTTAATTTTGTGACTTGGCAGTATTTTTGTGATTAGTTAATAGGATAATAGGAAATCCTGTTAGATTAGCAAGGTGAATTTCATCTATAGTGCTCTGCTACCCAGGAGGCTAAAACAATACAATTAAAAAGTTATTTGTCTTATCACAGTGGCCTATAACACAACCTCATGATACAGATTCTTTTGATTCCATTTTGTAGTTCTCTGACTTCTTAGCTGTTTATTTATGTATTTAGTTTTTGAAACAGGGTCTCGCTGTGTCACCCAGGCTGCAGTACAGTAGTGTGATCATAGCTCACTACATGCCTGAATTCCTGGGCTCAAGCAATCCTCCCGCCTCAGCTTCCCAAGTAGCTAGGACTACAGGACTGCACCACCACACCTGGCTAATTTATTTATTTGTAGAGACAGGGTCTTACTATGTTGCCTAGGCCGGTCTTGAACCATTGCCCTCAAGTTACCCTTCCACCTCAGCCTCCCAAAGTGTTAGGATTACAGGCATGAGTCACCACACCTGGCTCAGACTTCTTAGCTGTTACAACCAGTATTTTCTTTTTTCCCTCCCCTCCACAGTTATTTTTTGTGTTACCATGTTTAATATGATAAGATGGGATGCTGACACAGAAGTCAGCCTGGGCTAGGTTCAGTACAGCTCTGACTGTGACATTAGATAAATCACCCCACTTTTTGAGCCCTGTTTCCTATTTAGTTGTGGTTGTGAAATAGGCTGATAGCCATCAGACCAGACTGTGGTGAGGAGTAAATGTGAAGTATTTTATATTGTACCTGGCATCTAATAGGTGCTTATTAAAATGTTGGCTTCCCAAGCTTGCTCCAATCCAGGTCTGTAGGGCTGAGTTACTAGTATTGAGATCTGGACCAGCACTAGGGTCATGTTCTTAAATTATCTTTTTCTATTGGCCCACTGAGAAGCTAGTAAGATTCCCATAATCACCAGCAGCCCAGGTAAATGTACCTGGGGTGAGGTCCCTAGAGACTGTTGGCTGAGATCATAGCAGATAGCCAATCAGTGTTTTCCATCTGGCTCCGTTACCTGTTGAATTAATCTTGCCATCTGCTTATTGTGAAAGCCAAAAAGCTAAGTGTTTAAGAGTGCTAGCACTTTCTTGTCTCTTCATCTTACCTTACCAGTTTTAAGCAGGTGAAGAACAAACAAACCATTCAAACTAGAAAGATATCTGTGTTAAAAAGACCAAGGCGGGCAGTATTTTTTTCCTGTAATTTGCACTTCCTTTCTGCTTAATCATAACCAAGGTAGCATTTCCAAATAAATAATATGTAAATAAGGGAAAGGATACACTTCAAAGCTGTACATTATCCAGCAGGTTTCATTCTAGTATCTAAGCCCTGATGCTCCTCTGACATCAGTGGATTTTGGGGTTTCCTCTCCTTTGATGACTTGAAAATGTTTTAGCTGGAACACTGGGGTATGGAAGGAAAGCAGAGGGGGAAGGACGCAATGACCATAGTCATGTTTTCCCCACTGTCCGTGCCCTTTTCCCATAGAACTTTATCTTGGGGCCAACCAGGAACATGAAGTTTCCTCTCTTTCCTTGCCCTGTTTGCCTAATTCCTGCCTGGTTTTAATGTGGGTGGGAGGAGTGAGCAGGTCTTGAGTTGGTAATGGGAGGTAGCTCATATTACAGTGTTTGGCAAGTAAAGGAAGCCAGGCTGGGGAATGAGCTGGAGAAATGGAAAGAAAGAGGTAACTTGGGCTCTGAATAAGATGCAATTCATATTTATTTTTTAATTCTTATACCTTCTTATGTCAAAGGAAGGACTCCAGGCAGCCAGGGGATTGGTAGAATTCCCACATGATGGTTTAGGCAGCAGCAGGGAGGTGAAGCATGAGGTGTTCTGCCCAGTTGATGGGTTTGGCAAACCCCGCTGGGACTTTGGAACCAGCCAGAAGTGGAGATAGTCCATGAGCCCCATAGCATGACATAACTGAAATAGCACAGTCAGGTTTGAGAAAGCACCCACATGAGAATCTAGAAAGCCATTCAGTTGTGTTATTGACTAGGTTTCGGAGGCTCTCATGTGTAAGGCCTGTCACTGCTGAGAGTTAAGAGAATGGACACTGGAGCCAGCCTTGGTTTCAGTCCCAGATCAGTCAAGCCACTTGCCAGCTCTGTAGCCTCTAGCAAGTTACTTTCCCTTCCCGTACTCAAGTTTCCTCATCTGCAGAATGCAGACAGCAGGGATAACGTGAAGATTAAGTGAATTATAAATGTAGACCTCAGAAAAGTGTCTGGCGCTTAGTAAAAGCCCAGTAAAAGTTGGCTGTTCTTACATGGGTGTTCTTACATCCCAAGGCATGGGATAAAAATCTGAGCATGATGCGTCTTTTCACATAATGTTTTAGTTGTAATTTCACTAAATTTCCTTGGCTGTGGAGTGTCAGAGAATGCAAGTAATTCCATGCATTTCTGTGGCATCCTTAACTCCAAACAGCAGACCCTTTGTAGCCTCATTTCTTTCTCTTCAGCCCATCCTTGGGAGCGGGTGAGGAGAGGGAGTGATGGGGCAGCCTGTTGAACAGTTGGAGGAGAAAGGCCTATGAGACTCTTGTCAGGGCCCAGACCTCCAGCCTCCCTGGGTTCTTTCCCAGTGAATTGTAAACATCTCAGACCCCCTTCAGAAGGATGAGGAGGTTGGCATTTCCTTACCAGGGTTCTTCACTTCCCAGAGTCTATTGGCATACCCCCCTTTTCCCTTCCAAAAGTAGAGGTGACGTGGCCATATTGTACATGGGGTTTTCTCATCATCCTTCTCAGACTCCAGTGTACAGTCCCAAACTGAACATGGCAGTACAGTGGCTACTTTAAGACTTCTCGTGGTGCTATTTTGTTATCAGGAATGTGCCTGCACAGCCAGTGAGCATTTGTACTGGGGCCCATTAGGTAGTGTGAATGGGAGTCCGCAGGGACAGCAGAGAACTCCTATCAGCAGGAATATCTCCTGGCAGGCCCTGGACACCCATCTGGAAATTCTGCTGCTGACCATTTGTGCAGCTGGGACACTGATGTCCTTCTTGTTCTCAGACCTGTGGGTTTTGATGGGTGGGCAGTGAACCCATCAAATGGGTTAGTTCTGAACCCCGGCTATGCCACCACTAATTAAGTGGCTTTGGAAAGTTATCTAACTTCAGGCAGCCACCATTCCCCTATCTGTAAAGTATATAATCATACTCAGTTCCTAGGATGGTTTCAAGGAGTGAGCTGATATAATACATGTAAAACAAACTGCGATGCAGGCCTGCCTCAATATAGGGAAGCTTAATTTAAAAAATCACAGTGATGCTGTGGCATCTGGGACTCGGGAGCCCACGAACTGGTCTCTGCAGGTCTGCGAAGCCCCGGCGTTGTTTGCACAGTGTTGCTAGCATGCACACTTCCTTTAGGAAGTGGGTCCACAGCTTCCTTCAGATTCTCGAAACATCTGAGAGTTAAGAACCACAGCTCTAGAGAAAGGCTTCTCAATCCCAGCCCTGCTGACATTTGGGACCAGTTTGTTCTTTGTTGTGGGGGCTGTCCTGTACATTGTGGGATGTTTGGCAGCATCTCTGGCTTTTACCCCCTAGATGCCATTAGCACCAGATGCCGTTCGTCCACAGCTGTGACAACCAAACGTGTCTCCAGACATTACCAAATGTCCCTGGGGGAGTGGGGTACGGGGCGCAAAATTGTCCCTAGTTGAGAACACCGCTCTAGATGCATCTTAGCACCTAGTGAGAGAACGGATATGTGATACCCTCTTTCGTTATAGTCATTCTTATTTCTTTTTTTCTTGAATTTAGAATATTTTCTATTTATATTTAATAGATCCAAATTAAGTATGTTGCTATTGTACCCGTGAACCCTTAAAACTGGGATAAGCCTTGATGTGGGTGTCTGGGAACTCTTTAAACATGTATTGGCAGTGTGCACCTTTTTTTTCCTTTTGAGTGGATTTGAAATTGTTCATTTATAAATCCCTTTCAAGCCTCCCTGGCTGAGATCGACACATGAGAAGTTATTTCCAAGGGGTGTTTGGAAATGGCAGACTCTGCGCACACCATGCGGCCTCTCCCTCACCCCACCGCCTCCCACCTCGGCCTGCCTGTGTTCCCTTCTCTTTTGTCTTGACTTCCTGAGCTGCCGACTCCTGGCATCTTTGACTCCCTTTTCTTCGCTCCCCAGGGCAACCTGGTATCCTGGAGGGCTTCTTGCCTACCCAGAAAGTATACCCTTGGTAAACCAGTGGTGACTGCCCGAGCATCCATTTGTGCAGGAAGCCTCCTGCCTTTCGGTGCCCGAGAACCTCTTCAGAAGTCTCTCCTTTGAGCATGGAATATTTATTTGTGTGGCCATGCATATTTGGGTGCCTTCTTAATCTGTAGAATGGGGCTAGCCCTGCCAGCCTCACGGGCCATGCACTAGCATGGTGTCATGTGAGGTGTTAATAAGTGTTCCAAGGGTAAAATGGGTTGCTCTGTCAAGTAAGTTGGCAAGAACACCGTAGCATACTAAAGGTTCTGTGATGCCCCTCAGTAAAAACACTTAACTCAAGTTTCCTGAGCATGCTTGGCCTAGGAACACTTCTCTTTGTAGAACACTTGTGACACCTTGAGGTCTTCAGGGACACACTCCAGTGTTATTACAGACCTTGCATGATGTCATGTGAGTCCTGGGGTTTGGTGTCATCGAGAAGATGGGCTCCCCTGCTTTAGACCTCTGTGTGGACTTACTATGTTCTTAAATCACACCTCTTTAACCCAATTCCTTCTCCCTAACCCGGCAGCCTCTCAAAGTTGCTGGCAAAATACAGAAAACCTAAGTAAAGGAGGTGATGGCCACATCTGCCACACATCTCTGTGTACTGCTTTCATTTCTTTTTGCTTTTCTCTTGCTGTTGGTCGTGGGCTTGGTTTGACATGATCTTATTCTGCCTGAGCTTATGTCTTCCGTGTTCCCAGGAGTGTGTATTTGGCATAGAATACGTACATGTGGCCCCGCTTTTGTGCTTATCTTGCCATTTTCCCCCTTCCATTTTGTAAAATGAGAAGATGTTGAGTTCTGGGGTTGACATCAGTTGATTAAAATAAAGACCTTGCCCCAAACCTCTTTTGCACATACTATGGTGTGGATTTTACTTTAAAAAAAAAATGGTTGATTTCTTAACTTGCTATTCCTTCTGAGCATGGTAGGGTTTGGCTTCTGTTTCATGGCAGGAAGGGCTAAGGCGGCTCCACTGAAGTTCCCGCTGCAGTCCACCTGGAGGCCCAGACCCTGCTGGGGTTCACGCTAAGCACTTTGAGGGTGGTAAACAGCCATTGTCTTGGACTTCCATCCTAACCCTCTCTTCTCCTTGTCCCCCTTCTTCCCTTCCCTTTCTCCTGCAAGGTTCCGCCACACTTCACCACTGGCAGCAGTTGGCCCAACCTCACCTTGGGGGCATCCTGGACCCCCGGCCCGGTGTGGTCACCAAGGGCTTCCGGACGCTGGATGTTGACCTGGACGAAGTGTACTGCCTTAACGACTTTGAAGAAGATGACACAGGTGACCACATTTCTCTCCCACGCCTAGCTACCTCCACTCCAGTTCAGCACCCAGAGACCTCAGGTGAGAGGTCCCAAGCACGTGTGACTGTCTCAGGCAGCAGAAGTTACCCGAGCCGGCCTCAGGCTTCCCCAGAGGAGATGCAGGAGCCGCCAGCGGCCACGGAGGAGGAGGAGGAGGAGGAGGAGGAGGAGGGGTCTGGTGAGGGCACCACGATAAGTCCTGTAAACTTGGCACCTTTCCCGGAGGCAGAGTTTTGGGCCATTCTCACCTCTGTTCCAGGCACCATCCGTAGTGGTTCTCTGTCTGTAGCTTCCGCTCGTCTGTGTGGGTGATGATTAAAGCATTCTCATTGCACAGTTCTGTTTTTAAATACAGAGTCTGATGCCTCCTATTTGTAACAATGGGTGTAGCTCCCCTGCCCATCTTGGAGGTGCATGGCCCATCAGGGATCTTTAAAGTGGGAGCAGGAAAGGCTGCTAAAAAAAAAAAAAAAAAAAAAAGTGGGCTTTTGGGTCCCTGAAAACATCAGTGCCCTTCTTCCTGGTCTGGGTGTCTCCCTGAGTCTAAGGGGAAGATTCTCAAGTCCCCTGGTGATTTCCAAGTGGAGCTGAGCAGTTTTAGGGAAATTGAGTGCTGGGTCATTCAGAAGGTAAATGAGATCATCTGTTACCTGTACGCTGTATTAAAATAGAACCAGGAAAGGCTCAGGATTTCAGACATTTCATCAGCCTTTTCACTTTCCCAGCTTCAATGGAGGTATATATGTCATTTTCTTTTCAGCTTACACATGTGTTCAAAGTGGATTTTTAAAAAGTGTTTTAGCAATACTCCTTAACCAAATAAACCTTCGGAGAACGTCACTAAGCTTTTCCAGAGAGAAGACCCTAGATGAAGTTGGAAAAGAGCTCTGGCTGACTCCACCCACTGTCCCCAAGCATTAAAGGTGTGGCCATGAGTTTACAGAATTACCCACATTCCAGTTGCCACTGGGATGAAAAGCTTTGTGCTCAGAGCTCTGGGAATCATGGGATCACATGGTTACTGTTTACCCCAACAGCATGCTCTGTCTAGACTGGACCTCCCAGCCCCTTGTGTTGGGAAGGCAAAGCTTTTGTGGAGTCAGGGGGGAGACTGAGAAAAAATGAATTAACCCTGTGTTGTCATCCTCATGACATTCCTGAGGATTCACCAGGTTAGAAGTGAGGACGTTTATCTTTGTGATTCATAATTTTCATTTGTGAAGGCCACAACACTCCCCTTGAAATACAGGGCAGGAAAGAGCTGAGGTTCTTGGTGGTGTCTCCCATTCCCCTGGCTAATTTCAGACAGCTGTGGTCAAGGGATTTTACTTGGGATCAACTTTTCCTTTTTTCCTTGACATTAATTTTAGAGAAGTCATCAAGTCATGTGATTTGTTTAGCACATAGGTTTATTTATGGTTTGATTTTTTTTAGGCAGTTATATTACTAGATTAAGCTTGTGAGGGAATGAAAATGTTTTTTATTTGTTATCTACACACTCGAAAAAGAGAAACCAGCTGCGGTACTGTCCCATTTTTGTCATCAGCACCAGTGTCCGTCAGGAAGGCAGGTGGTGGTGCAGAAACATGATGCCTGGCTGATTTTCGTGGCTAAAGGGGTAGGCCTTATGTTGATTGGGATGCTCCCCTACAGCCTTACAGGTAGAATAGAAGGTGAGTTCTGGAAGTGCAAAGAAGCACCATTAAGTGCATCTTCTAGAAGTTGTACAGAAGGACTAAAGCTTATCAAGTCAACAAAGAACTTACCTTGGAGGATAGAGAGAGAGAAGGGACCAATTATGAGGACTGACATCCTGGCCACTCTCCTTAAAATAAACACTGACATTTTTCTTGCTTGTTCTCTCTGTACTCAAACCTGTGGCAAATTCATCCTAGCAACGTTATTTGACGAGGGGCATGAACATTTATAGTTGAAACTGTAGAAAGGGTCAGGTTGGAGGTGTGTAATAAAAAAGAATTACCTAGGTTGCCAAAGGTAATTTAGGAAGGGTCTGATCATTTAGATGAGAGTTCTTTGGGGCTTATTTTCTGGGTAAGGCTCATCTTTAAAAACTGGCTTCAGAGGGGAGAGGGGAGAACAATGAATTGGCTCTATTTTCTCTATTGGGAATTACAGGACCATTTTGATTCTTAGAATGTAAAAAGCATATCGCTAAGTAAATCATCCTGGAGGTCCCAAGTAGCTCTATGCCTGCAATCATGGAGACACAGGCAGACAGATAAGCTTCATGGGGAAGGCATGGGGCATCCTCTGTCTTGGGATTTGTATCCATGGTGGTCTGGTCCCTGCCTTTTAATCCGTCCTCTACGCTTGGGCTTTTCTGTTACCAAACAGCACTATCCCAGGAACTATTGTCTGCCTGGGAACACTCAGTAGGGAGACACTTTGGAGACAGGAGGTGATGAACCTTTTTATGTGCAGCTGGTATGATAGAAGGAAATTGGGAAAACTTGTATGCTAGGCACTTTTGTCCAGAGCCTGCTGTCCCATGGAGAAAAAGTTTTAAGCACTGAAAAAATTTGATTAATGTATTTAAATGTATTATTTGAAGCATCATTCACTTGTTGATTTTTACAATCCCATGTCTTAAAAAGGATGAATCCATGTTATTGTATTGTAAATAATTTAGATGATTAAAATGGATTGTTTAAAAAGTTTTAGATTATAGTTTTACTTTATTTCAGTGATATGTTTTATGTTTTAATTTATATAGAAAGTATACTTTATCAGAACTAGTTATCATCTTTTTCTGTCAGTACTCTGTATTTTAGGCATTTGTGTGGGGAAGAGCCTGCATGTGGCAAAGGATTAAGAGTTAAAGTCACACAGTTAAATTGGTAGTTGGCTAGTGGATGGGCAGTTCAGTTGAATTATCTTGAATGCTTTGATCCTTAAAGGTGAGAAAGAAGTAGGATTCAAGCCACATGGATAGAGAAAATTGACAGTCAGTTTATTTTAATGCTTTTACTCATCAAGACTGGTTCATATTGAGGGGAGATATCCTCAAAAACTTACACGAATCATGGCATCTTGACATCTTACCTGGCAGTGGCCCTGCAGTAGAACCATGTCCTAATTGGAGCTGAGATTTTTTTTTTTTTTTTTTTTTTGAGACGGAGTCTTGCTCTGTTGCCTAGGCTGGAGGGCAGTGGTGCAATCTCGGCTCACTGCAACTTCCACCTCCCGGTTCAAGTGCTTTTCCTGCCTCAGCCTCCCAAGTAGCTGGGACTATAGGCACACGTCACCATTCCAGCTAATTTTTTGTATTTTTGTAGAGACAGGCTTTCACCCTGTTAACCAGGCTGGTCTCGAATTCCTGGCTTCAAGTGATCTGACCGCCTCGACCTCCCAAAGTGCTGGGATTCCTGGTGTGAGCCACCACATCTGGCCTAGAGCTGAGATCTTAAAGTCAGAATGGAAGACAAAAAACACACTTGGCTAAAATTGCCCTTAAAAAATTCCCTAAATCTCCAGCAACTGGGCCACCAAGGCGAAAGCCAGGAATCAGCTTCTTTCGTTGCCTCCTTGTTTGATACATAGGCCCAAGGTCAGGAGCAGTGACTGAGTGAGGAAAGGGCAGAGAAGGGCTTGTGGTGAGAAGGAGCCAGGCGGAGTCAGGCCAGCTGGGTGTTCCTGCAGCTTTGCCCGGGCGGGGCAGCTAGAGCAAAGCTCAGCCAGCTTGTATCCTGTCCCCTCTTCAGTACACCACAGACCACAGAACTGGGGTTCAGACAGGCTTGTGAGAAGTTGGTTTGGGGGCTTGATGGGTCTGGAAGGAAAAGTCTGGTATGCTCGATTCACAGACCCTTGGGTGCAGGCAAGTTCCTTCCCATTGTCTACACTGAGAGAGTTGATGTGAGTTCCCATGCTGTTGGGAACACTTCGATTCAGCCTGGTTTTATGGCAGTTATGAGGGAGTTTTGTTGTTATGGACAGAGTGGATAGTTGGCTCACACCCACCTGTATTAGGAGATGCTAAGGAAAGCCCTGTGCTCTGCCGTCAGAATATATATTAAGCCAGAGTAAAACAGGCCAACTGCCACCTGCAAGTGGAAAAATGAATGAAGAATGAAAGAATTGACTCCTTCAAAACAAACAGCATAGAGTCAACCCTGCTTAAAATATCCAGAACAAAGCCCACTTGTTGAGCATTTTCTCTCTGGTATCCTCACCTCTGAACACTACAGAGGGCCCCCTGGTGCTCCTAGAGGCACGTGGGTTGCTGAGGAGGTGTCTGAACCTGACACCCTTCTAATGTGGAGGGCCCTTGAGGGAGCACCCTGTGTTGAGAGGAGGAGCTGTGCAACCACACTGCCTAGTGAAGCACAGGTGAAGTGCTCTCTTGTGCTGGCCTTGAACGCACTAGTGGGGAAAGGTCTTGATGCAGCTCAGCCAGGCCAGCTCCCTTCACCTGTTGGTGTCTGCCACAGAAGGAAGGACAAGAGGACAGAGGGTATAGGGACCAGCTTTGTTGGTGTCTGAAGACTACAAAGGGATTTCTGCATTTGCCCTTTGGACGTTTTAATAGCATTCTAAAAATCCCCCTCTCTCTAGAAGATACCCCAGGGGCACTTGAGAGAATTTCTGACCCTCTCTGCACAATGCTGTGAAATTGTTTATCTCTTAAATCACATACTTTTCAGATGAAACAGGGTAGGCAACTTGGTGTAGTGGGAAGAAGAGTCGACTTTTAATTTTGCAGAAACCAAAAATAAGTTGTGCAGAAACCAGAAAAAGATCTTGTGATGTGTGGTTCGAAATCTCTGTGATAGAAACCTCCCAGGTTCCTGCTGGCCAGATGTCTGATCACCGAGGAGCTCAGGGACCTCTACGGAGCTGCAGGGGCAGTCGAGAGCTCTGTTGAAGAAATGCTTAAGCAGAGAAAAAAATAAATACCAAGCCTCTGTGAAGCCCAGAACTAAGGCCTTTAAAAGTGTTATCTTGTACAACATATTACAGTTTAAAATCACTTTTGTATTTTTTAAAACAAGAAAGTTGCACTGTTGCATCTGAAACTGCTCTTGATTCCCCGACTCCTCACCTCCAGAGAAAACACTTGTTAAAGCCACATGAATCCCTAACATAGTACTTGTATTAATGATGACTCGTAGGGCAAACTATTTATGCAGCTTTTCCCACGTGAACTCATCATAGAACTTTTTTTCCCCCTGAAAATATCATGGGCAGAGTTACATAATGAAGAGACAGGAAAGTCTTTAGAGCATCTTCCATGCCCTGATATTTTAGTCTTTTAGGAAGAGATAAAGCATTGCTTCTTCCCTATCTGTTTAATGGAAAGGGAACTGTTTCTCATGCAGCTGACAGGCAAAGACACATCTTCCTCTCCCCTTTCCACCCCTCAAGCAAAAGGCAACAAAGTCATTAGAAGCTGGGCATTAAACAACTAAAATATACTGATATTCCTAGGGGATAGTCCAAGACACACCCTTAAGCTGGATGGACAATGGCTTTTATTTTCAATAGATTTGTTTTTACTTGGATTGAACAGGCTGGCCTGTGGGTGCCACTGTTGGGGTGTGTGTGTGTGTGTGTGTGTGTACTGGTTGAGGAGTTTATAGAACTTGCAAAGCAGATCCAAGTCATGTGACAGCAGCATCCCACTACATGCTTAAGTCAAGGAAAGAAAGGTCAGGGTCATAGGGTTTATTTTACACAAGTCGGCCACTTCCCAAGAGTGGCAAAAAGAACATGGAAGGCCCTCAGTGCATCCCAAAGGTGGAGTCCCTTTTCCAAGATTTTGAGATGCTTTTGTAAATTTACATTTATAGAAGTTATTTATGTGAGTTTTTAAAATAGCTTGGGTGTGTGGCATGGCCAGTGTTTCTCCGTTCTCAGAGGCTTCCTTGGAAGCAGCTGTATCTGGGTGTATATTGCACCCTCAATTTCCCCATAGCAACATGCCAAGTACGGTTGCATTTTCCAATGTCTCTGGGCTCATGTGAGGGTTCTTTTAAGGACTAGGTTCTATGATGGCCTTTAGAGAGAAGAAAGCTTCTGTTGTCCCCAGCACTTCCCAGGGATGCGGGAAGGAAAACGCCATTAGAAGGGAAGAAAATGCATGAGCAGGTGTGTACAAATTGTATTATGGGCGGCCAGACGGGCAGAGTTCCAATCATCCTGCAAATCCCTGTGGAACCTCTGGGCCCCACCGGAGTGTCCCAGCCTCTTCTGTGTCCCCTTCTCCTCACTGTGAAAGCACTGGGCCATGGGAAGCAGTGGGCTTCCTACGTATTTTCCCTGGGAGGCCCGAGCAGCAGCCACCCTGCTCTATATAGTGCAGTCTGAGGGGCATCCAGGGAGTAGGGGCCGTGTCAGGGCTCCCTCCTCACTGGCTGCAGCAGAAGGATCCCAACCACCCAGTTTTTCAGTCAGTCCCAGGCATCATGGGCCCCCGAGGAGCATGGGCACTCAGTGCCACTTACCAAGCATACCTACTCCAGGCAGAAGGCTCACCAGAGTCCAACTAGAGAGAGCAGGTGAGGTCTCACTCTGTAAGAGTGAAAGTAAGAGTGGTTCTCACTCTTGCAAAGTCCTCTGATGTGTCCACCTGTAGCTAGCTGAAGGATGTGTGCTTGCATGTGGTGTGTTTTAAGAACAAAACATCTGCACGACAGCTACGGGCAGTTCATCAACACAGGAGATCTTGAATAATAATCAAGGATTAATTAAGTTTAAAGCGTATCACATTTTGTACCAGTGTCAGAATCTGGGGGAGGAAGAACAATTAAAAAAGAATTAGGGGTTTTTATTGGTAAATCCAAATTCATTCCTAAATCAAATGATGAAAATATTTGTCGTTGTTAATACTCTAACCCATTTAATATGTGCCTGTCTCTTCAAAACACTAGGAAGCCCTCCACTCAGGTTGAGAGAAAGAATAAGAATTTAAATAGGGAATTAAAGCCTTAAATCCAAGAAACTCTATCCTTTGAGCTCCCAAATGAGCAGCATGGGATGAACACATAATACCATCTTCTGCAAAGAACTTTCTGTTTAGATAAAGAAGGGGGCTTTGGTGCGTGGCATGGGCTTGGTGACTTCACAGTGAGCCCTCACCCAACCCCCCTATTTCCTGCCAAGAAGGATGTTTTATGTTTCTCTCTCTCTCTCTTTTTTTTTTTTTTTTTTTTAGAACTTGCTCTCTTCCTGCACCCAGGGCTTTAGGAATCAGCCCGTTGCTTCTCTGTAGCAAGCATGAGGAGCCTCTGATGATCCCAGTCTTGGGTGACTCACTGTCTCTCTGTTGTGTCTCAAGGAAGGGAGGTGCAGCAGCATCCTGGCAGTCAGTGGTGACATGCGGAGAGCCCACGGGTCCAGGCGTCCTGGTGGTATTTTGGAAGGGCCAAATCTCTGGCTTTAGCACTTTGGAAACTTGTTGATCTTCCTTGGTCTTCTACGGCTATTCATTGCTTCTGGGGAATGGTGACTTGTGAATTTTTAGCAGCCTTTTCCTATCCCCAAAACCCATTTGTATAAGATGGGTTTGCTTCTGCTGATGCAACTACGTCTCTAAAATGTCCATCTTACACTCCCTATTGCAATTGAAGATCCAATATGTAAGAGGGTGGAGGAGGAAGTGAACATTTGTGACCTTTTGATTTGATATTCTGGCCATATGTTTAAATGGGGGTATGCTTCTGATTTTAAATCCAGCCTTCCCTTGTTTGATTTCTTTTAAATGTTATCTCTCTTTCAACTGTGTTGTCTTATTTCTATTTACTGCTTTCCCCCTCTCCTCCTTCCCAAATAACCCCTCATGCCTGTTATTTGGGATGCTCTTCCCAGGCTTTTTGTTATTTTTGTTTCTAGACCTTATTGCGGGAAGAGAATCGTGATTGTTTGGTTGCCTTCTCTTCATAGCTTACTCCATTTTTGTTTTGCTTGTGGCAGTTTCTTACTTATTGGAGTTCCTGAGCCATTATGTTCACTGATTGAGAAAGATTCATAAAGGCTATTTTTATGTGTTTTTTTTTTCCTTCCCTCCTGCTTTGCCTGGAGCTCCCCATGGCTGAGAGTTTTCTCCTGTGGCCGTGGTGCTGGCTGTCACGTCAGGTGCCATGGGAGCCTGCTTTGACACACAGACCCGAGTCAGACCTTAAAAATCAGGGCAAACCATCTTGCCTTGTTCCTCTAGTCACCATCACTTTTGTACTCTGGATTTGTCCTGCCTACCTTTAATCTGTGTCTCCAGCATTTATTTTTTTGTTTGTGTCATCGGGTTCCTGGTTTTCTTTTAAGACATAGTCAACTGTGTGGACCTGTAGGTTTGGGGCAGCAACCAATTCCATTGTTTTCCTTTTTGTCAAATCCAAGAGAAAATATACCATAAGGAGCTAGAAGATTCTAGTTCACAGCCTTTTGAATCTTCATGGCCTTTGAATCCTCATGGCCTCTGAAATCTGAATCAGTTTTCTCCCAGGAGGTCTCTGGGGGCTGAGCTGCTACAGGGGCAGAGGGTGGGGTGGGGTTGGGTGGGAGAATCATCCCGGCACTTCATCGTGCATGCTATTTCGGGCAGCATCTTTTTTTTTTATTTTATTATTATTTTTTTTCCTGATGCTTGAGTTATGAATGAGGATGACCTCTGCAATCATGATGTCTCCCATAGACTCTGTTCCTTGTTCCTTTGCCAGCTTTCTCATGCATGGTCCTAACACTTCCATGATTTAATCTGCTGCAGACCATAGTCTTCAGCCACCTCAGCAATAACTTGTTAGAACATTAAAAGGAAGTAAATTGAGAACAACTTGTTGCCATCCCATTTTCATTAGAAATCAGACATCTTAGAGATGTCAAGAAAGCAGCTAGCAGCTAGGGGGTATGGGGACCTGTCCTGCTCACACTGCTGTGTGTCAGACCAGACCTGATCCTGGAGCTCAGGACCCTAGAGAGCCCTGATCTCTGGAACTCTTGCCACGTTGTTGCTGAGGCAGCTGAAGTCCCCATCTCCCACCATAACAATCACAAATAGACAGTAGTGGAGCCAGCATCCCCAGGCCCCTTTTTGTGTAAGCAGAAAGGGAGCTGTGAGCCTTGCCCTGTTTGCAGGTTTCAAGTGCCTCTCCCTGCCTGTACTTCTCCCCTTCCTCTGAGCAGAGCTTTGGTAGCTGTTGCCAATGCAAAGAAATGTAAAGCAGCAAAAGAAGACAGCAGGTTCTGACCTGAGGAGGGAAACCAAATTTATCCCACAAAGGCCCATTACCCCACCCCCCTCGCCTCCCACCCCCAGACTGGATCCACTACTGGCCCAAGAATACTGATGAGAAACCTAGTCTGGATTGGGTCGGAAGCTGGAATTTGGTGCTCTGCAGACCAGTGCTCAAAATTGTGGTTATTTTTGAGGACTCGCCTTCAATCCAGAACATTTGCGTTTCACCTTCCTCGCCCAGATCCAGTTAACAAGGTAGCTCATCACTTCTTGCATCTGTTGAGTGACATGCTGGATTTTAATTTTTATTGTGGTTGTACTTGGATGCAAGGAATATGTTTTGTTCCTCCCAATTTAGCGCACCATCCTGGGAAGTGCATGTCTCAGACCAACTCCACCTTCACCTTCACCACCTGTCGCATCCTGCATCCTTCAGATGAGCTCACTCGGGTCACACCAAGGTAAGGGACCCTGGCTTTGGGGTGGGCAGGGGTGGGGTGAAGTCAGGGCACTCCCTTCCCTGCAAGGCTTAATGTTGAGGAAAGCCAAGTAGAGAGGCTCATAGAAAAACCAACTGAAGCCAGTGTAAGCATCTCAGCATTTGCAGGCACTTGTTCTGGGTCCCATCCTTCCTTTTGTTGTTGTTATGTGTTTTTTTTTTTTTTTTTTTTTTTTTTTGAGGCAGAGTTTTGCTCTGTTGCCCAGGCTGGAGTGTAGTGGCGTGATCTCGGCTCACTGCAACCTCCACCTCCTGGGTTCAAGCCCATCTTTCCTTTTGAGTTGAGGCTATTATTTATTTGGATCTGGCTCAAATAAAGAGACCTGGACCGACCCACCTTTAGTTGCCCTTTTAGTTGGCTATTTAGTTAGAAATGGATTCCTAGGCCGCTCCTTAACCAGCTGAAGTTGACACTACCCAGGCCCTATGGCTAAAGTCTGTTGGATTTTTTGCCCCCAAGTTTGTCAGTAGAGCACAGAGTTCTTTTATTTATGGATGGAGTTACTGAGCCCTGTGGAACCCCTTGTGCCTCTGGAATAGGCCCCAGGAACCATGCAGCACAGCCAAACGGTAATGACCAAAATGAGAAGACTCCAAAATTGAGCCATGTGCCCAGCATGGTCCATTTCTCTCTGGAGCACCATCTATGGGGAGGACTTGTCTGGTGTGAGTTGGTCTGTTTGGCCTGATTTCAGGCCTTTCACTGCTGCCAGCAAAAGAGAAAATGCTCTCCCCTAACAGAGTAGAACGACCCCCTCAGCTGTTTCCTCTGTGGTGTAAGATGCTGGGTTGCTGGAAGGTAAAGCAGAAGGGGTGGGAACAGTCAGCCAGGGAGCACCTTAAACTATGAATAATTCTCCGCAGGTCATGTGAGGAGGACGACGAAGCAGCCATATGCCCCGTTGAGCTGAGAGGAGATATAGGGCAGAGAGTCTGAGCCCACGGGCGAGGCAGGGGGTGAGCACACCGCCAGCAGTGCCTGCCCTGGCAGGGCCCTGTGGAAGGAGCTGTGTGTGCACGCGTGGCCGCCACTAACCCGGGGACTTAGGCTTGGATGTGTCTCTGTGGTTGTGCCTGGCTAACTCGGCCTTGATGGTCGATGCCCCTAACCCAGCTAAACACCCCCAGTCAAGCCGAGTGCCAGCACTAATAAAGGCCTAACCCTAAGTTCTCACCAGACGGGGATCATAAATATTAGCTTTGTCTCCTCCGTCTCTCTGCCCCTGGAGAACTTGGCTTCCTCATCCTGTGGCTTTATGTTGGGAAGAGATTGTTTTCAAAACCATGGAACCAAGCTTCTCCCTATGAGAGGCTGGTGCCCTGGGTAACTAGATGGCACTCCTGACTGTAGCCATAGGACTCAAACCAAACACAGGTTTTCATGTGGCTGTGTCAGGGCCGAACAAAGCCTGGGAAGTCAGTAGCAAGAGAAGGCTCTTTTTTTTTTTTTTTTTTTTTTGGCTTGAGTTTGAAAGAAAGGCTGCTTGAAATAAAATGGAAACAAATCAATTGAAACAAACAAAATGGAAACAAAATCTCCCTAGGGATGGCCACATCAACATGATTTTAAGTCTAGAGCATTTTTGCCCTTTACTGAGGGTACATCAACATTTGTAAAACTCCACAAATGCCTTCTGAAAAAATCCATGTTTAACCTTAGGAATTTGTTGTGGTTTCTAATCATGCTTTTCCGAGTCCCCCAGCCCACCAGCATCCCCACCCCTGAGCTTGTGTGAGATGGGCCTGTTCTGGGATCCCCACCCTGTGCTGACCTCCCAGGGCTGAGGTCACCTGAATGTGGGGCCAGTTGGTTCCCCTAGCTTGTACGTTGCTTTGAACCTCGTGTTTCCCACGAGGGAGGGGGCCCCTTCTCTGGTCATCGCAAAGACCTGCTCCAGAATGGGCCCTTTTCCTTCCCATTCCCTCCTTTGGTGCCTTTCTCAGAGTACATGGACTTCCTTCTGCCAGACTGGGGAGAGAAGTCTCCATCCCCAGCTCCTAGGGACCATGCAGCTGACCTGCTCCAAGGCACACTGGCAGCCCCAGCAAAATCCTGGAGCCGGCACCAGGGCATGTCCCACGAGACTGTTAGGAGGGCTGTGCATCTTTGCCCCTTGGTTGCTCATTGAGAAGCAGTATAGGGCTTCCATGCCTGTTTGGCCTCCCCTGGATCCCTGTAGCAGCTGTTAAAAGAGAACCTTTCCAAGCTTTGCACAGTGGCAGTATCATAGCCAATGAGGTTTATTACTAGTTGAAAATTTTCCCCAATACCCCGCCGTGACGACTTGAGATAGAGGCAGCATTGGCAATTTTTGACAGTTTTTAGGGATACTGAATTATTAGGTTGGTGCAAAAGTAATTGCAATTATAAAAAAAAAAAAGAACCTTTCCTGCTTTTTAAGCAGACAACAATGCATTCCCCTCTGCTGCCCTTCTGGAAACTTTTCTGTCCTAATGGACTCCACGACTGGATCCCAACTGCTGGAACCTAGCAAGTCCCTAGTGAGCACAACACGAGTGAATGAACAAATCTTTCTGCTTTCCTTCCGTAACTCAGGCCCCACACATTTCAGTGGGCCTTTCCCTGGGTAGCACCGTTGATGTAGATCTCTTCATATGTGACATGTCTCCCCGCGACCCTCTAACTCCACTGGTTAGAATGGATTTGGGCAAGGATATAAAGAGGGTTAAGGGCAGCACGGTGCAGAGGAAAGGGCTCTGCACCCAGGATTCAGGAGCTCACGGCCACAACTGACTGGATGGGCACAGCCTGGCCTCAGTCCATGCACTGTGGCCAACCTTACCCTTCCTAAGATAAGGAGTATCTCATCTCCCAGAGTCCTGGTTCACGTCTTGCTTCAGGGAGAAGTAGGTACTAAGAAGGAATGCTGGAATCTGGGTAAATTTGGTGGAGAAAGAATGCCTCTTTGCCAAAGGGCTTCCTTTCCCGTTCTCTAACAGATTTAGAGTCCCTCAACTTGGGTTGTCCACTTAACAGCCAGATGTGACACCAAGTAAACCCTTAGCTCTGAGCCTGTTTCTTCATCTGCAAAGGGGACAACTGTACCCACCAACCAGGGATGGGCAAAGGGGATCATGTGCAGCTTCCTGTTAACTTAAACCATGCTTCCCTTGAAGGGTGAGAGGGAGGAGCAGACGTGGACAGAGCCTTTGGGGGCCTCAGCTGGTGGAACCCTCTCATCGTGTCCTGGGTCGTCCCTACCCCCCCTGCAGGAAACTGGCCACTGACCCTTTCTCTGGAGCTCATGGGCATTTCTGGTGAATAACCTGTCATTTCTTCTTTCAGCCTTAACTCAGCCCCAACTCCAGCTTGTGGCAGCACCAGCCACTTGAAATCCACGCCGGTGGCCACACCATGCACTCCACGGAGACTGAGCCTGGCTGAGTCCTTCACTAACACCCGTGAGTCCACGACCACCATGAGCACATCCCTGGGGCTCGTGTGGCTGTTGAAGGAGCGGGGCATTTCTGCTGCCGTGTACGACCCCCAGAGCTGGGACAGGGCCGGCCGGGGCTCCCTCCTGCACTCCTACACGCCCAAGATGGCTGTGATCCCCTCTACTCCGCCGAACTCGCCTATGCAGACACCCACATCCTCCCCACCCTCCTTTGAGTTCAAGTGCACGAGCCCTCCCTACGACAATTTCCTGGCTTCCAAGCCAGCCAGCTCCATCCTGAGGGAAGTGAGAGAAAAGAACGTCCGCAGCAGCGAGAGCCAGACCGACGTGTCCGTCTCCAACCTCAACCTCGTGGACAAAGTCAGGAGGTTTGGGGTGGCCAAAGTGGTGAACTCAGGGCGAGCCCATGTCCCCACCTTGACTGAGGAGCAGGGACCCCTCCTCTGTGGGCCCCCGGGGCCAGCACCAGCCCTTGTTCCCAGAGGCCTGGTACCTGAGGGCCTGCCCCTCAGATGCCCCACTGTCACCAGTGCCATCGGTGGGCTGCAGCTCAATAGTGGCATCCGGCGGAATCGCAGCTTCCCCACCATGGTGGGATCTAGCATGCAGATGAAAGCTCCTGTGACTCTCACCTCGGGCATCTTGATGGGTGCTAAGCTCTCCAAACAAACTAGCTTACGGTGAGGACTGGAGGGGGGCCGGTTGCCCTAGAGGAGACCCACGTTCTCCTCTCTTGCTCCCACCTCCCTCTCTTCCCCCCACAGTGCACTCCCTCCCTCTGCCCTTCTCTGTCCACCCCCTCCTAAGCTAGACAAATCAACCTCGTGCCTAATGGAGGAAGTGTGGAAACTTTGTAAAATGTGTACATAGGACTTGGAGACCTTGTGTCCGCCCTGCTCTTTCTTCCGATCCCACAGGAAGTGCCCCTGCACTGTCATCACTCTCACGAGGACGTCACCTGTGCTAACCTGGGGGAAGGTGGGGTCCTTTCTTCTTTCCTTTTGAGAAGCACTGAAACTCCCAAGTGTGTTCTTATCCCATGGATAGGAAACCAGTGAATTCCGTGGCTGGCACACCACGAGCTGTCACGCGGCACGGGTCATAACACATCTGGGTGTCATCGGACACCTCACCTCGCCCACCCTGTAGGAGCGTAAGGAGCCTCCATCCTCAGCCACGTGCAGCTGACGTGGCTTTCCTGATCGGAGGGCTTTTCTTTTATGGGTGGCCCAGCTTCTTCAAGACCTTCACTGCTCTGCCTCAGTGGACAGTCGTTTCTTTTTTGAGGTGTGACCTTTTGTTTTCATGCCTTCCCCTTGAAGTCATCCTGTGTTTTGTAATCAGCTGTCAGGCCAAATGTCTGACCCGAAAGAGAATGTATTTACACTCATGCTGCGTTGTTCAGCAGCCCCTCTGTGTTCTGTGTGATTTGTTTTATTTTTCCTTTTTTTTACATATATATGCAGGGAAGTAATGGTACTGGTAGTGTATGTTTTCTATGTGGTTCAAATATGAATTTCGAACACACCAAGCCGCTAATGAGATAGCAGCTTTTTTCTGGGACCCAGAGTCACAACCAAATTGATTTAAGACCGGACCCAAGACACCTTTAACAATAGGACTGAAAGGAAAAAGGATAGGGAAAAAGCTTATTAAAGAAATGTGTCAACACCAAATGTAGAGGGGAAGAACCACAACCAGGCATAATACCAAACCGGTTCCAGGGGGAAACAAGGCTTTGGTATTCCGCTGGCTCCAGCGCTTTTTCTGAAACCCGAGGCTGGCCAGGGTGCTGTCACCATGCGGTCTTTGATTGCAGCCATTCAATGCCCACATGCTTTTCCTTCTTGTTTCAGAACAGCACATGGTCACAACAAGATATTTTCTTTCCCTCCAAAGCCTTTTGTCTCCTTGTGCCTCTTTTTATCCTTAGGAAAAGATCCAGGTGCTTGTGAAAAGAATCATGAATGCAACAAGGGAGGCTGGTCCTGTTGCTGTCGCCGATTAAGTTTTAAACTTTTATTTATTATTTATGTCTGCCGTATTTTAAATAAACATTCTCGTTCCTTCCAGTTTCAGTCATAGTGTGTCTGTGGCATTCCAGTCCAACCATGTGACTTATTTATTCTAATTTGAGGGCTGCACTGTACACCATGGTGTCCTGTGACACCGTGTTCCAGACATTTATGGAAGGAAAACATCCCATATAAATGAAACTGTCATGCTGTGTCCTCCCCGGCAGCAGAAGATGTGTCCTTCCATTGAGTGAGGGTAACCTTATGTCCACCAAGGATACTTTGAGAAAGCCCCTAAGGAACAAGCCTCAGTCCCACGGTTTCAGACTATTTATTCTCTGAACACAAGAGTATTGGTTAATTATGTTCTCAGCTCTCCCTGCTGTTGTATGTGTGCATTCACTGCAAGTAACTTATATCTTTTTATTTGAATGTATTTTAAAGCAGTAGATAGAATAACAAAGGAATATGAAAACCATGGACTGAATGGACCATTTTATGTATTCAGAGAGAGAAGCCACTCATCATTGCCAGAAATACCATGTAAAAATTGGCAGTTCAGAGGTTGCAATACTTAGTATAGTAAATAAATAAACGGTCAACATTGTGCAACCACTACCAAAAAGTGTGTTGTAATGCATCAAAAATCAACACAATTTTATTCACTAATGAGTATCAATAAAATAAGTTCAAATGATGGAAACCACACTGGTATTCTGATTTGTATTTTGTTTTTATCTTTTCATCAAGGAGACGATCTCTTTATGTAAGACTTGAAAGTGTTTAGCTCTTTGCAAAATTAAATGAAAGGCATATACTTCACATACTGTTACATGCCTTCTTTCTTTCAACATGATATCATACCTTAGACAACTTTCCAGTCAGACTCTGAAGATGTCCCTCACTTTTCAGGGCTGTGTACTATTCCACTGTGTGCATACACCTGCTGTGAATTATACATACCTTTATGAACCATCCCTTACAGATGGTCACTGGGATAATTCTTTTTTTTTTTTTTTTTGTGGAGACAGGATCTCACTCCATTGCCCAGGCTGCAGTACAGTGGCACGAACATGGCTTACTGCAGCCTTGACCTCCTGGGCTCAAGTAATCCTCCTGCCTCAGCCTCCCAAGTAGCTGGGATCACAGGTGTGTGCCACCATGCACAGCTAATTTTTATTTTGTATTCTTTGTAGAGGTGGGGGTCTCACCGTGTTGCTCATGCTCTTCTTGAAGTCCTGGGCTCAAGCAATCCTCCTGCCTCAGCCTCCCAAAGCACCGAGATTACAGGTGTGAGCCACTGTGCCTGGTGTCACTGGGTTAATTCTAATCTTTTGCTATCACGGTACTGTAATGAAAAAACCTTACATATATGCAATTGTCCACATATGTGAGTACATCTGTGAAATAAATTCCTGGATGGTTATTGCCAAATTGCCTTCCATAGAGTTAAGAGACAACCAAGGACAGTGGAGGTCCACCAGATGGAGAATTGTGAGAAGAACAAAAGAAAAAAATAAATATTCTGCCACCTCAATATTTGAAAGCAGTGAGATTATGCAAATAAACACTGTGGTAGGATGTGGCATCATGGATTTTAAGTCAGGTGCTAACCATTTGGCAGTGGTGTGACCTTGGGCAAGCCACTTACCCTCTTTAGGTCCTCCATTTTTTTTTTTTTTAAACCTGTGACATGAAAACAGTAATGCACCTTAGAGTTAATTAGTTGAGTCAATGTATTTTGAGCACCTACCATGTGCCAGGCATTTAAGTACTGGGGACGAATAAGTGAGCCAGTTTCTGCTGTCACGGAGTGTACAATCTAGAGAGAACAACACCAAGTGTAGAATAACAAGGGCTGTGCAGAGAATTAAAACAGGGTGGTGTGAAGGAGTGGGTGGCTGCTTTGGATTGGACAGTAAGAGAAAGCCACTCCAGGGAGGGGTACTTGAGTGAAGCATGTGAGATCTGGCACAAGAGCATTTCCGCAGAGAGAGCAGCTGGTGTAAAGGCCCGGAGGCAGAAAAGCACTTTGGTGCGTTCGAAGAACTAAGAGAAGGCCTGTGTGGTAGTGGGCTGGTAGGATCGAGGGAGCGTGGTGGTAGCAGAAATTATGGTGCTCACCAAATGATTCATCAGATCCCCATTTCCCAGCCATTGCAGTCGAGCAGGTCACATGATTAGTGGCTGGCCAATGGGCAATAAGCAGAGAAAAACCCGTGCATGACTCTGTGCTCCTCTCTTCCTGTGTGTTAAACCCTCAGGTCACGTATTGAAGTGCTGGAGTCTCCACCATCCTGAGTCTCCAAGTATGTGGACCAGAGCTTCCTGCCAACCTATTTGACATGTAACCTGATGGAGAAATAAACTTTGTTGTTAAGCCAGTAAGATTTTTTGATAGTGCCTTAGAATCCCAGGTATAGGGCCCAGGTATCTGTGTTTTAACAAGCCCTCAAGGTGATTCTGGTGTGCACCATAGTTTGAGACCCACTGCACTAGACCAGGTGGAGTTTGGGTGGGAGTTCTGCTGTGGGACGCAAATTCCCCTTTCCAGTCTCTCCTTGTCTCAGGGGCTCTAAGAAGGTCAGATAGCCGCAGCCCATCTTAATTGAAAGGAAGAGAGAGAGAGTGGGTGGGCAGGGAAAGCTTTGAGGTAAGGTGACCCTGTATCTGGGTTTCCAGGATTTGCCAAGTGGGGAAGGCATTCCAAGCAGAGGAAGGATGGAAAGGGGATCCTAGAATGCATTCCTCTATGCCCTTCCTTACAGTAGAAGGAAGGTGAATGACAAATACAGAAGGGACAATAGAATTAGAAAAACTACCATTTCACTGGGTGTAGTGGCTCATGCCAGTAATCCCAGCACTTTGGGAGGCCGAGACGGGCGGATCACCTGAGGTTGGGAGTTCAAGACCAGCCTGACCAACATGGAGAAACCCCGTCTCTACTAAAAATACAAAATTAGCCGGGCACGGTGGCGCATGCCTGTAATCCCAGCTACACGGGAAGCTAAGGCAGGAGAATCGCTTGAACCCGGGAGGCCGAGGTTGCGGTGGGCCGAGATCGTGCCATTGCACTCCAGAACAAGAGCGAAACTCCGTTTCAAAAAAAAAGAACAACCACCGTTTTGAAACCATAATACTAACTAATTCAGACAACAATGGATATTGAAACCATTGGGTAAAAATTCGTTAGGCAGCAGAATATTTACACCCATTGTATCTTCCCACAGAATGCTTATTACTTACAAAGGGGGGACAATATCTTTGCAGTGGATAACTCTGTGGTACGCCACTTTAAACAAGTCGTAAAATTTAACATTACCCAAAATGGGACAAACTGCTATAAGACATCACCTGTTATGAGATGTACTGGGAGAGACACACATCATGCTGTGCTGTTCCTGCCACAAATGCAAAACCTGAACCATGTGGTTGACATTTTGAGGGACATTTATTATTTTGTAAAACAATGTACCTATCCCTTTAAAAATTGTCAGTTTCATGACAAAGACTAAGGAACTGTTCCAGATTAAAGGAGAATAAAGAGACAAGGCAACGAATGCAGTTCATGATCTGAATGGGATACTGGAGTGGGAAAAAATGCTATAAAAGACAGTGTTGGGACAACCAGAAATTTGAATATATAGCATGTATTTTTAAAATTGTATCAATATAAAATTTACTGAGATTGATAATTGCACTGTGTATATGTAAGGGCATGTCCTATTTCCTAGGAGCTAAAGGATTAAGATAAAGGGGCTTGGTGTCTGCAAGTCACTTTGAAGTGTTTTCGGAAAAAGTAAAGAATAAACTTAAATAATAAAAAGGTGTGGGAGCAAAAAGAGTTCATCTCAAAAGATGGGAAGCCCTCTAATGCCCTCTACTGATAGATGTTTTGTAAACCCTAGAAGGCATTCTTCTGTCTCATGTGTGACGGGAGGATGTTCAAGGTGGTTTGGTGCATCGTCCCTGTTCTATGCCGAATTTCTTCATGTGTATCCCAAGCCCTTCTCCCAGCCCAGGAAGTTCAAAAGAGGACGTCATGGCCTAAGGGAGAAGTTGTCAAAGAGGCATTTGGTGAGACCAGAAAACAAAGATAATAAAATTCCTGGTTTTCAAACATGAAAGGAAGGAAGGACAAAGCTGAGTACATGTTTTGGTGTGAGACCAAAAGATTTAGAAGGAAACTTGTGGAGCCAGTTTTTCTCTCTCTCTCTTTAAAAAAATATATATATATATATATATTTAAAAATTTTTAAATCATCAAGTTGGTGAAACAGTTTCTCTTTTTACTGCTTACTCCTCCTGTGCTACTCCTGCTTGCCAAACACAAAGGACAAGGACTTCATGCAGATTCTCCAGGCCGTGGGAGTTGGAAGGGATGCCAGCGTTCAACCGGTGTGGGAGCCTTTGTCCTTTCCCCATCTGTGGGCCACATCCAAGGTTATAGGAGAAGCCCCTGATGAGTTTGGGGCTCCAAGGACAGATGAGCTCATTTGGCAGGGGTCCTGGGGAAGTAAGGATGTTCCAGAGCCCCTCCCCAGCAACTCACCCCATCACAGGGCAGGGACCACATGGGGCAGTGAGGAAGTAGAAGTGCCAGCAGATACGTCTCAGTGGAGAAGTCCCAGGAGATCCTGAAGTACCTGGCCCCAGACAGATGTGGGAATCATTCCACACACTGCCTGGGAGCAGAGAGGCAGGTATGTCCTGAAGAGCCTTGCCAACAGGACAAAGGAAGTGGACACCAGCCTCCCCCGCAGCTCTGGCCAGTGCCAGCACCCAGAACCTAGATGCCACCTGGGGAGAAGTTGGTGGAGGAAGAAAGTCATGCTGAATTACCTGAGTCAATTGAGAGCTTATAATAGGGATTAAGTCGAGATTTAGAAAAAAATGAAATTTTTTGTGCATCTGAGCTCACGGCTCAAAAACATCATATCCTAAAAGGAATTCTTTTTCTGTAGCCAGCAGAGGGCACTTGGAGACAGCAAAAGACCTGAAGAAACCGCCCTAATCCAATCACAAGATCAGATGGGTTTGCTTTTCCCTGGAAAGTAGTTCAGGGCGGGCAACTCTGCCTCCTGGAACCCCCAACATCCTCACTGTAAACAGAGTGCTTGTTTCTGGGGTGCAAGTTGAGAGGAAATGGCCAGGAAGAAGGCCTGGCCCCTCACATTCCAGAGCCCCTCCTTGGGACCAGGAGTCTGACGTCCCTTCTGGAGCTTCAGTGGATTCTCGGGGCTGCTGTGGTTGGCGGAGGGCGGGGGGGTGGTGGAGGGGGGAAAGGCGGGTGGGTAGGGGTGCCATGCCAGATCCCCAAGGACTCCTTAGGTGGAGGAGTCTTCCCTCCTGAGCCTGGGTTCCTCCGTCCCACTCTTCGTCTCAAGATGTCCTGAGTCCTCCCTCAGTGTGACTCAGTTCCATGCTGCTCTGGGAATCCAGAGAGGAACCGACACAGTCCCAGCCCTTGAAAGGGGCTCCGTCTGCGCAGGCAGCAGAAGTGGTCATGATGACAGTGGAGGGAGTCCCTCTGCTTGGGGTCTCAGAAGCCACTTGAAGAAGGCATGAGCATGGTCTCAGTTCTCCAGGGGAACTGGAGGGAGGCATTCCAGAACAAGAGGACAGCGTGTGCACAGGCTTGGGGTGCAAGTGAAGAAATTAATCATAGAATGAGGAGGAGGCCACCTTGCCTATCATCCTGCTGCACCAGGAAGTAGAAAGACATTTTTAAAAAGTTTACAAAACGTATTCTGTATTAGAGTGCTTCCCACCTTATGAAATCAACCCGCTCCTTTCTAATGCATCTTCTTTTTAGAAAATGTTTTCTTTGCTTTTTTTTTCTGAAAACATCCGAAAGTAAGAGCCTTTCCTCCGTACTACTTTAGCCTGTAGTTCCTAAGTTCTATAAAGCCACAGCACGATGACTGAATCCAGGGTTAAAGGAAATGTTTGCTTGGCAGTACTTGGGCATTCACCATGCCAAATGCCCAAAGTTCAGGCTGATCCTGCTCTGAAGTCCCAAAGAATTGAAAACCAGTGAGAGAAATCCAGGCCTTTAGCTTAGACCAGCAGCCTCCAGGACCAGCAGCGCTGAGGCTCAGCAATGCCTGTACATCGATGTGACAAGATTCAGGGGAAAAAAGTAAGAGAGGGAACCTAGGGCCCCCCAAGAGCAGGGAAGGGCAGAATCCAGCAGGGTTTCCAAGGGCCAGGCAGCTGGTAGCAGTGGGGACCATTGATAGAGGAGATTCTCAAGTGACAGGCAAAGGCTTAAGTACTTCTTTTCAAAAAAGAAAGAACAGTGATGTATTGTTCTCCCACACCTCAATTGCATAAACTCATAGTCCTCCCTGGGGCCTCTATTAAGTCACCTGTGACACTAAGGACCAGAGTAGCAGCAGTAGCCTTGGACCCCGACTCTCCTGTTTGCATGATTTCCAGCCAATGGTGGCCTTTGCCACCCTTGGGCCACTAGCCTATGACTGGAGAAGAAATTGTACTGTGTGTTTAGCTGTTCCAGAGTTCTGCAGAAACTGTGGAAGTGACCCACCAAAGAAAGTGGAGTTGCCTGGCTCAGGAACCCAGTATGTAAGCACCCCCAACCCCACCAGTTGTAGTCCTGGCTCTGGTCCCCCTCTGCTGCTGCCCTCTCAAGGCTCGAGTCCTGACCCAGAGTGACTGTTCACAGGGGTGAAGGGCAGTTAATCTGGTGTAAATAGCCAGCCACATCTCTGGGACTTTACGGATGCATAGAACCATACTTCTCAAATCTTAGTGGTGAAAGACTGGTGTGTTGTTTTTTAAAATTTGTATCATCTGTCCATCATGGGCCAATATTTTTATAAAATACAATAATAAAGAATTTCAGGAAAAATAAAATACATCCAAAGAAGTATAAAATACAAGCCAAAATTTTAAAATATTAGTTTCAACAGACATTAAATTACCTTTCAAAGCCAGGCACAGTGGCTCACACCTGTAATCCCAGCACTTTTGGGAGGCCAAGGCTGGTGGATCACCTAAGGTCAGGGAATTTGAGACCAGCCTGACCAACATTGTGAAACCTTGTCTCTACTAAAAATACAAAATTAGCCGGGCCTGGTAGCGTATGCCTGTAATCTCAGCTACTTGGGAGGCTGAGGCAGGAGAATCGCTTGAACCTGGGAGGCAGAGGTTGCAGTGAGTGAGATTGTGCCATTGTGCTCCAGTCTGGGCAATAAGAGTGAAACTCCGTCTCAAAAAAAAAAAAAAATTACCTTTTAAAAATATGAGAACAAACAGGGAAATATAAAAGAATTATGAGGTTAGTACGTATTATTCATTGAAAGTGTACCTAGAGCATTTAATACAGATTCACTATTATACTCCTGTCATTCTGCAGTTATAACTAAACAAAAAGTTACAAGTGAAGCCGTGATTTTTTATATTACATACATACTCTCACTTTGAATATATATCAATATTGAAGTTTTATTTTTTCTTTTATTTTCTTTTTTAATTATAGCAAATATTGCCTGATACAATATTCAAGTTTTTAATGTGATAAATGAGGATTGGATTCTTTTAATTTATCTCAGCTAGTTCAGATTAACAATAGTGTTATTTGCAGGGGATAACATATAAGCTTGTGTTTTCTTTTAATAACACTCACAATAGAGAAACCAGCCTCAGAGAGAGATGTTGGTTGGAAAGGAAGATAAGACATTTAAAGTAATTTTTTGGCCAAAATTTTTCTATGAGGCTTTGTTTTACAATCTGTAAAGTCTGGCTAACAAATGAACAATACAAATTTTATATCTCCAACTTAGATAATAATATTAAACTATAAATTTTTAAAAACTTGATTAGAATTAACTTGATGGTAAAAGTAACAAGTTAGAAAAATAAAGAAATGCTTGGGCAGGCGCAGTAGCTCACGCCTGTAATCCCAGCACTTTGGGAGGCCAAGACGGGCGGATCACCTGAGGTCAGGAGTTCGAGACCAGCCTGGCCAAAATGGCAAAACCCCGTCTCTACTAAAAATACAAAAATTAGCCGGGTCTGATGGTGGGCGCCTGTAATCCTAGCTACTCAGGAGGCTGAGGCAGGAGAATCGCTTGAACCCTGGAGGTGGAGGTTGCAGTGAGCAGAGATCGCGCCACTGTACTCCAGCCTGGGAAACAGGGCGAGACTCAGTCTCAAAAAAAAAAAAAAAAGAAAAAAAAGAAATGCTTACATTTGCTCAGATTTTTATATGCTTTTGACTTACGGTTGACAAACTAACCTTAAAATCTCATGGGTTGTAATGTGGTCCTCCTGCCTGTGGTCAGTTTGCTGCCTGTCCACCCAAAACTCACCATTAGAGTGCAATGACACTTGAATGGTCCACACCATTGGCATGTACTTGGACAACGTGGCAATGCAAATTGCTTGAAAAGTAACCATTTACTCTCAGTTTCTGTTCTTATTTCATCAGGGACAGTTTGTGGACTGGCATGAGCCATAGGCCACCCTTTAAGGAGGATGTCTATGGTAAAAGGCACTTTTCACTAGACCTAATAAACTTCCAGTTGCTAAATGAGGAAGTTTTTTTTTTTTTTTTTGACAGAGTCTTGCTTTGTTGCCCAGGCTGGAGTGCAGTGGCGAGATCTCAGCTCACTGCAACCTCCGCCTCCTGGGTTCAAGTGATTCTCCTGCCTCAGCCTCCTGAGTAGCTGGGACTACAGGTGCATGCCACCACACCTGCCTAATTTTTGTATTATTTTTAGTAGAGATGGGTTTCACCATGTTGGCCATGCTAGTCTTGAACTCCTGACCTCAAATGATCTGCCCACCTTGGCCTCCCAAAGTGCTGGGATTACAGGCATGAACCACTGTGCCCAGCCCAATGAGGAAACTTTTAAAAAATAATTTGTCATTTTTGCTTTTAGCAAATCACCCTCACGGCGCAGAGGAGTGGGAAGAAGGTGATGCCTTGGAATGGGCCCCTTCGGCTCCTGTCTTCCTCAGAACCATGCCGTCTCAGCTGTTTCCTGTTACCTGGTACCCGGTTCCAGGTAAACAGACTCCTTCACATCTGTGACCTCCACCAACAAGAATCCTCTACCTCACATCTGACCAAACCTGGCTGGTCCCTAAGAACCCTGCTGTGGGACAGATTCTTCCTCCACATGTTCCTGAGGGCTCTGGTCCTTTTTGCTATTGCAGCCTTTGGCGTGCTCCTCTTCCGTTATCCTCTTTCAAAACCCCTGCCCTGTTGAAGTTCACGTTTCCCAACTGCTACCCTCAACCTCCCTCCCTCAGCTTCTTGGAGGTTCCCTTAATTCTTTGCTATGTCAACTCTGAACTCTTTGTCCTTTTCACCATCTTAAGTCTTTCTGTCACCTGGACAACTTCAGCCACCCATGAAGGATGACCCATTTGGCTCTGGGCTCCCAGTTCCTCTACTTCCTCATCTCTTTTGGCCTTCATCACCCTTCCATTTCTGATGAGCTCTCCCAAAGCCATATCCTTGAACTTACCACCTGAAATCACTCAACTTCTGAAATTTAAAAATCAGTTACCCCACTCTTTCACCACAACCTCTTGGCACCTGGCTCTCTCAGTCAGAGCATTCCCCCTGTGTTCTTAGACCTCACAGAAACATCTAGTCCCCTGCCTCCTCTGCTTTTCTAATTTGCCATCAACTGTGCCCCCCCATCCCCACAATCTTCTTACTTTTTCTTCTATCCAGCCTAGACTGTGCCCTATAATTTCAATACTTTAGTTCCTAAGTTTTATGGTCCACTGTTGCACTCAATTCTGGATCATTCAACTGTTCACCTTCTTTTTTCCAGACCAAACCAGGACTGCTGGCTTCCAGTGAAAACAGTAAGTGTGACTGCCACAACCATGAGTGCCAAATTTATAGTTTCCCACCTCAGCCAGGCCTTCAATGAAGCCAGGTGATCCTATGTTTCTCCAGTCAGCTCTCTCTCGTTCTCTATGGGCACGATCTCAAACCTTCCTCATTCCTCACTTTCTGCTCCATCTCTCTCTCTCTCTCTCTCTCTCACTCTCACTCTCAACAAAATGTATTTGCCCTCTTTCCTAAAGAAAGCAGAAGCATCACACAGGAATTCTTCCAACTTTCTGGGATCAAGCCTGTAAGCTTGCTACGGGCTCACTCATTGCTTTCTCTGTCCTGTCTGCTGTAAAGGAGGTTGGGTTCTTCATCCCAATTCTGGCCCATTTCTCCACCAGTAACATGGATCTCAGCCCCTCCCTCCTCTTGTGGGGCCTTATTTCATCCATTATGCCCTCACTCACCTGTATTTTAAAAACATCCTTCAGGAGGAATTTCAAGAACAATATCACTGATGAATATTGATGCAAAAATCCTCAAGAAAATACTAGCAAACTGAATTCAACAACACATTAAAAAGATCACTCATCATGACCAAATGGGATTTATCCCTGGGATGCAAGGATGGTTCAACATATGCAAATCAATTAATGTGATACATCATATCAATGGAATGAAGAATAAAAACCATATGATCATTAAAATTGATGCAGAAAAAGCATTTGATAAAGTTCAACATCTCTTCATGATAAAAACCCTCAAAAACCAGGGTATTGAAGGAACATACCTCAACATAATAAAACTCACATATGACAGACCCACAGCTAGTATTATGCTGAGTGGGGGAAAACTGAAAACCTTTCCTCTTAGATCTGGAACACAACAAGGATGCCCACTGTCACCACTGTTATTCAACATAGTACTGGAAGTCCTAGCTAGAGCAATCAGACAACAGAAAGAAATAAAGGGCATTCAAATTGGAAAGCAAGAAGTCAAATTATCCTTGTTTGCAGATAATATGATTTTATATTTGGAAACACCTAACGATGCCACCAAAAACTATTAGAACTGATAGACAAATTCAGTAAAGTTTCAGGGTACAAAATTAACATACAAAAATCATTAGCATTTTTCTGTGCCAGCAGTGAACAATCTGAAATAGAAATTGAGAAAGTAATCCCATTTACAATAGCCACAAATAAAGTAAGACACCTAGGAATTAACTTAACCAAATAATTGAAAGATTTCTACAATAAAATCTATAAAACACTGATGTAAGTAATTGAAGAGGACACAGAAAATTGAAGTATATTCCATGTTTATGGATCGGAAGAGTCAATATTTTTAAAATGTCCATACCATCCAAAGCAATCTACAGATTTAATACAATTCCTACCAAAATACCAGTGACATTCTTCACAGAAATAGAAAAAACAATTCTAAAATTTATATGGAACCACAAAAGACACAGAATAGCCAAACCTATTCTAAGAACAAAACTGGAGGAATCACATTACCTGACTTCAAATTATACTATAGTAGCCAAAACAGCATGGTACTGGCATAAAAACAGACACATAAACCGAACAGACTAGAGAATCCAGAATCAAATCCATACATCTACAGTGAGTTCATTTTCGACAAATGTGCTGAGAATGTACCTTGGGGAAAGGGCAGTCTCTTTGATAAGTGGTGCTTGGGAAACTAGACATCCATATGCCGAAGAACGAAACCAGACCCCTATCTCTCTCCATATACAGAAATGAAATCAAAATAGATTAAAAATTTAAATCTAAGACCTCAAACTATTAAACTCCTACAAGAAAACATCAAGGAAACTCTGTAGGATATTGCACTGGGCAAAGATTTCTTGAGTAATACTTCACAAACACATGCAACCAAAGCAAAACTGGAAAATGGCATCACACCAAGTTAAACAGCTTCTGCACAGCAAAGGAAACAGTCAACAAAGTGAAGAGACAATCCACAGGGTAAATTTTCAAACTACCCATCTGACAAGGAATTAATAACCAGAATATATAAGGAGCTCACACAACTCTATAGGAAAAAATCTAATAATCCAACTAAAAAATGGGGAAAATATCTGAATAGACATTTCTCAAAAGAAGACATACAAATGACAAACAGGTATATTAAAAGGTACTCAATATCATTGACCATCAGAGAAATGCAAATCAAAACTACAATGAAATATCATCTCACCCTAATTAAAATGACTTTTATCCAAAAGTCAGGCAATAACAAACTCTGGCGGGGATGTGGAGAAAAGAAAACCCTTGTACACTGTTGGTGATAATGTAAATTAGTACAATCACTATGGAGAACAATTTGTAGGTTCCTCTAAAAACCAAAAATAGGCTGGGCGTGGTGGTTCACGCCTGTAATCCCAGCACTTTGGGAAGCTGAGGCGGGTCGATTGCCTGAGGTCAGGAGTTTGAGAGCAGCCTGGCCAACAAACTGAAACCCTGACTCTACTAAAAATACAAAAAATTAGCTGGGCGTGGTGGCGGGTGCCTGTAATCTCAGCTACTCAGGAAGCTGAGGCAGGAGAATCACTTAAACTGGGGAGGCAGAGGTTGCAGTGAGCAGAGATCGCACCACTGCACTCCAGCCTGGGGAACAAGAGTGAGACTCTGTCTCAAAACAACAACAACAACAAAAACCTAAAAATAGTGCTACCGTATGTTCCAACAGTCCTACCCCTAGATAGATACTCAAAAGAAAGGAAATCAGTATATTGAAGAAATCAGTATATCTTTACTCCCATGTTTATTGCAGCATTATTCACAATAGCCAAGATTTGGAAGCAACCTAAGCGTCCATCAACAAACAAATGGATAAAGAAAATGTGGTACATATACACAATAGAGTACCATTCAGCCATAAAAAGAATGAGATCTTGTCAATTTGCAACAACATAGATAGAACCAGAGGTCGTTATGTTAAGTGAAATAATCCAGGCACAGAAAGACAAACTTTATGTGTTCTCACTTATTTGTGGGAGCTAAAAATTAAAACAATTGAACTCATAGAGATAGAGAATAGAAGGATAGTTACCAGAGGCTGGGAAGGGTAGTGGCAGGTTGGGGGTGGAAAATGGGGATGGTTAATGGGTACAAAAGGTAATTAGGAAGAATAAATAAGACCTACTATTTGAAAGCACAACAGAGTGGCTATAGTAAAAAATAACTTAATTGTATATTTTAAAATAACTAAAAGAGTAAAAGTGGACTGTTTGTAACACAAAGGATAAATGCTTGAGGTAATGAATGCCCCATTTACCCTAACGTGATTATTACACTTTGCATGCCTGTATCAAAATATCTCATGTACTCCATAAATAGATATACCTATTATATACCCACAAAAATTAAAGAAGTTCAAACTTAGAGATATGAGTAATCAAATAAATGGGATATTCTTAACATCTGCATCAGTTAAGCCTCTTAGTTATAAACAGGAGAAACCTGCTGTAGATGGCTTAAGGAGAAAAAGGGTTTATTAAGGAAAACATAATTAGATAACACAATCTCCCTAAAGACAGAGAATCAGGCTTGGAAGCCAGGGAGGTAGGAACATGTGCAAATCATATGACCAGCCCACTCCAGGAGAGCACTGACACTGCAGCCCACACTACCGGTGGGGCCAGCTTCACAAGCCTGTGGCCCAGCTGCAAAAGAGGCTCGGGAAAAAGTTTCTGGTTCCTACTTTGGGGAGGTAGAAAATTCCCAAACAAAAGAAGGGTGTTTAAAGGTGCTGAATAGACAAGAAGAATGTTGAATGTCCACTACAGTCCACCCCTTGGCTGTTTAACACCTAATTACACTCTTCTTCCTTACTTAACTTCAAAATGCAAATATCATCAACCACCACAAACACTTCCATTTAGCACAATACAGCTATCCATCACACAAACAAAATTAAATTCATGATATTCTCCGAAGGGAAGTTCAGCATCTGTAGAAGAAAGAGGTTCAGACCTCATTTTGTTCCATCATGATCCTCTCTTGATGTACTGAAACCTGTGGAGGCATTGGCATGGTAACCATGATAACACATTCTGGGTTAAAAAGTAAGGGAAGATAGGGCAGCCAAGATGGCAGAATAGGAACAGCTCCGGTCTACAGCTCCCAGCGTGAGCGACACAGAAGGCAGGTTGTTTCTGCATTTCCATCTGAGACTTAAATGTCCCTGTCTGACAGCTTTGAAGAGAGCAGTGGTTCTCCCAGCATGCAGCTGGAGATCTGAGAACTGGCAGACTGCCTCCTCAAGTGGATCCCTGACCCCTGACCCCCGAGCAGCCTAACTGGGAGGCACCCCCCAGTAGGAGCAGACTGACACCTCACACGGCCGGGTACTCCTCTGAGACAAAACTTCCAGAGGAACGATCAGACAGCAACATTCGCGGTTCACGAAAATCCGCTGTTCTGCAGCCACCGCTGCTGATACCCAGGCAGACAGGGTCTGGAGTGGACCTCTAGCAAACTCCAACAGACCTGCAGCTGAGGGTCCTGTCTGTTAGAAGGAAAACTAACAAACAGAAAGGACATCCACACCAAAAACCCAACTGTACATCACCATCATCAAAGACCAAAAGTAGATAAAACCACAAAGATGGGGAAAAAACAGAGCAGAAAAACTGGAAACTCTAAAAAGCAGAGCACCTCTCCTCCTCCAAAGGAATGCAGTTCCTCACCAGCAACAGAACAAAGCTTGGTGGAGAATGACTTTGATGAGTTGAGAGAAGAAGGCTTCAGATGATCAAACTACTCCGAGCTACCGGAGGAAATTCAAACCAAAGGCAAAGAAGTTAAAAAGTTTGAAAACAATTTAGAAGAATGTATAACTAGAATAACCAATACGGAGAAGTGCTTAAAGGAGCTGATGGAGCTGAAAGCCAAGGCTCGAGAACTACGTGAAGAATGCAGAAGCCTCAGGAGCCGATGCGATCAACTGGAAGAAAGGGTATCAGTGATGGAAGATGAAATGAATGAAATGAAGCGAGAAGGGAAGTTTAGAGAAAAAAGAATAAAAAGAAATGAACAAAGCCTCCAAGAAATATGGGACTATATGAAAAGACCAAATCTGCGTCTGATTGGTGTACCTGAAAGTGACGGGGAGAATGGAACCAAGCTGGGAAACACTCTTCAGGATATTATCCTGGAGAACTTCCCCAATGTAGCAAGGCAGGCCAACATTCAGATTCAGGAAATACAGAGAACGCCACAAAGATACTCCTCGAGAAGAGCAACTCCAAGACACATAATTGTCAGATTCACCAAAATTGAAATGAAGGAAAAAATGTTAAGGGCAGCCATAGAGAAAGGTCGGGTTACCCTCAAAGGGAAGCCCATCAGACTAACAGCGGATTTCTCGGCAGAAACTCTACAAGCCAGAAGAGAGTGGGGGCCAATATTCAACATTCTTAAAGAAAAGAATTTTCAAACCAGAATTTCATATCCAGCCAAACTAAGCTTCATAAGTGAAGGAGAAATAAAATACTTTACAGACAAGCAAATGCTGAGAGATTCTGTCACCACCAGGCCTGCCCTAAAAGAGCTCCTGAAGGAAGCACTAAACACGGAAAGGAACAACCGGTACCAGCCACTGCAAAATCATGCTAAATTGTAAAGACCATCGAGACTAGGAAGAAACTGCATCAACTAACGAGCAAAATAACCAGCTAACATCATAATGACAGGATCAAATTCACACATAACAATATTAACTTTAAATGTAAATGGACTAAATGCTCCAATTAAAAGACACAGACTGGCAAATTGGATAAAGAGTCAAGACCCATCAGTGTGCTGTATTCAGGAAACCCATCTCACATGCAGAGACACACATAGGCTTAAAATAAAAGGATGGAGGAAGAGCTACCAAGCAAATGGAAAACAAAAAAAGGCAGGGGTTGCAATCCTAGTCTCTGATAAAACAGACTTTAAACCAACAAAGATCAAAAGAGACAAAGAAGGCCATTACATAATGGTAAAGGGATCAATTCAACAAGAAGAGCAAACTATCCTAAATATATATGCACCCAACACAGGAGCACCCAGATTCATAAAGCAAGTCCTGAGTGACTTACAAAGAGACTTAGACTCCTGCACAATAATAATGGGAGACTTTAACACCCCACTGTCAACATTAGACAGATCAACAAGACAGAAAGTTAACAAGGATACCCAGGAATTGAACTCAGCTCTGCACCAAGCGGACCTAATAGACATCTACAGAACTCTCCACCCCAAATCAACAGAATATACATTTTTTTCAGCACCACACCACACCTATTCCAAAATTGACCACATACTTGGAAGTAAAGCTCTCCTCAGCAAATGTAAAAGAACAGAAATTATAACAAACTGTCTCTCAGACCACAGTGCAATCAAACTAGAACTCAGGATTAAGAAACTCACTCAAAACTGCTCAACTACATGGAAACTGAACAACCTGCTCCTGAATGACTACTGGGTACATAACAAAATGAAGGCAGAAATAAAGATGTTCTTTGAAACCAATGAGAACAAAGACACAACATACCAGAATCTCTGGGACACATTCAAAGCAGTGTGTAGAGGGAAATTTATAGCACTAAATGCCCACAAGAGAAAGCAGGAAAGATCCAAAATTGACACCCTAATATCACAATTAAAAGAACTAGAAAAGGAAGAGCAAACACATTCGAAAGCTAGCAGAAGGCAAGAAATAACTAAAATCAGAGCAAAACTGAAGGAAATAGAGACACAAAAAACCCTTCAAAACATTAATGAATCCAGGAGCTGGTTTTTTGAAAGGATCAACAAAATTGATAGACCGCTAGCAAGACTAATAAAGAAAAAAAGAGAGAAGAATCAAATAGATGCAATAAAAAATGATAAAGGGGATATCACCACTGATCCTGCAGAAATACAAACTACCATCAGAGAATACTACAAACACCTCTACGCAAATAAACTAGAAAATCTAGAAGAAATGGATAAATTCCTCGACACATACACCCTCCCAAGACTAAACCAGGAAGAAGTTGAATATCTGAATAGACCAATAACAGGCTCTGAAATTGTGGCAATAATCAATAACTTACCAACGAAAAAGAGTCCAGGACCAGATGGATTCACAGCTGAATTCTACCAGAGGTACAAGGAGGAACTGGTACCATTCCTTCTGAAACTATTCCAATCAATAGAAAAAGAGGGAATCCTCCCTAACTCATTTTATGAGGCCAGCATCATCCTGATACCAAAGCCGGGCAGAGACACAACCAAAAAAGAGAATTTTAGACCAATATCCTTGATGAACATTGATGCAAAAATCCTCAATAAAATACTGGCAAACCAAATCCAGCAGCACATCAAAAAGCTTATCCACCATGATCAAGTGGGCTTCATCCCTGGGATGCAAGGCTGGTTCAATATACACAAATCAATAAATGTAATCCAGCATATAAACAGAACCAAAGAGAAAAACCACATGATTATCTCAATAGATGCAGAAAAGGCCTTTGACAAAATTCAACAACCTTCATGCTAAAAACTCTCAATAAATTCAGTATTGACGGGACGTATCTCAAAATAATAAGAGCTATCTATGACAAACCCACAGCCAATATTATACTGAATGGCAAAAACTGGAAGCATTCCCTTTGAAAACTGGCACAAGACAGGGATGCCCTCTCTCACCACTCCTATTCAACATAGTGTTGGAAGTTCTGTCCAGGGCAATTAGTCAGGAGAAGGAAATAAAGTGTATTCAATTAGGAAAAGAGGAAGTCAAATTGTCCCTGTTTGCAGATGACATGATTGTATATCTAGGAAACCCCATTGTCTCAGCCCAAAATCTCCTTAAGCTGATAAGCAACTTCAGCAAAGTCTCAGGATACAAAATCAATATACAAAAATCACAAGCATTCTTATACACCAATAACAGACAAACAGAGAGCCAAATCATGAGTGAACTCCCATTCACAATTGCTTCAAAGAGAATAAAATACCTAGGAATCCAACTTACAAGGGACGTGAAGGACCTCTTCAAGGAGAACTACAAACCAATGCTCAATGAAATTAAAGAGGATACAAACAAATGGAAGAACATTCCATGCTCATGGGTAGGAAGAATCAATATCGTGAAAATGGCCATAATACCCAAGGTAATTTATAGATTCAATGCCATACCCATCAAGCTACCAATGACTTTCTTCACAGAATTGGAAAAAACTACTTTCAAGTTCATATGGAACCAAAAAAGAGCCCTCATTGCCAAGTCAATCCTAAGCCAAAAGAACAAAGCTGGAGGCATCCCGCTACCTGACTTCAAATTATACTACAAGGCTACAGTAACCAAAACAGCATGGTACTGGTACCAAAACAGAGATATAGATCAATGGAACAGAACAGAGCCCTCAGAAATAATGCCACATATCTACAACTATCTGATCTTTGACAAACCTGACAAAAACAAGCAATGGGGAAAGGATTCCCTATTTAATAAATGGTGCTGGGAAAACTGGCTAGCCATATGTAGAAAGCTGAAACTGGATCCCTTCCTTACACCTTATACAAAAATCAATTCAAGATGGATTAAAGACTTAAACGTTAGACCTAAAACCATAAAAACCCTAGAAGAAAACCTAGGCATTACCATTCAGGACATAGGCATGGGCAAGGACTTCATGTCTAAAACACCAAAAGCAATGGCAACAAAAGCCAAAATTGACAAATGGGATCTAATTAAACTAAAGAGCTTCTGCACAGCAAAAGAAACTACCATCAGACTGAACAGGCACCCTATAAAATGGGAGAAAATTTTCGCAACCTACTCATCTGACAAAGGGCTAATATCCAGAATCTACAATTAAGTCAAACAGATTTACAAGAAAAAAACAAACAACTCCATCAAAAAGTGGGTGAAGGACATGAACAGACACTTCTCAAAAGAAGACATTTATGCAGGCAAAAAACACATGCAAAAATGCTCATCATCACTGGCCATCAGAGAAATGCAAATCAAAACCACAATGAGATACCATCTCACACCAGTTAGAAGGGCAATCATTAAAAAGTCAGGAAACAACAGGTGCTGGAGAGGATGTGGAGAAATAGGAACACTTTTACACTGTTGGTGGGACTGTAAACTAGTTCAACCATTGTGGAAGTCAGTGTGGCGATTCCTCAGGGGTCTAGAACTAGAAATACCATTTGACCCAGCCATCCCATTACCGGGTATATACCCAAAGGACTATAAATCATGCTGCTATAAAGACACATGCACACGTATGTTTATTGCGGCACTATTCACAATAGCAAAGACTTGGAACCAACCTAAATGTCCAACAATGATAGACTGGATTAAGAAAATGTGGCACATATACAGCATGGAATACTATGCAGCCATAAAAAATGATGAGCTCATGTACTTTGTAGGGACATGGATGAAATTGGAAACCATCATTCTCAGTAAACTATTGCAAGGACAAAAAACCAAACACCACATGTTCTCACTCATAGGTGGGAATTGAACAGTGAGAACACATGAACACAGGAAGGGGAACATCACACTCAGGACGGTTGTGGGGTGGGGGTAGGGGGGAGGGATTGCATCAGAAGATATACCTAATGCTAAATGACGAGTTAATGGGTGCAGCACACCAGCATGTCACATGCATACATATGTAACTAACCTGCACATTGGGCACATGTACCCTAAAACTTAAAGTATAATAATAATAAAATAATTAAAAAAAAGAAAACTTGAATAGTCTATACCCAGATGTAAAAAAAAAGTAAGGGAAAACCAATTGTGCCTGTTATTAAGTTATTATCTCTTATCTCCAAATTCACCATTTTATGCCCTCCTGGGGCTAGGACTGTACCACGCTTCCACGTCAGAAGCTGCCAATAGGGACATCACTGGGGGCCGGAGGAGAGAGAGGAGACATGTTTCTTCCTGTCTGTGTGCTGTTCCGGTCAGTGTCCTCCCAGCAACTCCTTCACCCAACAACAGCATTTGGTTTTGGTCTGTAGTTTTCCCCTCATTCCTAGAATGTACCTTATCACACCTTCCCCCTGCCCTGCTCAGTGACAACAGCCGGGTAACACGCTAGCCTCAGAGCTTTGGGTTCCACCTGCTCCGTGCCACTCCTCTAAGCTTCTCAATGTATTAATCCCAACCATTTCGCTTTGTTCCTCCAGCCCTAGAGAGGCAAGGACTCTGATTCCTGCCACTGCGAGTACTATGTTATCTCAATGTTCCTTTTTGCTTTTTCAGTCTTCCAACACCAGTTTAAGTAATTCTCTGCATTCCCTAGTTTGAACAAAAGCCAGAGTGGTAGTCCTTGTTACTGATTAGTAATTGTGACTTCACTCCTCTACCACCTATTTCATGTTCCCTTTGTCCTCAGCTGCTCAGAATTCTTTACTCAGTGGGAGGAATACAAATTTTCATTTCAGAAAGATCTGAACCATAGGTGGCCGAGCATATGTGAACTTGCAAGGAACATGGAAGGCGTAGTGAAGCAAGGAAATAATGATTACCAAGTATGGCCTCATGACCTGTTCAGAAACAGGGACTATAATGCATTGTTGTGATTACCTATATAAACTGTAGGGTGGAAGTGGGAAGACTAGTTAGGAGGCTTTTACAGTAATCCAGGGGGAGGGAGAGTAATGGCCCAGACCAAGGTGGCAACAGTGGAAGTGGTGAAAAGTAAGTGGATTCTAAACACATTTTGAAGCCGACAAGATATGCTGATGGATTAGATGAAAGGTGTAAAGGGAAGGGGGGAGTCAAAGATTGTTCCAAGGATTTGGGCCTGAGCAATGGGAAGGATGGAGCTGCCATCAACTGAGTTGGGGAAGGCATTAGGTAGAGGAAATTTGAAGGGAAAGTCAAGAGTTCATTTGGATATATTGAGATTGAGATGCCTGTTAGCCATCCAAGTGAAAATGATCCCTACAGCTTTGCCTTTGGAACAGATCTGTCTCCTCCCACTAGAATGAGAAAGCCCTGATGTCAGTCTGTTTGTCTCTCATTTCAGCATCTTTAGTGCTCAGCACAGTGCCTGGACCATGATCATTTCAGTAAATAGCTTTTGAATGAATGAATGAATAAAAAAATGAAAAACTTTGGGGGTTCTCATATATGCCAAAGTTTGTCTTATCCAGGTTCCAACTCCACCATTCTTTTCCAGAAAGAATAAGATAACCATTTTATTCTGCACACTGTGGCCAATATTCACTGGAAACCTGTCTTGTTAGTTTACTAATTGTAGATGAAATCTTTCTCCCCTGAAGTGGAGAAATCCCTCAGAGAGACAAGAGCCTTCCTCCCTCCTGTTAGAAGCATGTCTCAGCCTGGATTCAGCTGGAGACTTGTTCTGACTAGAAGATAGGGCTTTGACAATGGTCTCAGGTCTGGGAGAGTCTGAGGGCACGGTGTGTGCAGTAGAATCCTCTTCTTCTCTTCTTCCCTGTACATGGGTGTGTTTTTTGTGTTGTGGCTTCTCATAGGAAACCTGAGGTAGACCCAGAACAGTTTCCCTTGGAGCTTCTCTCTCTGCCCAAGTTCAAATCCCAGTAATTACGGAGTCCCAATTCAGTACTTCTGATAGGAAGCAAAAGTAAGGTTCATCCTATCCCCAGTGTCCAGTATAGAACAGGAGGCATTCATTTGGACAGTTTCACCCTAATTCAGCCACAGTTAGGACTCCCGTGTCAGGCTGCCTCTATAGTGCGCTGCCTGTCTTCCTGCACCCTGACCTCTGGCATCCCCTCCTTTGAGGAGACTTTCATAACTCCCAATTTTGGTTTATGAGTCGTTGCTATGCAGGGAGAAACACAGGAGGTGAAGGTGAAGGTGGGGAGTTGATTTGCTATTAACAAACTTCTGTATCTTGATTTTATGTTCAAAATACATGATTACATGTACTCGATGGAACTTAACATTTTTGCTTATTTGGAATTGTTTTTTTCTTTCTGCTTTTCTTCACTCAAATCTGGAAAGCATAAGGTGCTCACTAATTAGAGGTAACCATAGTTACCAAGTTGTCTTCAAAATACCCCTAAGAGTTCCTTTTTATTTTTTGAGTTCTTATTCTACAAAAAGCATTTCACTTGTCAGTCTTCTTTGTTCTCTTTTCAGTTTCATGGGGTGATGTTCCAAACCTGGAAGACTTTTGGTAGCTCTGTTAAAAGTTCAAAAGTAAAATAATGAAATAAACTACCTATTCTTAGAAAATAGTCCCATGCCTAAAATTATCTGGTTTCAAAATTTCAGCTGACTGGGTAGCAACGAGAAATAGACCAGAATCCTGCAAATTTCAATGTGTATACAGTAGCTTCCCATTATCTGCTATTTTGCTTTCTGTGATTTCAGTGACACATGGTCAGCTGTGGTCTGAAGACATTAAATGGAGAATCCAAGAAATAAACAATTCATAAGTTTTAAATTGAGTACTGTTTTGAGTAGTGTGATGAAATCTTGTGCCTGCTTGCTCCGTCCTGCCTGGGAAATAAATCCTCCCTTTGTCCAGCAAGATCCATGCTGCATATGCTATCCACTCATTAGTTACTTAGTAGCTGTTTCGGTTATCAGATCTAAAAAACACAGGATGTATAAGGTTCAGTACCACCCGCAGTTTCAGACATCCACCTGCGGTTTTGGAACGTATCCCCCATGGATAAGGGTGAAAATACTGTACAGCTAAAATCCTCAACAGAGAGAAGCTGGCACCCGGAGGAGTGTTTTCTAAAATTTCCACTTGAGGGCGCTGTCGTCTTCTGTCAGGGTAGAACCGACGTATTTTTTTCCCGTTAGGTTAGTTACTGCATGTGAAAAACTTCACTGACACCCAGGTTTCGGTTTGCTACAGTGGTGATTAGAGGTCTCTTAGAGACTGGCACACTAGGCAGCCACCTGGTTGGCCTCCCCTTCATTCAGTCAGCTCTGCCATTCAGCTTTCTTCCAGCCTCTGCACATTACCTGTCCTAGTTCTTGTTTTATTGTACTGCCACTCAACTTTTCTGAATCTCCCACTTGGCTGTGTCTCTGTACCTGCTAAATCAACACAGTTCCTGGCATACAGGTGCATTTCAGTGCATGCTGGTGAGACAGCGAAGGGCTTGAAACAGTCCACAAAAGTTGATGCAGGAGAGCAGTACAATCCTTTCTGGAGTGGGACTCAGAGAAAGATCATGCATGTTGAAGTCATTCCAGCAGCAGTCCAGGGGAGTTGGGGCAGGTAAGGCTTGAACAACTGCTGATTGTGTCTGTTTCTATTTGCCCAGACTGGCATGTGAGCCACAGGAAGGAAAAGATAGAAAGATGCTAGTCTTAGAGCTTGATTAGATGTGACTCTTTCCACTTGTCAGTAACTCTTATTCCCTCTGGAGATTTTCCAAACCAGAAACGTCTTGGGAATCACATATATGAAAGAACCCAAAACTAAGATAATAAAATAAACCACCCATTCTTAGAGAAGAGCCTTATGCCATGAGTTACTGGGTCTTAACATTTCAGTACCTCTTGACCTAATATTTCAGCAAGATATTAGAGTTTCAGCAGAAATTGCCAGGCCCTGGAAGGCTGAGAAAAGGCAGGGAAGCCCTGAAGGCTGTGGCTGGTGCCTTTCTCAAAGATAGGTGGCAGGTGGACAGACAGAGAAGGAGTCTAGGCGGGCACAGCCGGACCCAATTGCTCAGATTGGGCTGAAGTCTTGGGTGAATGGCAGGAGGGAGAGAAGCTAAGGAAAAGGGAAAGGAAGGGAGTTGACAGAAGATCAAAGCAAGGACCCCAAGGCAGGGTGGATCAGGGCAGAAGAGGCTTCAGCCAGGGCTTGGAGAGATGAACCTGGGCCAGAGGCTGGGGAGGCAGGAAAGAGCTGGCCGTAGAAAGACCTAATGAACCAAGAGGCAGCTGCATGGCTGAAGCTGAGTGGTGCCCACGTGGTTACCTTTTGGAAGTGGTTGGTTTCAATGTCTCCCGAAGCTGGGGTTGCAAATATAACACAAATGTGTGAGACTGGCCTGTGAGAGAGGGCATGCCTGTCTAGAGGGGCAGCCAAGTGTTGGCCTCCACATTGTCACCATGCAGAAATGCAGGCTCATCATTGCCAGATTTTCAGAAGAAGATGGGATTTCATTGTGAAATTTCTATATTGAAAGACACTGGTGTTCTGATTCTAGGTAAGATGGGATAAGTGCACTCCAACCATCATTTCTGTTGGTCATAACTCCAGGAGAGAAAGTTTAGAACAGCTATTTGAGGACGGTGAAAAGAAAACAGCAGAAGGAATATTGGTGAAGAACACAGAATTTGAAGTACATCAAACCAGTAGTGAGTTTATCACTTTCCCCACTCTTGTATCCCTTGGTTTGAACTTAACAGAGCTAGAAACTGGAAGTGGGATCTGGGGCACAGACAGCTCCAGGAGAAGTTCTTTAGTTCTGGCCCAAGGAGTGAAAAGGGGAACTCCTAATGTCCAGAGAGATCATGACCATTCTCTCTCTCTTCTCTTTTTCAAAAAAATTATTATCTTTTTCTGTTTCTCATGCCACAGGCCCTGGGCAAACCCACACCTGTAGGGTCAGCAGTCAGTAACGGGACTGACAGGAGCCAAAACTGAGGCAGTGTAAACTTGTTCTTTTTTCAGAAGAACTGTGATCCCACGGTGGGTGAGACTAGCTTCCATTGATATTTTTGTCTCTCTCTCTTCTACTGCCACTTGGATCTGAACATGGGCTACAAACATAGACGTGTGTAGAACAGAGTAACCAGAACCCCAATTTGGGGTGGAGGATCAAAAAGGGGAGCCTCAGGGAACTGAGAGTACCAGGGAGATTACAGAGAGGGTGGAGCTCAGGGAAGTGACTCCATACAGTTATTTATGAATTCCAGGGCTCACTTCCAAGCCATACATGTTTGGATCTGGTTTTAATGAGGATACCAAGACCTTTGAGAACTGAAGTAATAGAGAGGTCATCACCTGGTTCCTAGACTGGCTTCTGGGTGGTGCACACCTGAAATGGAGACAAAAAGCAGTTTGAAAACTGAGTGGATGTTGACATCACAGCGCACAGAAGGTGGGTTGGAACTTGCAAACTGAACCTAACCATGTCCATCACCTGCTAAAACAAAATATTAACATTTTTCGTAATATTTAAACAAGATCCAGAGTCTCACCAAATAATATCTAAATTGTTCAGGATAAAATAAAAAAATACTGAGCATACAAAGAACCATAACAATTTAGGTTACCTTCGCCTTTATCCCCCTGCTGTGCATTGCAGGTTCTGTGTCGTTCTCCAGCTGCTCCCCATCCCACCCCAATTTTCTTTGAAAAAGACAATCCACAGACACAAATGATGAGATTTCACAGATGTTGGAATTAGAAGACAAAGGCTTTGAAGCAGCTATTATAAAAGTGCTCAAATGAGCAATTGTGAATATTCTTGAAACAAATATTAACATACAAAATCTTAGTACGGAAATAGAAGATATAAGTGGAAATTTGAGAACTTAGAAATATCAGAACCAAACCAAGAAATTCACTGGTGGACTCATTACCAGAATGGAAATGATAGAAGAAAGAGTCAGTGAACTTAAAAGTAGATAAATAGAAATTATTCACTGTAAACCATAGAGACAAAAAATAGAATAAAAAAAAAGAACAGGCCTCTCTGACATATGCAACAACAACAAAAGGTCTACCATTTATGTCATCAAGAGCCCAGGAAGGGAGATGAAAGACAGTGATGCTGAAAAACATTTAAATAATGTTTTTAAATGTCCCAAGTTTGGTGAAAGATATAAACTTACACCTTCAAGACTTGAATAAACCCCCAACAGGGTAAACACAAAGAAATCTACATCCAGACACATCATAATCAAACTACTGAAAGCTAAAGACAAAGCAAAAATCTTGAAAGTAGCCAGAGAAAAATGACTCATTATCTGTGGGGCACAATGATATGAATGACTGCAGGTTTCTCATCAGAAACCATGAAGGCCTTAGGTAGTGATACAGTATTTTATTTATTTATTTATTTATTTATTTATTTATTTATTTATTATTTTTTAAGAAAGGGTCTCACTCTGTTTCCCAGGCTGGAGTGCAGTGGTGCAAACACGGCTCACTATAGCCTCAACCTCCCAGGCTCAAGTGATCCTCTTGTCTCAGCACCCCAAGTAGCTGGGACTACAGCCACATGCACCACCATGCCCAGCTAATTTTGGTATTTTCTGTAGAGACTGGGTTTCACTATGTTGCCCAGGCTGGTCTCGAACTCCTGAGCTCAAGCAATCCATCCACCTTGGCTTCCCAAAGTGCTGGGATTACAGGTGTGAGCCACCAATCCAAGCCTGTGATACAGTATTTATAAAGTGCTGAAAGAAAATAACTGTTAACCTAGAATTCAAAATCCAGCAAAAATATCCTTTAGGGATGAAGGCAAAATAAAGACATTCTCAGATGAAGGAAAACTAAAAGAATTCATAGAAGCAAATCTGTTCTAAAGGAACTGATACAGTTCTCCTGATAGAGGGTATGGTTCCATCCTAGCAGCTGAACTTGTGGCCCTTCTGTATTATCCCTACCTTGTTGAGCCTAAAGGTTGCCACTCGGTGTGAAGAATGGACTACCCATGTGACTGAATCTATCATTTTCTATTTATAAGGTAAATGCAGAGATTTCAGACTACAAAGTGACCTTCATAGGCCAATGGTGTTTCTGGAAACCTGTGAGCAGAAAAAGGACTTCCACTCTGAGGGGTGGCAGCATAGTCACTTGGCTGGGGCAACTGGTCTCTTTGGCAATAACTGCTTATCAGAGAGGTTCCCATGGCATCCAGGCCCTGCAGGATGCTGTTGAGACCCTGTCAGGTGAGAACAAAATGGCAGTAGTGTGGCCCAGGCTCCCATACTGAGGACGGAAGGCACCAGAAGACAGTAGACACTGGTCCAAAACCTAGAGGTGTGCACAGCAGATGGAAAACTACTTTCTGCCAGCAGAGGTGACATTTTCAGGGGGCTTCATGGCTTTAGTGAGAGAGAACCAAGGAACTGGAAAGGATGGACACTGTGGGTGGCCACACACACAAACCTCGGCGACTGGCAAAATCATCTGAGGAGAATTGAATTGTTTCCTTGGCAAACGAAGTGGTTGAAGAACTATTTTTATGGCTGTTCTTATGATTCTGTGTTTCACTGTAGACTGGCACAGCCTAGAGAACATGCGCTATGGTTGTTATAAGGACAATCTACAAATATTACAAGTAATTTGGAGAAGAGAAAGAAAAGCACCTGTGATCCTATAACCCTGGCATGACTATCATCATTTTCACATAATCTCATTCATTGGAAAATAAACTTAATATGAGGTTGAATGAGCTGAGAGGACCTTTTCACTTTACATGGGTCACGATTATTTTCAGTGTTTCTACATTGTCCTCATACTCATCACTTAAATAACTGCTTGATTAAATGGATGCACTTAACTAATTCTATGTACATTAATTTCCTTAACAGCTACCCCTCACTGTGGAACACTTAGGTTGTTTCCACTTCTCTAATATTCTGAGTAAATGCAATGAACATCATCAATGCTCCTCTTTTTCCTTCTTTGAGATTGTCAAGCCTTTCTGGATTTTTTTTTTTTTTTTTTTTTTTTAGGTGGAGTTTCACTCTTGTTGCCCAGGCTGGAGTGCAATGGTGCGATCTCGGCTCGCTGCAACCTCCACCTACCAGGTTCAAGTGATTCTCCTGCCTCAGCCTCCCGAGTAGCTGGGATTACAGGCATGCACCACCAAGTCCAGCTAATTTTGTATTTTTAGTAGAGATGGGGTTTCTCCACGTTGGTCAGGCTGGTTTCAAACTCCTGACCTCAGATGATCCGCCCATCTTGGCCTCCCACAGTGCTGGATTACAGGCGTGAGCCATTGCGCCGGCCACCATTCTGGATTTTAACTGCAGCAAAAGAAATAGGGCTGGATGTGCATGTGTGTGAGTGTGCGCGCGTTTGGGTGGGTGTACTTTAGTGCATACCACCACTCTCCACAGATGCCGTGCACGCTGCCAGCCATTTTTTTGTGTGAGTGCTCTGTTTTCCAATTTATGCCTATCTTGGGGGGACTTGGCCGTGTCACTGAGCCTGCTTTACTTCTCTGATTTTTAAAACAAATGGTCTGATGAAACTGCTTCTAAAGCCAGTCTGTGACCTGAGTAGCGGGGATCCTGACAGATTTTTCCCTAATTGATTAATTAATGAACTAATTAATTAAGTGAATATTTTCTGAGTATCTACTATGTGCCAACCCTGTATTAAGTGTTAGGAATATAGCAATAAACACAGCAGATGAAAATCCCTGTCCTAATAGAGTTGACAGAACTTTGGTGTTCTGTATTCATTGGTGAGACAGAATCAATGAATAAATACATATACAATGTAATTCCAAGAGATGATAAACATGCGAAGAAAAGTAAAGCAGGGAAGGGGAGAGAGGGTAATGGAGGAAATTTTTGTTTCTTAAAAGAATTTTTTTTTTTTTAGAAATAATGTCTCGCTATGTTGCCCAGGCTGGACTTCAACTTCTTGGCTCAAGTGATCCTCCCACCTCAGTCTCTCGAATAGCTGGGACTATAGGCATGGGCCATTGTGCCCAGTTCAGAGGAACCTTTTCAGAGAGGATGGTCAGGACAGCCTCTTTGAGCAGGTAATTTTGGGGTTGAATGAGCTGACAGGTCCAGCCGTGCTTTTGGGAGGGAGAGTGAGCCGGGCAGAGGGAACAGTGGTGCGAAGGCTCTGACTTAGGAGTGAGTTTTGTGTTTTGAAGGAATAGCAAAGAATGCAGTGAGGCTGGAGTGAAGTGAGTGAAGAGGGCAGTGATGAGATGAAGTTAGAGAGGTGGGGGTGATGATGAGGCTGTCTGGGGGAGGTCTGTCCAGTGTGGGCCTTGGGGATGGTGGGGAGTCCAGGGCAGGTGCATTCTCATCTGGGACCCCCTGATCCTAGTTCTGTGGGAAGATATAGATCAGAGCAGGAGACAGACACAAACAGATCATTTTACTATCTGGTGAGAGATGTTTTTGGAACCTAGAACACAGGGGAAATTAGTGAGGCAACGATTTTCTCTCTTTCTGCTTGACTTATGCTTTATTTATCTTCAGGACTAGCCATAATTTGAAGATGCTGGAAAAAAATATTCACAGTCTCTGGAAATCTAGCAAAGTGATCAGGATTCTTTCCTTTGGCACTTCAAAGCAGAGTCAACAAAAAAAGCTGGGGGCGTTTTTTTGTGGTTATATGTTAAAAGTAAGAATGAACTTATACTGTCTTTCTTCCATTTTTCTTTCCTTATACCTGGGTTTGGCTGAGCCTGAGAGCAAAGATTGCCATTTGGGTTCAGTAGGTTGCTGACAAATTAAGTAAAGATTCCCTCATTTGTGGGTCAGATGTCTTACAGCCTGGTTTTGGTGAAGCAAATCTTGGGAGAGTGAATCTTGTCCACCCTCTGGCTGCTGGCCACATGGAGATGTTAGTAATTGCGGGTCAGGGCAGGTCAGATCTCCTAAGCCAAAGGTCCAGAGGTATCAGCGAATGCAGGGACTACCAGGCAATTCTTCATGTCTCAGCCTGGCAAGGAGTTAATTCCAGAGAAAGCTGCAGGTTCCGTCACTAATTCATTGTGTGATCTTGGGCAAGTTTATTATTTGTAAAATGGGAGTGGAGGTAGGGTAGGGTGTGGGCTGAGCCAGAGTGATAGCCATTGCTCTCTTCAGCTTTTAAATTCCAGTGGGTCAACAAAAAGGAAGCTTCTGAGCAACCTTAATTGGCAGAGCTGAGGACACAAACAGCAGGAATAGCTGTAGAGGGATATGGCCTGGGTGGAGTTCCTGCAAGCCCAAGGGATTCCAGGACAGCTAGCAGGAAAAGAATGGTTAGCGAGGGGAAGAGGGATGGAGGGGGAAAAGGTTGGGAGTGATCTTGCCTAGGATCACACAGCTGGGTAGAGGAGGAGGAGGAGGAGGAGGAGGGCAGGGCAGCGGGCATGGCTTTGTGGTTGTGTGAGTTCTGGCCTCTTTAAAGTGGAGTTTAGGAGTGGCTGGCTTCTCTGTAAGAGTTGCTCAGCTTAGTTGCAGAAGCCTGATGTGGACCCCTGAGAAACGGCTGAGGAAGTCCTGGGTTTCATGTCCTGGTTCCAGGGACCCTGCAACAGCAGGTGGCATAGAGATAAGAGCAGGGCCCCTGCAGTTAAAAGGTGCTGTCCTAAATCCAGCATGGCACTGAAAGCATTAGGGGGACAGGTCTTTAGGCTCTCTGCCTCCCCTGCCCAGGGAGCTCCATCAGGCCCCCTCCAAGACTCCACACATGATCACACATGCTGATTCCACCTTCATTGTGTAGGTGCAGCTTCCAGACAAGGCTCAGAGGCCCTTCTCTGCCAGATGGTGGCTCTAAGTCCTTTCATAGAGAAGTTCCAGAACCAGCTGCTTATATCCTGGCACTGCCGTTTGTGGGCAGCATGTGCACCTCCAAGACACTTAACCTCTCTGAGCTCCTGTTTCCTCTTGGAGGAGTGGAATCATGATTACCTTGCAGGATTGGGACTGTCTCCTAGGTTGATGCTTGTGAGAATCTTTGTACAGCACCCAAGAGGAGGCCAGGAATGTTCTTTCCTTTCCCTTTCCTGCATTAGAAGAAGTTGTGAAAGGCTTGGAAGTGGGCAAAGGGGATGACTGGGTGTCCTTTCAGTGGAACACTGGGCATTTATCTGATGCTGCTGGGGTCTGTGTCTTTGACTGGGTGACTTATAATCCCTGGAAAACTGATAGAAATGCAAACAATTCTTGCCTATCAAAACATAAGTGTGGTGGCTCACGCCTGTAATCCCAGCACTTTGGAAGGCAGAGGCAGGTGGATTGCTTGAGCTCAGGAGTCTGAGACCAACCTGAGCAACATAGCAAAACCCCATCTCTCTAAAAAGTACAAAAATTAGCTGGGAGTGGTGCACACACCTATAGTGTCAGCTACTTGGGAAGCTGAAGTGGGAGGATTGCTTGAGCCTGGGAGGTTGAGGCTGCAATGAGCTGTGATTGTGCCACTGCACTCTAGCCTGGGCAACAGAGCCGAGACCCTGTCTCAAAAAACAAAAACAAAAAACCCCAAAACCTAAAGAAACATAAGTGAATATTGTCCTCTAATGATACAAGTAACTTCTGTTATGGATAACAGATTATTCCAAACAGTGTAGTTTCTTGACCTATGGATATGAACCAGTTTTCTCTCTGTTAGCATTCCTGGCTGTCTACACATGTCTATCCTTCAGATTCTGCTTTGAAATGATTGTGACATCTTACTGGTTCCTTTATTAATTGATGAGTTAAATGATATCTTTGACATATGTTCATTTTGTGTTGTATGAGTCATGACTTTACCTTTGAAAATGGTATTTTAACACCCACTTCCTTGATGATTCATAAATCAGTAATTTAGATCAGACTTTCACCATCCATTCCCCACTGCTGATTCTATATTAAATTCCAAGTCCTTCACTCATCCCCCATCCCCAATACACAAACAGCACACACACACACACACACAGGCACATAACCCCTATACACCCATAAAACTAGTGATTTTTGCAAGGGGAGGTGGCACTAAAAACCCAGGCATCTGGATATTTTAGACTGAATGGGGGTTGGATACCTAAGATATGAGGCAGCCTTGGAGACCAAGTGTAGGGACTGAATGAGGTGGTACCTCGGGAGGGACTAATATAGTGTTCCCTATTTGGAGTAAGTTTTACACTGAATCCCAACTTCAGCTCAAGTGAAAGAATTGTACTGACCAAGTCTTCCTGGGCCTCCCTCCCAGTGTCCTGTCCCCAACACTAAGGAAGGTGGCACTGAGTGCCAGTAGCGAGTGGTACCGGGCTGGGTAAGGTTTTAGATTTGCCAGTATTGTTTTCAATGTATTTCCCTTGGGGGCTGCCAGGTTCTGTTGCACTAGGCACCTGGGGCCTCTGCTGGACAAGGATCAGAGGGTCTTGGAGGCCTCAGCAGGAAGCATGGAAAGGTTGCACTGGGGGTGGTGGGTACTGGATCATCTCTGGGTGTCGCCTTGGACTATTTCCCCTCACTGATTTCTACAGCGAACCAACAGACAGATTGGCTTCTGCTCTGTATAACTACCAGAGTCTCCCCAGCACTTTGGAGTCCCACCAACTCCAAAACATGGCGGGGCTCAAGGAAAAGCGATTATAGGCTCTTATCTGCACCACTGCAGCTCCAAGTGCGGTCTGCAACCAGCAGCATTGACATCACCTGGAGCTTGCTCAGGCTCCTGCCCAGACTTGTTGAATCAGAATGTGCAGTTTAACAAGATTCCCCGGGTGATTCCTGTGCACTCAGTTGGAGAAGTGCTAGAGTGATGAAGGTCCCGATAGCCTAGGAACATTAAGCCCTCCAGTCTGTGAATCTCCTTAGCTGGGGCATAAGGGGCAGTCACTTTCACTCTTCAGAGCCTGTTTCCTCATCTGTAAAGAAAGGATGATAACTTCTGTGCCACAGAGCCATGGAGTGATCAAATGTATGCAAAACCATGGCCAGTTACTGCCTGTAACTTGTTTAAAGGCCAAGAGAACCCCAAGGAAACCCTGATGGGAGTAGGATTGGTAAATAAGATCGGGGATCAGGGTGGCCAGGGCTGGGCTCTGGAGTTGCCCACAGATGGCCCTTTCACTGTCCACCTGGCCTGTAGCAAAGTTAGCTCCAAGTCTGAGCTGCATTTCCCAAGCCCTTTCTGGGGACATCTACTACAAGGATTTGTCCCAGTGTAGCATCTATCAGGCTTCCCTCCTTGCATGTTCTGAGGACCAAATGGAGCCCTTTGCCCTCAGTAGACGCAGGGAACGACAGGGCAGAATGAAATCACTTTAATAGCATAACAACATTTTCAGACCAGGAGTCACAGATGAAGAAAACATTTTGTCTTCCATTTGCACAATTCTGGTGAGGTGTGTGGTTGCACTGGACAATCTTACAGACACATTTTTCACATTGAGAACTTAATAAATAGATACATACAATGTCAAACTCCACAGACAATGAGTTATGAGTGTGATTGTTTTCTTATTCTGCCTCCTCTGGGTTGGGAGGTTGCTTCCCGTTGGGCTGATGGCGGCTGGGTCCTCTAGGAGGGGTACTCATACTCCTCGGCACTGCGACGGCCAAAATCCATCCAGCCCATGTAGTCCCGGTCACTTATCCTGTGGCTGGGGTCCAGGTTCTGCAGGTTCTTAACGATGGACATTCGTCCAGAAGGAGCTACAAGGAGCAGGGAGGAAGGAAACAGGGACATTGCATCTAAAAGCATCTCTAGTTCAATTTGGGAAGGAGAGCAATGGAAAAAGCCAGACGCAATATAACAGACACCACCTTAAAGGTATCAAAGAGCTATCAAAGTAGTGGAACTGATGGACCAAAATCTGAGAGAGGAGAAGGACCAATGTCTGTGTAACTGGAGAGAGGACAATATATTTACAAGTTAGGGGTGTGCTTTGCGTTCTGCAAGTATTTAGGTGGATTCATTTTCTCTAGCCTTGCAGTCTGGGGACTTGCCTAGATTTTCCTTAGTCTCCCTACCGTTTGCTTTCTTTTGGTAGATGGGTGTTTTCCTTTTGTAGATGGCATCAGCAGAAACCAACCAAAGATTTTTCCAGTACTTAATTGTTCCTAAATTCATCCCTTAATATCCATCAACATTCCTGACTCCTGGAGAGCTCTTGTTATTAAGGTGGCACAATTATAATATCTTGATGTTGGAATGGTTAAAAAAAAATCGTTGGTGGGAGTGTAAATTAGTTCAACCATTGTGGAAGACAGTGTGGCAATCCCTCAAGGATCTAGAACCAGAAATACCATATGACCCAGCAATCCCATTACTGGGTATATACCCAAAGGATTATAAACCATTCTGCTATAAAGACACATGCACATGTACGTTTACTGCAGCACTATTCACAATAGCAAAGACTTGGAACCAATCTAAATGCCCATCAATGATAGACTGGATAAAGAAAATGTGGCACATTTACACCATGGAGTACTATGCAGCCATAAAAAGGATGCGTTCATGTCCTTTGCAGGGACATGGATGAAGCTGGAAACCATCATTCTCAGCAAACTAACACAGGAACAGAAGACCAAACACCGCATGTTCTCACTCATAAGTGGAAGTTGAACAATGAGAATACATGGACACAGGGAGGGGAACATCACACACCAGGGCCTATCGGGGGGTGGGGGTTAGGGGAGGGATAGCATTAGGGGAAATACCTAATGTAGATGACTGGTTGATGGGTGCAGCAAACCACCATGGCATGTGTATACCTATGTAACAAACCTGCATGTTCTGCACATGTACCCCAGAACTTAAAGTATAATAAAAAATAGATAAATAAAGCTCCTTTGCTACATAAATACTCTTTTAAAAATATGAATTTGAAAGTTATATTCAGAAAGCTTTTGTCATTTATCAGTAAGTGTTTTGAGTTGATGATCATTTTATTTTTAATGATAAATCAATATCAATTAAAAATGATATTCAGAAAAAGACTGTCGGATTAAATCTTGGCACCTCAGTAAGACTCAAAGAAGGGGGGGAGAGAGGTGATAACAAAGGTGATTTAAATCAGCAATTTTGACCAAAATGCAATAACTGAACCTGAAATTGTCCCATTGGGATGGAAGTTAAGTCTTCAGGAACAGTGTGATCCTTTTGTAGAGCTCACACTGAGTGAGCAGGGACATGAAGAGGCAGTTTATTTGGAGACATGAGACAGTCCTAGCTCAAAGTTCATAGACAGAAGCCTCCTGGGGTATGAAATCAGCAGAACACCTTCTCCTGTGCAAGCTCAGTCTTAAGAAAGGCCCTTCAGGGACTTCAATGGACAAAGCCCAGGCCAAATCAAGGGTAGAGGAGTGGAGGACCACTCAATGACTCCCACTGTGTTGGGGGCCACTGTATCCCCACCTCCTGTCATGCTGGTCTATATCCCTTCTGCATGAGGCTGCCCTTGCCAGCTCCTACCCATAGGCTGAGTAGAGTCAGACTATGGCTTATGTGTTGATAAATGAAAATGCAAAGGCAGTTACCCTGGGTAATGAAATTAAGCAAGTTTAATTAAAAACAGAAACAACACAGAACAACGTCCCCACCCTTTCTCTCCCCAACCCCAACCCTTCCCAGTTTTGGAACCAACAGTCAATTCAGCACATTTCAGGTCTTTTTGCAGATATCCTCAGCCTACGTAGAAGAAAAATAGCCCCTGCTATTTAATTGTTCATCATTCAGGTGAAATATTACCCTTGAATTCAGGAAAACCTATAGACCCAGTTACCTGTACACAGTCACATGGAAACATGACCCATCCTTCTGCCTGCTGTGATGATGAGTGCCCACTCTAAGGCCTGGGCACAACCCAAATTTCCATCTAATGGAAGCAAGGTGACAGCTTCAATACGAGCAAGCAGCCTCAGTTAACGGTGGGGGCACCATGTTCAGTCATGGAAGCTGCATTTATCACACACCCTGACTTCCCCGTTCCACGTACAGTTCTGTCCTCATGTCATGTGTATTTACCAGGGTCCTCACTCACTTTCCCAGTGCTGACATAGAGTAGGGGCTTACATCTGATGTATGGAATTGATCAAAGCCTGATTCCTATGGGCCACAAGAGATGGACGGGCCTCCCTCTGAATCACACAAAGAATTGGAAGGGGCTTATTGGAAAGCTAGCCTCGGGACTGTCTGCATGTCACTCAGCTAGTGGGCTGCTGAATCACCTTATTCCTGGAGAAAGACTTTGGTGCTGAGAAAACAGTGACTTTCTTAGCTCTTGCTAAAACTGAAGGGTTTAGCTCTTTTAAACTTTAAAATGTGGAATAGGCAGTACAGCTAGGAAGCTGAATGGCTTCCAGGCCCTCCTGGGGGGAGCAGGACTAGATAGAGTCTCAGCCCTGCTGTTGCGTAGATATGCAACTGCATGTAGGTTACTCAGGCTTTTAGAGCCCCAGCTTCCACACTGGCAAAATGGGTATAATAATATTCACTGTGCAGGGCTGTTGTACTGAGAAAGACAATATAGATGTAGCATTGAAGCTTTGCTGGGCATGGGGGAGGCGCACACTAAATGCCTCTAGATATCTTTACCCACTGCCCTCCAATAGAATTGTTTCTTCTTGGGCCATTGAAAGTGCTGCAGATATTTCCTAATGATAAACTCTTAAGTACTGCTCAAAGAATGCATTGTCTTGTTTAGAACTTTTAAGAATAATATATACTATAGTGGAGCAAAAATCTGATATGATCTCAAAATATGTAAAATATTCAAAATATGTAAAATATTCTATATACTGCACATATAGAAACTGTGCAGTATCTATATGTGTAAGTATTTAGTCCTAGTTCATGTTTGTCACATAGAAGAGTTTGCTTGTTTTTTAGCTAGAGTTGATCCTAGGTGTTGGCATCTAAATTTCCAAGTGATTGCTATTCCCTCCTGGGTTTGTTTGGCACAATTGGCTGAAGGCAAAGGGAGAGGGGGGCTGAGAAGAGGGACTAGAAAGAACTTTCCAGCTAAGATTTATGCTATAAGAGCCATTGTCTAGTATTGGTTCTAGGAAATAATTTGGTAATGAGCTTTTTTTTTTTTCTTTTTTTTCCCTAGAGCAATTTTGGAACCAAGACTCAATTCGGCACATTTCAGGCCTTTTTGCAGATATCCTCAGCCTACATAGAAGAAAAACCAGGGTCTTTCCTAAATTGGAGGAGGGGAGTCCAGGTCCACAGTTAAATGAAAAGCCTAGGATATTTCAGACTGGTCTGGCTGAAATTCAGCCTGTATCTGGGGACAGATACTAAATTATTTTCAGGCAGAGAATCAGCAGGAACTCAAAAGCTTTCAGACTTTCTCTCTCCATCTGAGAAGTATTTCTATCTTTTTCAATTTAATTAGCAGGAAAGCAAAACACAAGGTGGTGGGTGGGGCAATTTCCCAAAGACAGGAAGAAATACAACAAATCACTGATTTGTTCTTTCCTTCTGAAGCCTCTGGGTCAGAGTTCCAGTCTTCCCTTCATGTGAACCCACAGAAGAACTCTGCAGAGCCAAAACTCTTCATCTTATCCCTCTCTGGTCAAGCCAGGGGTTAAGGTTCAAATCCAGGCCCTGGAACACCAGTTGGGTAAGAGAGCTTCATGGAAAAGGCAACACACCTACCACATCCCTTCCAGCAGTGTTTGCTAAGTTCTTTTTTTTTTTTTTTTTTTTTTTAGACAGTTTCACTCTTGTTGCTCAGGCCAGAGTGCAATGGCACAATCTCGGCTCACTGCAACCTCCACCTCCCGAGTTCAAGCTACTCTCCTGCTTCAGCCTCCCGTGTAGCTGGGATTACAAGCATGTGCCACCATGCCCAGCTAATTTTGTATTTTTAGTAGAGATGGGGTTTCACCATGTTGGTCAGGCTGGTCTCGAACTCCTGACCTCATGTGATCCACCTGCCTCAGCCCCCCAAAGTGCTGGGATTACAGGTGTGAGCCACTGCTCCTGGCCTGCTGAATTCTTTTAATGTCCAGCTGTGTTTGTACTGTTCAGCACACTGCTCCACAGCCGGTGTTCATCATTAGTGTCACTGGGGATAAAGTTGGCAGAAAAAAGCTGCCCCAATCCAAAGCATGATTCCTATGGGTCACAAGAGATGAATGGGCCTCCCTCTGAATCACACAAAGAATTGGAAGGAGCTTAGGGGAAAGCTAGCCTCAGGTCAGAATTGCCTGCATGCCACTCGGCTAGTGAGCTGCTGAATCACCTTATTCCTGGAGAAAGACTTTGATGCTGAGAAAACTGACTTGCTCAGCTCTTGCTACAACTGTGACCATCTCTGCAACAGTAAAGTAAAAACAAATACCTCTCTTGTTGGGTAATAATTTGTAAGTCATTGCAAGGAGAACACAAAACTGCTGCTGATTCTTTCCTTCTGTTACATACTTTGGTGGAAATGGACACATTGTCACTGCTTTTTTAAACTGTTGTAGCCAGATCTCAGGCATTCTCAGCATTGACCCCTTCCTGCTAGAGGATTTCCAAGGGTTGGTATCTGGGTGGCTCCAAGGTCCTTTGCGTTTTCAGTAGAGGGTATTCACTGTATCTAGGAACCCTTTCCTAGGCTTCAATAATTATCTTTTAATGGCTTGGTAAAATGGTGTTGAACTTAATCAGCAACACTGCTAAAAATTAGTTCAAAGAAAGCTTTTCAAGAAGGTTCCCCTTACTTATAAATTAAGTCCTCCATACCCCTTCTCAGATTGCTACAAAGGACCGCCAGAAATCATGTTGCTTGTTTCCTACCGAGAGAGGTCATCCCCATCAGGCTAGCGCTAGAGAAGAGGGTCAGCATCGGGAGCCTGGGAACAAGGGCAGAAGTGAGGGATGGGGAGGCAGCATTCTTACCTTTCCGGGCCTGCTGGATGTATCTTGCCAGCAGGGCGCCCAGGTGCGCTCGGGACTCGCCATCCGTTCTCTGCGATACCCTCAGCTGCCTACGGGGCGCCTCCTCTGCCCGCTGCAGCCCGGAGCCCGCGGGATCTGCGGGAGGCACCGGCTGCGTCAGGGCGCCAGCCGCCAGTACCGCCATCAGCACGCACAGGCACACGCCGCTGTTCATGGCTGTAGCGAGCAAAGGAGGAGGGCGCGTTAACTGAAAGGCTGGGCAACAGAGCTCCTGCGGCGGGCCGGGCACCCAGAAGCGGGCTTAGGACAAACACAGGTGCTCCAGACCCGCCAGGCCGCCGCAAGCACGAGGGCTCGCCAAGCGCTGACCCCAGCCGAGTGCCATGGCGCGCGCCCCCGGGCGCACCTGGCTGGTCTTTGGGAACTCCTCACCCAGCGCCAAGGGGCAGAGACCCTGTTTTCTGCCGTGTTGAGCAGAAGGAATGTTTTTGCTTTCCTAAAGTTTGAGGAAGTGTTTGCAGAGTGCCTCTCTTCTAACCGAAAGAAGAAAAATAAAACCCCACGAGATTAAAAATAGTGTGAAAAAAATATCCTAAAGGGAAGACTCCGTGGGAGAAATGAGAACCCTGGGGAAAGCACTTTTCCAGATAGCTAACAAGCTTTCAATATGGAAATACAGTAAATGATGAAAAAGAGAAGCACAGTTTAAAATGTAGGAGCAATAAATAAAGCCGTATTTATAAAGTTTTTCTCAAAGTGTACGTGGGAAATGGCAATAAGCCACTACGCAGAACATAGGCAGGTTTTAAAATCAGAAATATGTGCCCAGCGCTCAGGCTTCGAAAGCCCCGTGCATTTTAGATCGCTAGTGGATAAAACACCCTCAAGTTTCTATCCGTAAAGCCTCGAAATTTTCTGCAGTATTTAGAAAATGAATTTAAATCTTAAAACCCTCTAATATTTTATTAGAAAAGATTGCAAAGTCCCCCGCACCGCTGTGTAACAGCTAGCAAACTCAATCTGCATGCGAATCTTAGCGAATGGGTAGTTCATCCCTTAATGATGCTGGCGTATGAAAGGCTCTAAAGCAGCTCTACCCACCCAGACCTCACTTTTAGACCCAGAGCCGTTATTTCTGACTTCAAGAAATGTCTTTCGAGCTCTCGGAGGGAAGACACAGAAAATAGAAAAGCATAATGGAAATGGGCACAAAGCTGAAGACAGCATCCTTCAAAGACACACGACACTTGGATCCCCCGCTGACGAACCGAGGGACCTACCTTTTGGATTAGGACGCAGCTGGCTTGGCGTTTCCAACCGGAGCAGCCCGGCAGCTGAGCCAAGTTCAGGGAGGACCAGCGGGCGGCTGTCTCTTAAATAGCCCCACCCGGCGGCGTCGGCCAGTCATGTATTTACCCAACGCTGACGCAGACTGGCAGTAACACGTGCTCAGAGGGCGGCCACTGGGGCGACAACCGGTTGAAGTGGCTCCTGGGAGAGAGGGGGAGGTGGTCTAGTGGGGTGGAGTTAATCCCTCCCACGCGCGGTGCCGGGTGTCCGCCCCCTCTGGGTCCGAGAAGCTTCCGCCCAACCCTTTCCAGGTGCCGCTCCCCTGCGCATTCCAGAGCAGTACTCTCCAAGGTGGGAAACCTAGGAGTTTGGAGTCTCCTCCGGGATGGAGAAGCTGCCGCTAGCTTAGTTCGCTTTGGGGACCGGAGGGGCTAGAAAGGAAACTGGGGGCGGGGGTGGGGGGTGGACACTGGGCAGGACTGAGCATCAGCAAGGCGTGATTCTGAAAGGGAGGGGGCGTCGGCCCCCTACCCCGGAGCGTCCGAGGCGCTGGTCTTCATACCTGTGTCGGCTCTTTCGAAGGAGAGAGGAGGAGTCGGGGTCTTCACTTTCTTCTCAGCCGCATTAAAAGCCCTCGCAGTTCTCCAGGTTTCCGAGGGCCAGTGTTCTGGGTCAGTGAAAGGGCTCTGGCCACAGCTGGCTCTTGGTGTCCTGGGCCTCTCTTGACGCAGCTGTAAAATGCGGATGACACCATCTGGTTTTGCTCAGAGGAATCCGGTTTGGGAAAGGGATGTGTTTTCTTCCCGGGCCAAGTTACCACCACCCGCGGCGCCCACTGTTCCCCGTTGTCGACAAGCGGCGCCAGCGAGGGTCCTGGGGAACTTGACCACCGCACCCCCGCAAGCTCGGGTAGACCACGGCATCCGCCCCTCGCACCTTTCCTGAGGGCCCACACACTCACACCCCCAGGACAGTACCTTCCAGAACTCAGCTGCGCAGCCTGGAGGTGAGGACCTCACCCCTAGTCAGTCACCCGTCCGGTGGAGGGAAGGGAGGCACCGAGGCTGCCGTGCGCCTTTCCCTGCACGCGGTTACTCTCCCGGCTCCGGAGCGGGCCGACCTGGAGCCCCTCAGTGCGCTCTGGTCGTCTACACCCTGAAACCCTTTGAGTTCGAGTCCGCTTGCTGGTGCTTGAGTTCGCCGCGTCCCTGCAAAGGCACTGCCAACCCCATTTCACAGACCGCAAACCGAGGCGCGAGGAAGAGCAGCGCCTTGCCAAGGCTCCACAACACGCCCCTCGCCCTCTCCGTGCACCGAGGCCGCCCAGCCTGGGACCTGGAGATCACCAGGCCTTGAACCTTGGGACCTCAACTCCTCTCCCTTTCTTTCCCCCACCCGTCTTAGATGCAAGGAGAAAGATTTAGAAGCGCTTATTTTAAAATCGGAATCCGTATTCCGCTCTGGAATTCCCTCTGGAATGGAGGGACTGTGGCAACGCCAGTGTGAGGGTGGAGTGGGCGAGGCGGGGTGGGGGGGTTGGGGGGGCGGCCCAGAGACGCCTCCGGTTGCTGCTCCACTTTCTAATCCTGAGAGGCAGCTGCGTTTCTGCAACCTATGGGCAACATGTTTGAAAGAGCTGAAGCTGATTAAATGCTTTCCAGTGGTTTCGCCACGAGCCTGCTAAGGTTTGTGTAGTTCAGTTGCGAAAAAGAGTCTTATTTGTGATTGTGGCAAGACATGTCTGGAAACATAAACTTGTTATCGAAATACCCCCAGAGCTTCTAATTCAGTAGGTCTGAGGAAGGGCCCAAGAATCCGAATTCCTTCCTTCCTTCCTTCCTTCCTTCCTTCCTTCCTTCCTTCCTTTCTTCCTCCTTCCCTCCTTCCCTCCCTCCCTCCCTTCCTTCCTCCCTCCCTCCCTCCCTTCCTCCCTCCTTCCCTCCCTCTCTCCCCTTCCCTCTTTCCCTCTCTCCCTTCCTTCCTTCCTTCCTTCCTTCCTTCCTTCCTTCCTTCCCTCCCTCCTTCCTTCCTTCCTTCCCCCCTCCCTCCCTCCGTCTCTCCTTCTCCCTCTTTCCCTCTTTCTCTCTCTCTTTCTTTCTTTCTTCTTTATTTCTTTCTTTCTTTCTTCATTTCCTTCCTTCCTTCCTTCCTTCCTTCCTTCCTTCCTTCCTTCCTTCCTTCCTTTCCTTGCCTTTCCTTCTTTGAGACAGAGTCTCACTCTGTCGCCCAGGCTGGAGTACAGTGGCATGATCTCGGCTCACTGCAACCTCTGCCTCCCAGGTTCAAACGATTCTCCTGCCTCAGCCTCCCCAGCGGCTGGGATTACAGGCATGTGCAGCCATGCCTGGCTAATTTTTATATTTTTAGTAGAGACAAGGGTTCACCATGTTGGCTAGGTTGGTCTCGAACTTCTGACCTCAGGTGATCTACCCACCTTGGCCTCCCAAAATGCTGGGACTACAGGCGTGAGCCACCACGCCCCACCAAGAATCTACATTTCTAACAAGTTCCCAGGCCATACTGAAAATGCTAGTCCGCCAAGCACACTTTGAGATCATTTCTATAGAAATTCCCTACCTTATACCAGTTACTCAACTCCTGGCCTTGATCCATTTAATTCATGTTTATTCAACACTTACTTTGTGCCAGGCCCCAGGGATTCAGTATGAACAAGAGCTGACAATACAATAGGGGAGCTGAAGCAAACAAGTGGACAAACACTTCTCAACAATTCTGATATTTGGGGACTATGGAGTGGAGATGGTAGGAGGTAATCTTGGAGAAATGTTTTGGTGAGGGGAGCTAGGTGGTAATATGGAAGATGCCCAAAAGGCAGAGGGACTGGAAGGGGAGGGCTGGATAGGAGGCCCTCGGGGATGGGCAAGCAGGAACAATCAAGGTAGATTTGTTTTAGAATAATAAGCCATTATGAAACCCATTAATTATTAGGAAACATAATAAACATTATGCAAGTCATAAGTGTTCATCAGAGAACATTCAGAAAACAAAAGTAGAGAAAAGAAGAAAAATTCCAGCCTCCCAGGGAACAACCTGTTGCTGCTCAGGAAACTGGTAGAGGGAACCGGACTTGGTGACTGAGACTGACCTTGAGTTTCCAGGCTGGGAGACAAGGGTGGGTGGTAGAGTATTATCCAAGACAGGGAATTCAGAAGGAAAAGCAGGCTTGGAGTGTGGCCGTGGTGGTAGTGGGCCAGTGGGGAGCGGGTAATGAGTCCAGTATGGGATTGGTTGATCGTTTGTGCATTGACAGTCTAGGAGGAGTTTGGGAGCCTTTGTCCTGAGCAGAGAGACACTGGAGGGGTGGACCCAGAGTCTGGCATGTGGGTGGTGGCTGCCAGCCTGGGAGTTATAGGGAGAGTTGAGGAAGGCAGCTAGCAATGGGTGGCAGGGTGCCTCTAGACAGACCGCTGAGGAGTGACAGCGTGAAGGAGTGGGTGGAGGAAAAAGAGCTGGTACAGAACCAGACAAGTGGGCCAAGGAGGCCAGCGTGGAAATGCCAGTGCAGAGCCAGAGGTGACAGGGACCATCAGAAGCTGAAGAAGGGCTTGTGCATGGGCCTTTCTCATTTACGATCAAGAGAGCTGCTTGCCTCTTTATTGTAAAATAAAGCAGTTGTAGCCGCTTGTCTCTCAGGAGTGGAAATTCTGAGCAGGAAATGTGTGATAGAAGAGCTGCTAGGAAAATAGAAAGACATAAGGGATCTGAACTCCTTGGCCATAGTCATGATTTTTCCTTCTTACAGGGTCAACAGGTACTAATTATTCTGACTATGGTTCCTAAGCAAGTTAGGCCTGGAGCCGACACTATTCCTGTAATCCAGATGCATATCCGCATTAAAGATAATCCATTTGTTCACTTAAAAAAATGGGCTTGATGTCTCCTGAGGCAGATGCCTTTGGTGCTCCTCACCACAGTTCCACGTTCTCCCTCTGGCTTCAGCTGCAGCCTAGCCAGGCTGGGCAGTTTTCAGCAGACAGCATTCCCACTTCAAGCTTTCAAAGCACCCCTCTTGGCTTATCTCCTTCAAAGTTCAGCCCTTGCAGAGGTTCAGCCTGTAAGTTTGGGTGTTATCTCCCCGAAAGACAATCTTCAGCCAGTGGGGAATGGGAACCCCAGTCTCTCTGTATGAACCCTTCTGGAAGCTTCTAAAGACTTCTCAACGGTCCTTTGCCTGTATCGGTGAACTTGATAACAGCTCTCTCTCTCTTTTTTTTTTCTCTCTCTCTCTCCCTCTCTCTCTTTAGACAGGGTCTTACTCCGTCACCCAGGCTGGAGTGCAGTGGTGCAAACCCGGCTTCCTGGCTTAAACAATCTTCCCACTTCAGCCTCCTGAGTAGCTGGGAACACAGGTGCACACCACCATACTCTGCTAATACTTTAATTTTTTGTAGAGACAGGGTCTCACCATGTTGCCTAGGCTTGTCTCAAATTCCTAGGCTCAAGTAATCCTCCCTTCTCAGTCTCCCAAAGTGTTGGGATTACAAGTGTGAGCCACCAAGCCCAGCTGATAACATCTCTTTAGTTGTTTTTTCCTCCTTCTTTGTCTTACTCTTCTCATTTCTTCCTCCTCTCCCAAATAAACGACATGTACTCAAGTCTGTCTAATTTTAGTATAACCCTATCAAAGACACCAACTGTCTTTCGGGCACTGTTGGGATTCAGTGGTGAGCAAGACAGACAAAATCCCTGTGCTTGTGATGCTTCCATTCTAGTGGAGGAGACAGACAATTTAAAAAATACACAGCAGGCATGGAAGGTGCACACATGTTTTCAAGAAAAGTAGAGTAGGGGGAGGGTCTGTGGAGGACTGGGCACCCGCATGAACGTATGCAAACCACTGCTGGGGGATGCCCTGTTAGGCTGTCTGCTGTGTAGACCTTGCTATGTATGTACATTATGGAGAAATGGTTTTGCTTTTCAGTCCAAATAGAGAAAAAGGAAGTTGTATGGGAGTTCGCACTGTTTGGAGATTGTTTTGTATTTCATCAAATGTGAGACGGTAACTAACTTTTCTGCCAAGCTCATTCTCTTGTCTCAGAAAAGGAATGGAAAAGGCAGTGCCCTCTGTGTCCTTCCCACCACCACCCACTCTTCCCCATCATGGAATGAGACGCACCAGCTGGTCCCTGCCTTTATCTGGAGGACTGAGAGTGGAGGGTGCCATATCCAGATGCCGCGTTGGAAAGGAAATAGTGGAGAGAGGAAACCTGTGACTGTTCACTGGTTTGGAGTCTAGAAATTCCCATCTGATTGCGGTGAAATGAATTTAAGTAAGATCTTGCTCAGAGTTGGGGAGGTATCCCCGAAGATTAGTTCCTGAAACAGATATATTTTCAATACACGATTTTTTTAGTCATGAGACCTAGCTCAAAGACATATGTCAATTTTGTATGTGTAGAAAACTTAGTGGAATTTCCAGGGACATGCTAGAGCCTCCTGATTTATTATTCATAGAATTTAAGCTTGTTACAAGCAAGCCCCACTTACCAGAAGGCAGGAGGCTATTTGCTGTGATCAGAAACGTGATGGTTAGAAGGCTTCTTTTTTGGGTCTTTTTTTTTCCTGAACATGTATTAAAATATTATTATTTGTCCTGGAATTTTTCAAAGTCCACATAGCCAATATCATCTGCCAATATCTGGAATGATTAGACTGAAAAAAGGGAAGTAACTATGGTCATGGTGAAGTGTTTCCTTTTCCTAACGATGAATTTCTTTAGAATATCTTGTCATAGTTTGGGTTCCTACAAAAGCAGAGCCTGGGACAGCACCTGGTTACAGGTAATTTATTTGAGAGTGATTCCAAGGGAGCAGGAGTAAGGGAGAAGGGAAGAGAGAAGACAGTGAAGTATTGAGTACAGTGGATGACTGCTGTGGACCCAATCCCCTGGGGACTCTCTGAGATACCTCTTGGAACATGGCTCATAGCCAGCCTACTTGAGGCCAGAAGGAGAGCCGGAGCACCAACTCCCATTTCCCATTAGTTGAGGGCTGTTCCAGCAGGTGTTAGCTCCCTCTCACTTCCAAATAGGCTTACCTGCTCCTGCAGAGCCAGAGAAAGCCCTCAGGCAGAGAAGAGATAAGCAGATGGCTGAGGTGGGAATAGCTACATGAGAGGGAACATGAAGGGGAAATCAATAGTGGCTGTGTTACTGTCAACTCAGGGTGCTATAACAAGTACCATGGACTGGTGGCTTAAACAATGGACATTTATTTTTCACAGTTCTGAAGACTGGGACATTTGAGATTAGGGTGCCAGCATGGCGGGGTCCTGGTGAAGGCTCTTTTCCTGGCTTACTGATGGACTACTTCTTGCTGTATCCACACGTGGCAGAGAGAGGGAGGTTGGGGGGTGGGGAGAGAGAGAGCAAGAGTGCTAGCTCTCCGGTGTCTCTTCTTATAAAGACATTAATCCTATCATGAGGGTCCTCCCCCATCTGACTTCATCTAAACCTAATCACCATCACCTTCCAAAGTCCCCACCTCCTAATACCATCACATTGGGGGTTAGGGCTTTGTACGAGAAAATCAAATCTCGGAAATCTCAAGATCCCCAAACTCATTATGTCAAGGGGAGAGTTAAGCCTAGAGACTGAGCCATGCAACACTGCCTTTCTTTTTCCTGAAACAAACATCTACAGAGAAGCAGACGGCTGAGGTGGGAATAGCTACAGGTGAGGGAACATAAAAGGTACATTAACAGAGATTGTGTCACTGTCACCTCAGGATGCTATAACAAAATACCACAGACTGGGTGGCTTAAACAACAGACACAACCCTGTGTTTTCATAGCTTTATACATAAGCCAGGTTCCCACAATGATGAACGGCCTTCCACCTCTCTGGATGGTCACCCTCACAAATTGCTCACAAGGGAATTCCTTGCAGGTCTCTAAATCATTCAAGACACATATCCCCCTGTAAAACAAGCACACACCAATTGTAACTTTAGGTCTGTAAGCCAAGTTTAACTCCTAAAACTGAGCTCTCTTCAATTTTATCCTGACAATGTCGTTTATAAGCTTATCTTCCCAGGTACAAATGAAATGGCTTGGCTGTGTCCCCATCCACATCTCATCTTGAATTCCCACATGTTGTTGGAGGGACCCAGTGGGGGGTAATTGAATTATGGGGGCAGGTCTTTCTCATGCTGTTCTTGTGATTGAGAATAAGTCTCATGAGATCTGATGGTTTTATAAGGTTGATTTTCCCTGCACAAGCTCTCCCTTTGCTTGCTGCCATCCATGTAAGATGTGACTTGCTCCTCCTTGCCTTCTGCCATGATTGTGAGGCCTCCCCAGCCATGTGTAAGTGCATTAAACCCTTTTTCCTGTATAAATTACCCAGTCTTGGGTATGTCTTTATCAGTAGGGTGAAAGTGGACTAATACACAAGGACAAGATAAGATCAATCACTTTTCTGCCTGCCCTGAGATGGCTGCATCATCAACTTTTTCCCATACTCCCTCTTTTCAGATGTTTACCTTATGTAGAGTGTAGATTATTTGAGCATCAATCAGAGCCTCAGAAGTAGATAGCTGTTTGCCTCACTGCCTACACCCTTCCCTTCTTTTCTCCTGCTTGCTCCTTCCCTTTAAATACTGAGTTTCCTGGAAAGGACAGGTTGCAGATGCTTCTGTGGCTTGTGTTTTTCCCAGGTGCATCCTCACACTTTGGCTCAATAAACCTGTACTGGGATTTAGACACTTGCCACAGTCACTCACTTTTTGGTTAACAGTTTCAACATATGAATTTGGGGAGACACAAACATTCCGCCCATAACAGAGTAAAACATCCCTGTAAATTAACATTTTATTTGTTCACTGGCATTTCTATAAGGTTGGTGGAATAAAGGAATCCTAAATCTGGGGTGGACCTTGAGGACCCTCTTGTTCAAGGGTCACAAATTCCAACACCACCCAAGGGAGTGAAGAGGGCTGTGGGTGAGAAGAGCAAGAGAAAAAGCACAGAGATCATGGGCAAGTGAAGCTATGGGTGGTGGTTAACCTCCTGGGGCACTCTAGGGGCCAGAGCAGAACGTGGGCCTCAGAGCCATCTCACCCTAGGGTGCGAAGGTGCGTGCATGTCTATACATCAACTCCACTCACTCACTGGCTAAGGGAAGCTCCTGGGGCATTCATTCCCTAGCACTTCTGGCCCACTGAGGATCCAGCCCCCAATGGAAGCCTTCAGAGAAGAGGTGCAGATGCTGGTGACCAGAAGCTGGGCCTGCAAGCACCATGATAGTGAGGCCCGAGGGAATATGAGTGGGGCAGCCACGGAGCCACTACACTCTCCTAACACTTTGCATGTACTCAATGTTAGCATTTACCATATTGTATCTTAATTTCCTACAATAGGGCTTGGGACATAGCTGCTCAATGAATATTTGTTGAATGAACTCTTCATCTGTATGAACGTCTCATCTGCCATCTGACATGCAGGAAAGCAGGAATTGTGATTTATTCACTCAAATGCAAGAATTGTGCTGGACACATGCTAAGTGACCAATAAATGTTCACCAAATTCAGCTGTTAGTTTCATCAGTTTAGTTGACTGGACTTACAAGATGGATAGCTATGAATTAAAAGCCATTTGCTGACCCTTGGTTGGATTGTGGACTCCCAATTAGCCACAGGAATTGTTCTTAGCACCATTTCATTTAGCCAGGGTTAGAAAAGCCACCAGAAATGGGAGATCACCTCGTGAATGGATGACAGGAATGAGAGGTCAGATCCCAGCTGATTGAGCTCTCTGCAGAAGAAGCTTTCCTTTTGCTTTTCAAACTAATATTGAAAAGCCAAAAGAGGAACCGTAGTTGCCAGGGAAACCAGCCACCAGTGTCCTCAGGCCTGTTGCTTAGTTCACTTTCTTTTGAGGAAGGTTTAGAAGAGGCCTCCATGGCTCTCCTTGGGAAGTGTTAGCAAACAGTGAGACTTGAAGTACTTGAAGGGCAGTCTGGGAGTCTTTGTGGTCCTGCTGATCCAGCTTCTCTCTGAAGCTGAGGTCCCCTCACAGCAGAGGGCAAGTCTGTGTCCTCTGGAATGGTCCCAGCCCCCAGCAGAGACATCTCCTACCTTACCAACCTGCCTGGTGCCTGCATGGTGGCCATGGGCCCTCCGTTGAACTAAGGCTTTGGGACACAGCTGTTCCAGGACAACCTTATCAGAAAAGGCTCATAGTTTTAAAATTTAAAATAAAATGGTTTGAATAAGTATTAAGTGCATATAATTCAAAATTTAAAAGGTGCAAAGGGGTATATAGTGAAAATCAATTTTTCCCCTCACTCTTCTTCCTCCACCATGCAGAGGCAAGGAGTGCTTTAGCGTTTAGTAAATTCTTCCAGATAAAGTCAATGCACATACAAGCACATCAATAAGTATCAAAGAAATACACACACACACACACACACACACACACACACAGTCTCCAAATGGAAGCATAAAATACAAAATGTTCTCTATTTTACTTTTTTCACTTAAAATATGTATTTGAGTTAGGTCAGTTTATACTGTTAGCATAATTCTACCTCAATATCTGTAAACTATTCCATTGTATGGGTGTACCTGAATTCATCTAGCCAGGGCCCTATTCATAGAAATTTAAGTAGCTTCCAATATTTTCCAATTATAACCAATGCTTCTTGAATATACATCATTCTGTACATGCACAAGTTTACCTATGGGATGAGTTTCTGGAAGTGGAACTGCTGAGTTAAAGCATATGTACATTTAGCATGTTGGTGAATATTGCCAAGTTGCTCTCTTTGGCAGTTGTTCCCAACTGTCAAAGAGAGCATCTTTATCTTTTTTTTTCTCAGCCCTTTTATTATAGAATGTATTTTATATTTGTATTAGTCCATTTTCACACTGCTTATAAAGACATACCTGAGACTGGGAAATTTACAAAAGAAAGAGGTTTAATTGGATTTACAGTTCCAAGTGGCTGGGGAAGCCCCACAATCATGGCAGAAGGCAAGGAGGAGCAAGTCACATCTTACATGAATGGCAGCAGGCAAAGAGAGAGCTTATGTAGGCAAACTCCCGTTTTTTAAAACCATGAAATATCATGAGACCCATTCACTGTTACCAGAACAGTGCAGGAAAGAGCCACCCCCATAATTCAATCACCTCCCACTGGGTTCCTCCCTGGACATGTGGGAATTATGGGAGTTACAATTCAAGATGAGATTTGAGTGGGGACACAGAGCCAAACCATATCAATATTTATATTATATTTGGGCATTATATTGATTTTTAAAAATATCGTGGGTATAGCATCAAAGATAAACAAAACTGGACAGTAGTTAAGGTGATAAGGACAGGTTTTAATCAGTGATATTTTATTGCAATAGGGAAAAGAGTCAAGCGTGAACTGAATGCAATTTGAATTTGTAGAGAGGTGACCGGATGTTTTAAAGGGAGAAGAGGGAATAGGAAGGAGGTTAAGCAGGATTTCAATAGAGTCAGGAAAATGAAAAATTACAAAAAGTGGGACACAGGTGATGGTGGGGGGTGCAATGGTCCATTTGAAACCCATCTGGGCTTGTAAACTGGTACTTTTCAAAGTCAGGCTCTTACAGTAAATTCTTTTAGCGACCTTGAGTTTTCTCAGGGAGGCACTTTAAGAGGGAAGGAAGGTAGAGGTATCCTAAGAATGTGGCCTTGAGCTGTTAGGAACTATGTTAGTGCTTGTTCAAGTCTTTATAGGCCAAGGTTGGGGCCTAGTTGAGAAGGGCTCAGAGGAACCTGGCTAGAGTTTGGTCAAGGAGACAGCCTTTGTTAGTAGGTATATTATAACCACTATAAATGCCATTTTAGGATGATAAAGGAAGAGTGTGAAATATCTGTTGTCAAAAGTGGTTGTGGAGTCAGATGGGGATAGGAATCCAGATCTTAAAAGTATGGACATCACACTCCACCTGTTTCCTGCCATGATAACTCAACATAGGGAAAGTAGAAGAGCAAAAGTTTGGATCAGGGATTGAAGGCAGGGGCTCCAGCAAAATGGGATGCAGTGTGGGGGTCTAGGGGAATGGGGCCAGAACATGGTCACCAAGACAGAGAAGTGGTGTAGAAAGATCACTGAACACATCTGTTCTTCCTCCTCACTGTGCTAACTATTGACCATTAGGCCAGACCACACCAATCAACCTGTGCTTGGCTTCTCCTAGACAAGCCTAAGAGCCAAGGGTAGAAAGCAAGTTCCCAGATTTCAGCAGGGAGGTGGACAGTGCCAGCGTGGGAAGTTCTCTGGAGGTCCAGGGTTTTAGAAAAAGCAAGTCTGGGGCTACTTTGCATAAGGATAATGCTGAGCAGTGCCCAAAGGGCATGTTGGTGGAGAAAGTCACCACAAGAAAAAGAGAAAAAAATGTCATGCTGAAGAGAAATGGTATTTGGATGGCAGGAATTTTACCATGAAAGTAAAAGTTCTATTTAGATTTTTAAAACATCCATTCCTTAAGGAATAGCATGAACCTCCAGCATGTGCAACGAAATGAAATGCTAAAAGTTGGCAGCTTGGAAATGAGGGGTCTGTGCACATATTTTCCTAGCATCCAGAATGATGAGCAAAGGAAGGAGATTGTTTACCATCTTCCTCAACATCCCCAGAGATGGCTGGCAACAGACGGGCCTCCAGATGAATGAAGGGCTTCTGAGTGCTGGGTGCAGGGTCTACTGAGAACTTGAAGAGGAGTGAGAAAGTGATTTTTATCTGCCAGATTGCATTTCTTATGTAAGTTGCTGGAGCTTGAAGTTGAGAGGAAAGAGACTCAGTCTTCAAACAAGAATCTTGGTTTACATTTTGGGTCTCTGTCTTGCTTTGCATACCTCCCCACAACCCCACAAGAAAACCAGACTGTTAGATGAAGACCTAGATGCAGGTGGTATATTTGGGAGAGCACCCCAGAGAGCTGAACTGAGGAGGTGGAAAGTGAGACAGGAAAGCGAGAAAAGTCAATAACTTGTGAGTTAACAAGCAGGTGACTGCTGGTGACAACTGGGGCTCAGTCCTGCCTGGGCTCCTTTGAGAAGATGAATGCCCTAGAATTGTCCCACTGGAGCATTTATCCATGGCCTCTACCTCCTATTGTTTGAGGGTTACTCCAGCAGGCAGGGTTGGGAGAGGCCTGCTAGTGCTAAGACAGGCAGAGGAGAAAGGTGCTGCTACTCAGTGTGGGAAGACAGAAGCCTGTCTTGAAATAGTCTCCTGCAGCTGCAGGTGAACCAGAGTGGGTGGAGGGGCCCTGGGGTGCAGCATCAACAGTGTCTCCCACAGCCCCTAAGCACAAACCTCAGGAAAGACCCTATTACATTCTCAAACTGCAAAAACACACAAGTGTAACTCTTTTGTTCTTGGTTTTGGGGAAACATGTACACCAAGACATACAAATATTTTGCCCTGGAGAAATGCTCAAGAAATATGTTCTTTTTTCCATGCCAGACACTGTTCTCTTTCCTCTCTGACCCTGGGAATTTCATAGTGAAAATGATACTAGATTTGAGTCCTAGGTCTCCCATCCACTCTCTGTGTAACTTAGAGCAAGTAACTGTGGTTTTGTGACCCTGCATTTGTACAACTGTCAAATGAGGTGGATAGGAATCAGTCCCTAGAACATTGTGAGGTCTGAAGGGGCTAAACTACAGCCATGTGAGATGAGGCCTTAGGATCAAGAAAATTTGCATTTTTGGTCATTTTCCACTTTCAGCTCTTAGAACAAAAAGGCTGGTCTCTGAATAAGACATTGAGGAAGAAACAGCCCATGGGAGGGTGGTATAGAGGTGACAGGCATCTTGGGACTATCCCGGTTATGTAAGTCCATCCCAAGGCTCCGGAGTGCCATCACTCACTCTCTTTTATGAGAACAGTGGCTTCTTGAGGTAAAAGCAGAGGGAAAACAACACTAAAAGCTCAAGTCCACTAAAACGATAAAGTTGCAGGAGGTTTATTCTGGGCTCCCTGTGGACGACCCCTTGTATGATGAGATGCTAATTTTAAAGATAAATTATGGATGCAGAGAGCAGGAGAGAAAGTGCAGCTATTTCTTGGCAGCCCTAATTGCTGCGAGAGGTGCCAGGCTGCTAAAGGCATACGCATGTACTGTGCACACAGCCGAGAAAATCAGAAGCCAGGAGCGGGGTTTGTTATCAGCCAAAGCCCTGGAACTTACAAAGCAATCTGTTTTCCTTGAGAAGACACAGATGGCCCTACAGGGTTGGTTTAGAGATGCTGCTGGTTTCATGGATGTGTTATGTTTCTTTTTCTTCTGCTCGTAACTATTTTCTTTCTTGCTTTAAAAAGGACCATACCATAGGCAGTGTGATTGGGAAGAGCTTGCCTTTACACAGCAGGCCTGCAAATATTAACATAGATGCTTTATCAGATGCTGGGTGCCCTGCCCACATCTATTCTCCAGGGTTGGCCTGACTTCCAGCTCCCTGCCCCTGTGACTCTTTGCTCCAGTGTTCTTTCTGGAGTGGGGACCCAGGTTTCAAGTGTTGGAGGATTATTGCCCTGTGGGAGCAGCCCTCAACCAATAACTAATGGGAATTGGTGGAGAGTTAACTCAGCTCTCCCATCCTTCCAGAGGTTCACAGGCCATGTTCTATGTTGGCTCCTGGAGTTCCCCAGTAGGACCCAACTCCAGTGGCCCTTGATGGTAGCATGTGCAGAAATGTGCCCTTTAGTGGTGGAAATTCTCTGCCCTGTCTCACTTCTTCATTTTCATATCTATGTTTCCTGGGATCACCTCCCAAATAAATCACTGGCCCTCAAAGCTTTTGCTCAGCATCTACTTATGGGAAAATGCAAGCTACAATGGTTGAACTTTCAGCTTCCATCAACTTGAGACATGTTCCAGAGTTTAAAATATTCTTCACTTGTATTACCCCTGTCCACAGGCAATGAATCTCCTGCTGGCCACGTGGCTAAGAGACTTGCACAGTCCTAGGATCCTTGATAAATGGGGCAGGTGTTTGGCTTTGGAGATTTTACTTCGGCCAGGGGCCAGGGACTGATGTGTGGATGTGAACACTAAGACTTATCTTTGCAGGTTGAGAAGATTGCTTTTATACAAGTTGATAAACCATTTGCTGAATGTTTCATGGCCCCTAATGTTCCCTCAGGGGTGGCCTTACCCCAACATTCAGACCCTCATCCTTTCTTTAGGGGCCCCTAAAATATGGTTTGGCTCCGTGTCCCCACTCAAATCTCATCTCAAATTGTAATCCCCACATGTCGAGGGAGGGACCTGTAATCCCCACCTGTTGAAGGAGGGAGGTGATTGGATCATGGGGGCCGTGTCCCCCATTTTGTTCTTGTGATAGTGAGTGAATCCTCACAAGATCTGGTTTTAAAAGTGGCAGTTTTTTCCTGTATTCTCACTTCTCTCTCTTGCCACCATGTGAAGAAGGTCCTTGCTTCTCTTTTGTCTTCTGCCATGATTGTAAGTTTCCTGAGGCCTCCCCAGCCATGTAGAACTGTAAGTCAATTAAACCTCCTTGGTTCATAAATTACCCAGTCTCAGGTGGTGTCTCTATAGCAGTGTCAGAATGGACTAATATAGTAAATTGGTGCCAGGAGTGGAGTACTGCTATAAAGATACTCAAAAATGTGGACACAGCTTCGGAACTGGGTAACAGGCAGAGGTTGGAACAGTATGGAGGGCTTAGAAGAAGACAGGAAGATGTGGGAAAGTTTGGAACTTCCTAGAGACCTGTTGAATGGTTTTGACCAAAATGCTGATAGTGATGTGAACAATGAAGTCCAGGCTGAGGTGGTCTTAGATGGAGATGAGGAACTTATTGTAAACGGGAGTAAAATTTGCTCATGCTGTGCTTTAGCAAAGAGACTAGTGGCATTTTGCCACTGCCCTAGAGATCTGTGAAACTTTGAACTTGAGAGAGATGATTTAGGATATCTGGTGGAATAAATTTCTAAGCAGCAAAGCATTCGAGATGTGACCTGGATTATTCTGAAAGCATTCGGATTTATGTGTTCACAAAGAGATGTTTTGAAATGGTAACTGATGTTTAAAACAGAAGCAGAGCATAAAAGTTTGGAAAGTTTGCAGCCTGATGATGCAATAGAAAAGAAAAACCCATTTTTCTCAGCAGAAATTCAATCTGGCTGCAGAAATTTGCATATGTAATGAGGAGGCAAATGTTAACAGCCAAGACAATGGGGAAAATGTCTCCAGGGCATGTCAGAGATCTTGGTGGCAGCCCCTTCTATCACAGGCCTGGAAGCTTAAGAGGGAAAAATGGTCTTGTGGGCTGGACCTAGGGCCCTGCTGCTCTGTGCAGCCTCAGGACTTGGCACTCTGCATCCCAGCTGCTGCTGTTCCAGCTCAAGCTGGTGTTAAAGGGGGCCAAGGTACAGCTCAGGCCATGACTTCTGAGGGTGCAAGCCCCAAGCCTTGGCAGCTTCCATGTGGTGTTGGGCCTGGGGATGCGCAGAAGTCAAGAATTGAGGTTTGGGAACCTTTGCCTAGATCTCAGAGGATGTACGGAAATGCCTGGACGTCCAGGCAGAAGTTTGCTGCAGGAGTGGAGCCCTCATGGAGAACCTGTGCTAGGGTAGTGTGGAAGAGAATGTGAGGTTGGAGCTCCCACACTGAGTCCCCATTGGGGCACTGCTTAGAGGAGCTGTGGGAAAAGGGCCACTGTCCTCCAGCCCCCAGAATGGTAGTTCCACTGACAGCTTGCACTGTGCACCTGGAAAAGCTGCAGACACTCAACACCAGCCCATGAAAGCAGCTGGGGCAGAGGTTGTACCCTGCAAAGTCACAGGGGTGGAGCTGCCCAAGACCATGGGAGTCCACCCCTTTCATCAGTGTGCCCCAGATGTGAGACAGAGAGTCAAAAGAGATGATTTTAGAGCTTTAAGATTTAATGACTGCCCTGCTGGAATTTGGACTTGCATGGGGCATGTAGCCCCTTTGTTTTGGCCAATTTTTCCCATTTGGAATGGGAGCATTTATCTAATTCCTGTACCCCCATTGTATCTAGGAAGTAACTAACTTGCTTTTGATTTTACAGGCTCCTAGGTAGAAGGGACTTTCCTTGTCTCAGATGAGACTTTGGACTTGAACTTTTGGGTTAATGCTGGAATGAATTAAAACTTTGAGGGACTATAGGGAAGGCATGATTGGTTTTGAAATGTGAAAAGACATGAGATTTGGGAAGAGGAAGGAGTGGAATGACATGGTTTGGCTCTGTGTCCCCACCCAAATTTCATCTCGAATTGTAATCCCCACCTGTCGAGGGAGGGAGGTGATTCAATCATGGGGGCAGTTTCCCCCATGCTGCTCTCATGATAGTGGGTGAATCCTCACAAGATCTGGTGGTTTTAAAAGTGGCAGCTTTTTTTCCTGCATTCTCACTTCTCTCTCCTGCCTCCATGTGAAGAATGTCCTTGCTTCTCCTTCACCTTCTGCCATGATTGTAAGTTTCCTGAGGCCTCCCCAGCCATGTGGAACTGTGAGTCAAATAAACCTCCTTTGTTTATAAATTACCCAGTCTCTGGTATTATCTTTATAGCAGCATGAGAATGGATTAATACAGAGTCACTTGTTTTGGATTGTAAACTAAAAATAAAATCCTAAGTGCCCCACCTGACTGAATGGACCCCCTGTTGGCCAAGAGGGCCCCAGAGAAACCTTAAAAACTGAGTTCCTAGTCATGATGGGATGGGAAGTCAGACACGCCTCATTATGTCTCCTCCCCATTGTGGTTACATGCAACTTAACAACATTAATGTTAAAATAACCATAAAGCTGACAGAATAGACTCTTTATAGCAGTAGGACACAAAGTTATAAACAGGATCTGAGGCCATTCCAGGTAAGGGTTAAGTCACTCCCTGCCCCTACACTTAAAGAATAAACTATGTTTTAACTGCCACAAGGTTTTTCCTTTTCCCTAGCAGCTAAAGAAGCACTGACCTTGACATAAGCAATGGTGAAACAATTTACAGCTCATTCACTGCCAAATGCTGACTAACTGACCCCCTGTTCCACCAGCCTTGATGGGACAAGAGGCTGATTTCAGTAACTTTCTCCTGATAAGAAAACCACTGACCATGGACTGGTTCTGGCTGGACACAGTGGCTGCACACTTGAGTACCTTTGTGTCCTGAAAAAAAACTTTTTGATATGTAGGGCCTAATTGTAATATATTTATTTATTTATTTTTATTTTTTTTTTATTATTATTATACTTTAAGTTTTAGGGTACATGTGCACAATGTGCAGGTTAGTTACATATGTATACATGTGCTATGCTGGTGTGCTGCACCCATTAACTCGTCATTTAGCATTAGGTATATCTCCTAATGCAATCCCTCCCCCTCCCCCCACCCCACAACAGTCCCCAGAGTGTGATGTTCCCCTTCCTGTGTCCATGTGTTCTCATTGTTCAATTCCCACCTATGAGTGAGAACATGTGGTGTTTGGTTTTTTGTCCTTGCGATAGTTTACTGAGAATGATGATTTCCAATTTCATCCATGTCCCTACAAAGGACATGAACTCATCCTTTTTTATGGCTGCATAGTATTCCATGGTGTATATGTGCCACATTTTCTTAATCCAGTCTATCATTGTTGGACATTTAGGTTGGTTCCAAGTCTTTGCTATTGTGAATAGTGCTGCAGTAAACATACGTGTGCATGTGTCTTTATAGCAGCATGATTTATAGTCCTTTGGGTATATACCCGGCAATGGGATGGCTGGGTCAAATGGTATTTCTAGTTCTACATCCCTGAGGAATCGCCACACTGACTTCCACAATGGTTGAACTAGTTTACAGTCCCACCAACAGTGTAAAAGTGTTCCTATTTCTCCACATCCTCTCCAGCACCTGTTGTTTCCTGACTTTTTAATGATTGCCATTCTAACTGGTGTGAGATGATATCTCATTGTGGTTTTGATTTGCATTTCTCTGATGGCCAGTGATGATGAGCATTTTTTCATGTGTCTTTTGGCTGCATAAATGTCTTCTTTTGAGAAGTGTCTGTTCATATCCTTCACCCACTTTTTGATGGGGTTATTTGATTTTTTCTTGTAAATTTGTTTGAGTTCATTGTAGACTCTGGATATTAGCTCTTTGTCAGATGAGTAGGTTGCGAAAATTTTCTCCCATTTTGTAGATTGCCTGTTCAGTCTGATGGTAGTTTCTTTTGCTGTGCAGAAGCTCTTTAGTTTAATTAGATCCCATTTGTCAATTTTGTCTTTTGTTGCCATTGCTTTTGGTGTTTTAGACATGAAGTCCTTGCCCATGCCTATGTCCTGAATGGTAATGCCTAGGTTTTCTTCTAGGGTTTTTATGGTTTTAGGTCTAACGTTTAAGTCTTTAATCCATCTTGAATTGATTTTTGTATAAGGTGTAAGGAAGGGATCCAGTTTCAGCTTTCTACATATGGCTAGCCAGTTTTCCCAGCACCATTTATTAAATAGGGAATCCTTTCCCCATTGCTTGTTTTTCTCAGGTTTGTCAAAGATCAGATAGTTGTAGATATGTGGCATTATTTCTGAGGGCTCTGTTCTGTTCCATTAATTTATATCTCTGTTTTGGTACCAGTACCATGCTGTTTTGGTTACTGTAGCCTTGTAGTATAGTTTGAAGTCAGGTAGCGTGATGCCTCCAGCTTTGTTCTTTTGGCTTATGACTGACTTGGCGATGCGGGCTCTTTTTTGGTTCCATATGAACTTGAAAGTAGTTTTTTCCAATTCCATGAAGAAAGTCATTGGTAGTTTGATGGGTATGGCATTGAATCTATAAATTACCTTGGGTATTATGGCCATTTTCACGATATTGATTCTTCCTACCCATGAGCATGGAATGTTCTTCCATTTGTTTGTATCCTCTTTAATTTCATTGAGCATTGGTTTGTAGTTCTCCTTGAAGAGGTCCTTCACATCCCTTGTAAGCTGGATTCCTAGGTATTTTATTCTCTTTGAAGCAATTGTGAATGGGAGTTCACTCATGATTTGGCTCTCTGTTTGTCTGTTATTTGTGTATAAGAATGCTTGTGATTTTTGTACATTGATTTTGTATCCTGAGACTTTGCTGAAGTTGCTTATCAGCTTAAGGAGATTTTGGGCTGAGACAATGGGGTTTCCTAGATATACAATCATGTCATCTGCAAACAGGGACAATTAGACTTCCTCTTTTCCTAATTGAATACACTTTATTTCCTTCTCCTGCCTAATTGTCCTGGCCAGAACTTCCAACACTATGTTGAATAGGAGTGGTGAGAGAGAGCATCCCTGTCTTGTGCCAGTTTTCAAAGGGAATGTTTCCAGTTTTTGCCCATTCAGTATGATATTGGCTGTGGGTTTGTCATAGATAGCTCTTATTATTTTGAGATACGTCCCATCAATACTGGATTTATTGAGAGTTTTTAGCATGAAGCGTTGTTGAATTTTGTCAAAGGCCTTTTCTGCATCTATTGAGATAATCATGTGGTTTTTGTCTTTGGTTCTGTTTATATGCTGGATTACCTTTATTGATTTGAGTATATTGAGCCAGCCTTGCACCCCAGGGATGAAGCCCACTTGATCATGGTGGATAAGCTTTTTGATGTGCTGCTGGATTCGGTTTGCCAGTATTTTATTGAGGATTTTTGCATCAATGTTCATCAAGGATACTGGTCTAAAATTCTCGTTTTTGATTATGTCTCTGCCTGGCTTTGGTATCAGGATGATGCTGGCCTCATAAAATGAGTTAGAGAGGATTCCCTCTTTTTCTATTGATTGGAATAGTTTCAGAAGGAATGGTACCAGTTCCTCCTTGTACCTCTGGTAGAATTCAGCTGTGAATCCATCTGGTCCTGGACTCTTTTTGGTTGGTAAGCTATTGATTATTGCCACAATTTCAGAGCCTGTTATTGGTCTATTCAGAGATTCAACTTCTTCCTGGTTTAGTCTTGGGAGAGTGTATGTGTCGAGGAATTTATCCATTTCTTCTAGATTTTCTTGTTTATTTGCGTAGAGGTGTTTGTAGTATTCTCTGATGGTAGTTTGTATTTCTGTGGGATCAGTGGTGATATCCCCTTTATCATTTTTTATTGTGTCTATTTGATTCTTCTCTCTTTTTTTCTCTATTAATCTTGCTAGTGCTCTATCGATTTTGTTGATCCTTTGAAAAAACCAGCTCCTGGATTCATTAATTTTCTGAAGGGTTTTTTGTGTCTGTATTTCCTTCAGTTCTGCTCTGATTTTAGTTATTTCTTGCCTTCTGCTAGCTTTTGAATGTGTTTGCTCTTGCTTTTCTAGTTCTTTTAATTGTGATGTTAGGGTGTCAATTTTGGATCTTTCTTGCTTTCTCTTGTGGGCATTTAGTGCTATAAATTTCCCTCTACACACTGCTTTGAATGTGTCCCAGAGATTCTGGTATGTTGTGTCTTTTTTCTCGCTGGTTTCAAAGAACATCTTTATTTCTGCCTCCATTTTGTTACGTACCCAGTAGTCATTCAGGAGCAGGTTGTTCAGTTTCCATGTAGTTGAGCAGTTTTGAGTGAGTTTCTTAATCCTGAGTTCTAGTTTGATTGCACTGTGGTCTGAGAGACAGTTTGTTATAATTTCTGTTCTTTTACATTTGCTGAGGAGAGCTTTACTTCCAACTATGGTCAATTTTGGAATAGGTGTGGTGTGGTGCTGAAAAAAATGTATATTCTGTTGATTTGGGGTGGAGAGTTCTGTAGATGTCTATTAGGTCCGCTTGGTGCAGAGCTGAGTTCAATTCCTAGGTATCCTTGTTAACTTTCTGTCTTGTTGATCTGTCTAATGTTGACAGTGGGGTGTTAAAGTCTCCCATTATTATTGTGTGGGAGTCTAAGTCTCTTTGTAGTCCACTCAGGACTTGCTTTATGAATGTGGGTGCTCCTGTGTTGGGTGCATATATATTTAGGATAGTTAGCTCTTCTTGTTGAATTGATCCCTTTACCATTATGTAATGGCCTTCTTTGTCTCTTTTGATCTTCGTTGGTTTAAAGTCTGTTTTATCAGAGACTAGGATTGCAACCCCTGCCTTTTTTTGTTTTCCATTTGCTTGGTAGCTCTTTCTCCATCCTTTTATTTTGAGCCTATGTGTCTCTGCATGTGAGATGGGTTTCCTGAATACAGCACACTGATGGGTCTTGACTCTTTATCCAATTTGCCAGTCTGTGTCTTTTAATTAGAGCATGTAGTCCATTTACATTTAAAGTTAATATTGTTATGTGTGAATTTGATCCTGTCATTATGATGTTAGCTGGTTATTTTGCTCGTTAGTTGCTGCAGTTTCTTCCTAGTCTCGATGGTCTTTACATTTTGGCATGATTTTGCAGCGGCTGGTACTGGCTGTTCCTTTCCATGTTTAGTGCTTCCTTCAGGAGCTCTTTTAGGGCAGGCCTGGTGGTGACAAAATCTCTCAGCATTTGCTTGTCTGTAAAGTATTTTATTTCTCCTTCACTTATGAAGCTTAGTTTGGCTGGATATGAAATTCTGGTTTGAAAATTCTTTTCTTTAAGAATGTTGAATATTGGCCCCCACTCTCTTCTGGCTTGTAGAGTTTCTGCTGAGAAATCCGCTGTTAGTCTGATGGGCTTCCCTTTGTGGGTAACCCGACCTTTCTCTCTGGCTTCCCTTAATATTTTTTCCTTCATTTCAAATTTGGTGAATCTGACGATTATGTGTCTTGGAGTTGCTCTTCTCGAGGAGTTTCTTTGTGGCGTTCTCTGTATTTCCTGAATCTGAATGTTGGCCTGCCTCGCTAGATTGGGGAAGTTCTCCTGGATAATATCCTGAAGAGTGTTTTCCAACTTGGTTCCATTCTCCCCATCACTTTCAGGTACACCAATCAGACGCAGATTTGGTCTTTTCATATAGTCCCATATTTCTTGGAGGCTTTGTTCATTTCTTTTTATTCTATTTTCTCTAAACTTCCCTTCTCACTTCATTTCATTCATTTCATCTTCCATCACTGATACCCTTTCTTCCAGTTGATCGCATCAGCTCCTGAGGCTTCTGCATTCTTCATGTAGTTCTCGAGCCTTGGCTTTCAGCTCCATCAGCTCCTTTAAGCACTTCTCCGTATTGGTTATTCTAGTTATACATTCGTCTAAATTGTTTTCAAAGTTTTTAACTTCTTTGCCTTTGGTTTGAATTTCCTCCTGTAGCTCAGAGTAGTTTGATCATCTGAAGCCTTCTTCTCTCAACTCGTCAAAGTCATTCTCCATCCAGCTTTGTTCTGTTGCTGGTGAGGAATTGCATTCCTTTGGAGGAGGAGAGGTGCTCTGCTTTTTAGAGTTTCCAGTTTTTCTGCTCTGTTTTTTCCCCATCTTTGTGGTTTTGTCTACTTTTGGTCTTTGATGATGATGTACAGATGGGTTTTTGGTGTGCATGTCCTTTCTGTTTGTTAGTTTTCCTTTTAACAGATGGGACCCTCAGCTGCAGGTCTGTTGGAGTTTGCTAGAGGTCCACTCCAGACGCTCTTTGCCTGGGTATCAGCAGTGGTGGCTGCAGAACAGCAGATTTTCGTGAACCGTGAATGCTGCTGTCTGATCGTTCCTCTGGAAGTTTTGTCTCAGAGGAGTACCCAGCCGTGTGAGGTGTCAGTCTGCCCCTACTCGGGGGTGCCTCCCAGTTAGGCTGCTTGGGGGTCAGGGGTCAGGGACCCAGTTGAGAAGGCAGTCTGCCAGTTCTCAGATCTCCAGCTGCGTGCTGGGAGAACCACTGCTCTCTTCAAAGCTGTCAGACAGGGACATTTAAGTTTGCAGAGGTTACTGCTGTCTTTTTGTTTGTCTGTGCCCTGCCCCTAGAGGTGGAGCCTACAGAGACAGGCAGGCCTCTTTGAGCTGTGGTGGGCTCCACCCATTTCAAGCTTCCCGGCTGCTTTGTTTACCTAAGTGAGCCTGGGCAATGGCAGGCACCCCTCCCCCAGCCTCGCTGCCACCTTGCAGTTTGATCTCAGACTGCTGTGCTAGCAATCAGTGAGACTCTGTGGGCGTAGGACCCTCTGAGCCAGGTGCGGGATATAATTCTCCTGGTGCGCTGTTTCCTAAGCCCGTCGGAAAAGCGCAGTATTCAGGTGGGAGTGACCCAATTTTCCAGGTGCAGTGTGTCACCCCTTTCCTTGACCAGGAAAGGGAACTCCCTGAGCCCTCACGCTTCCTGAGTGAGGCAATGCCTCACCCTGCTTCAGCTTGCGCACGGCACGCTGCACCCACTGTCCTGCGCCCACTGTCTGGCACTCCCTAGCGAGATGAACCCAGTACCTCAGATGGAAATGCAGAAGTCGCCCGTCTTCTGCGTTGCTCATGCTGGGAGCTGTAGACTGGAGCTGTTCCTATTCAGCCATCTTGGCTCCTCCTCCAATTGTTATATATTTAAATGTTAATTCTCCACCCCAATGCTTGCATCTGGATCCCCTCAATGAATATTCATAACTTCTTCTTTAAACTGATAAATATGAATGTTGAGCCAACCTATTCAGCATGAAGCTCCTGCCCAACCCCTCCTTCTTCCAAGTGCCTGCTTCTGGGCTTTTACCAGAGGCTATGCTTCCTAGCTTGTCAAAATGACCATCTTTCAGGGCATAACCCTTTATAAGAAATAAAGCTCTCCTTTCTCAATTTATGAAGACCATGGGATTTTTTAGTTAACAGGAAAAATCATTCTTAATGTGGATCCACTGATCCTTTGTTTCAGAATCATTGAGATTGCTTGTTAAACAGGCAGAGCCTACTGCATCAGAATCTCTGGAGGTAGGGCCAGGATCTGCTTTTTAACTGGCTACTGGAACGCCTTAGGCTGGGCTCCCCGAAGCCTACCTGGGGACAGGCACAGGATGCCAAGGAAGGGTGTGGTCTCTGATAAAGTCCCATCTGGCCAAAGTCCCAGTCTGATGCTCCAGGGGAGTCTGCAGGAGCTTGAGGCAATGGGGCTGGATTCTCCTACTCCTGAACTTGTCAGTCATTGGCTAAGGGCTTGACTTGAAGTACTTCTGGTTCTCTGTAGGTTCAGGCAGAGAGATTCTCATAGCCTGAGCACAGCCCTACACACTGAGTTACAAGTGGAAGCCATGGGAATTTAGTGAAGTACGAGGGAAGGACAGAAGCAGCAAAGGGATCCCAGGGCCTCTAAGCAGAACACAGTGCCCACTACAGCAGGTGATTAGACGTCAGGATACTGGACCCTCATCTCTCTTCCCCATCATGGAGTGGGGATGGGGGAGGGGTGGGCTTTAGTTTAGCAATTCCAGGTGGGCTGGCTCCTAGCCAGCTCTTTTTGAGATCTCCCCACCACAGAGAAGTGCAAATATGCCTTATCATTTTTTGTAGTTGTGTGGTGGGTAATGTTTTGTGTACACACACACCCCCACACACACACATGCCCACACACAAACACATATACATGCCCAGCATTAGAGAAAGCATAATTGTGTGAAACCTTCAAAGCTTCTCTCTGCTGGAAGGGAATGGAAACCCCAGGGCATATTGCCAATTTCCTCCTCTCCCTACAGATGCTGTAAAGGACGTCCCAATCCCCTACAGGTTTCCAAATGGAGAGGTTGCTTGTAATTATTTGAATGCTGAGAGAGAGATACTTCACAGGCTTTTATTTCTAAGCAGTTGTCTTGATGTCAAGCAGCAGGACTGTTCTGGGAAAACTAGGCTTATGATTATTACTTTTTTTGGTGGAAGAGAGATTTTGTCCACATAAAATAAATGAATTGCTTGGAAGCATAAGGGGATGGGAGGGGGGTGAATGATGAGATTACTTAAGGGGTACAATGTATGATATTTGGGTGATGGATACCCTAAAAGCCCTCACTTTACCACTACACAATCTATGCATGTAACAAAATTACACTTGTACTCCATAAATTTATATAAATAAAAAAAGAAAAAGAAATGAATTGCCAACCAGGTGTGGTGGTTCATGCTTGCAATCCCAGTACTTTGGGAGGCCAAGGCAGGCAGATCACCTGAGGTCAGAGTTCTAAACCAGCCTGGCCAACATGGTGAAACCCTGTATCTACTAAAAATACAAAAAGTAGCTGGGCATGGTGGTGAACACCTGTAATCCCAGCTACTCAGGAGGCTGAGGCAGGAGAATCGCTTGAACTTGGGAGGCAGAGGTTGCAGTGAGCTGAGATCTTGCCACTGCACTTCAGCCTGGGCGACAGAGTGAGAGTCCTTCTCAAAAAAAAAAAAAAAAGAAAAAAAAAAAGAAAAGAAAAAAAAGAAAAGAAAAATGCTGAATTGTTATGGAAAAATATAAAAGAGTGGATACATTTAGGAAAGGGAGGGAGGGACACCAGGTGCCACAGGCCTTGTAACACATTCTCTCCTCACTCACATTTTCATCTGTGTCTGAGGGCAGCTACCTCTCAAAAACACTCCTTTAAAGGACTTGTCAATGAGGTCAATGAAGTCTGTGCGGCTAGCACCTGATCACCTCTGTAAATGAAAACATGCTTTTCCTTTCAGGGAAAATATACAAATAGACCCTTTTCTGGGGCAGCTTTCGAAATGCCTGATTCTTTATTGTTCAATTTTGAAGGCTTTGACAATGGAAATTCTGACTGCTGGACTATTTGAGTATCTGTCAAGGCTTAGAGGCTCTCAGCTTTCTGGGTCAAATCAGAGGTGAGCTTGCCTTTCCTCTCAATTTGTATAGTTCAGGTCCTCATTGTCTCTTACCTAGGCTCTTATTGTAGCCTCCTAATTCCATCCCTCTTTCTCCTTTCCTCCCTCCCTCCCTTTCTTCTTTTATTTAAATATCTATCGTTGCATTACTAATCACCCCAACATGAACCTGTTCAGGAAATTTTTCTGGTAGTGACCTCTGCATTCTCCTGACTACACAGTTTCCCTGCCTGCATCTGTCCTTTCTCTGGGCCTGAGATTTGGGGCCAAGCCCAAGTAAGTGCATCTAAGGAAGAATATTTCTGGGACCAGGCACCTCTCCCTCTCTGTACTCACTGTTAGCTAAATTTTCAGCCCTGGAGCCTCTCCCCGGAGTCTAAATTTTTAGCCCTGGAGCCTCTCCCTAATTTTCAGCCCTGGAGATTCTCCTTCTCCCTCTCCCTACTCACTGTTAGCTAAATTTTCCAATTTGCCTTTCACACTTGGCCAAATACAGCCAAGAACACCTGAGGGCATATTCTTATATCCCTTCTTCAGGCAAAAATTAGTTTAAGGGATTGAGTGAGCTCTGGAAAGCTAGGAACTCATGGACTGTTTATGATGCTGAGGATGAGAAATCAGGTAAGGACCAAGCCTGCTGTGCTTGAAAAATGGGGTACCAGCTGAGCTTCCCCCAACTTGTCTAGGATAGGACACTTGCAGCCAATTGTTAGTTCACTCTGCACTTTGAGGTATGAGATTAGCATTTATTTCTCACCTTCTCAGACAGTCCTTTGTGTGGAAAAGTTTTAGTTTTAGTTTTAGTTTCTGTTTTTTGAGGCAGAGTCTTGCTTTGTCACCCAGGCTGGAGTGCAGTGGTGCTATCATGACTAACTGAAGCTTCAACCTCCCAGGCTCAAGTGATCCTCCTGCTGCAGCCTCCTGAGTAGCTGGGACTACAGGTGTGTGTCGCCACGCTTGGCTAATTTTTGTATTTTTTTTAGAGAGACATGGTTTTATCATGTTGCTTGGGCTGGTCTCAAACTCCTGGGTTCAAGCTGGAAAAGTATTTTTAATTGAAATGGCAGATTATACTTGAAAGGGATTTGGATGAGGAAGCATGTGCGTTGGGGGAGAACATTCTCTTAGTCATAAGTGCATGGGCTTTCGTGTCAGATAAGCTAAAGTTTAAACAATTGCTTTGTCCCTATTGGCTGTGTGGCCTTGCCTGTATTATTCTGTCTTTCTGATCCTGTTTTTCATCTGTAAAATGAGCATTATGATGACACCTACTTTTCTCGGTAGCTGTCAGGGTTAGATCATGTATATGAAGTTCCAACATGTAAACATATATCATATATACCAACTATTACCATAATCATTGAAAATTAAAGCTTGCATTTTGCTTGTTGGGATATCCTGAGTCTTTTGAACAAATTTTCTGGAAACTTGGAAAGTCAAAAACCACTTTTAGGGTTGGCTCAAGGAAATAAACTTTCACCTTGCCTAGATAGTTCCCAATTTTAGAAAAGTTAAATGCACTTAAAGCCAGTTTTAAGAGGCCTGGATCATTTATGTATGTTTCCAGGGTTGAAGGTTGGAGAGAAGGTGTGGTATTGTGGTCATCTGCAGTGTCTCGCCCATAGGAACCAGTCTAGAGCTGAGAAGTGCCTTGGTCTTGCTTCCAAAAGAGACTACAAGTCCAAGAGAAGCATCTATGACCCTCATCTTAGGGCAGGGACATTCACAGCAATCACTCAGTTTGAGAAAGCAACCCTTAGCTAAAGTCAGTCCTTACAGCAAAGGACGTACATTTAGGATGATTTACACTTTCCCAGCTGGGTGTGTGTGGTGAGTGCAAGGAATGCCCTTCAGAATGGCCACACTGTTATTATTTTCATTTTATGAGAAGTGTGCTTAAATTGTAGTCCAGTTTACAAAACTAGGCCAACTAGCAGGTCAATGGTGATGCAATTTTGAAGGGTACTTGAAGTTGTCAAAATGGGAACAGCAATTAGAGAGCCTTTTTGTGAGTACATTATTTCCTTTGGATATGGCTTTATGTCTTATAAATATATGTGACATAAAGTACACATATATAAAAACTATGTTTACCATGTTTTGTCAATTCTAAGTCATAGATTTATTTTTTCACATTGTAAGATAACTGAAATCAGAATATGTGTCACAATCTATGGCATCTTACGATCACTGGAACTAGATGGTCTGTCATTGTCATGGCCTGGAGATACACAAATTTGGCCTCGCTTGTTCATACTGATATCACTTCACCTGAGGGTTGTCTTGGTCATTCATACTGACATCACTTCGTCGGCGTGGTTTATTGGTATTATGTGTGTTAACTTTTTTTTTTTTTTTTTGAGACAGAGTCTCTCTCTGTCATGCAGGCTGGAGTGCAGTGGCAAAATCTGGGCTCACTGCAACCTCTGCCTCCAGGTTCAAGTGATTCTCCTGCATCAGCCTCCCAAGTAGCTGGGACCACAGGTGTGTGCCTGGCTAATTTTTTGTATTTTTAGTAGAGACGAGATTTAATCATGTTTCCCAGGCTGGTCTTGGTGATCCACCTGCCTCAGCCTCCCAAAGTGCTGGGATTACAGGTGTGAGCCATTGCACCGGCCAATGTGTGTTAACTTTAAATGCTATTCGAAATGCCTTCAGAAAGGTTACACTACAATCTGGCATTGAAATGAAAGGTTGTTGTGGCCTAGAAAGGCACAGAAATAGCAGTAAAACCTTGAGATGTTGTTAGTGAAGTAAATGTTCATTATTGGAGAAATGACTGCAATTCCATATTTTATCAGAAAGCAATAACCAAATGCTTTATATACTTCATAAAAAGCAGATATCCACTGTGTTAGTCCATTTGTGTTGCTATAAAGAAATACCTGAGACTGAGTGATATGGTTTGGCTGTGTCCCCACCCAAATTTCATCTTGAATTATAGCTCCCATAATTCCCATATGTTGTAGGAGAGACCTGGTGGGAGATCATTGAATCATGGGGGTGGTTTCCCCCATACTGTTCTCATATAAGTGAATAAGTCTCATGATATCTGATGTTTTTATAAAGGGTTTCCTCTTTCACTTGGCTCTCATTTTTCTCTCTTGCCTGCTGCCATGTAAGACATGCCTTTTGCCTTCCACCATGATTGTGAGGCCTCCCTAGCCACGTGGAACTATGAGCCCATTAAACCTCTTTTTCTTTACAAGTTGCCCAGTCTTGGATACGTCTTTATCAGCAATGTGAAAATGGACTAATACACTAGGTAATTTATAAAGAAAGGAGATTTATTTGGCTTACAGTTTTGCAGGCTGCACATGAAGCATAGTTGGCATCTGCTTCTGGTGAGGGCCTTAGGAAGGTTCCAGCCATGTTGGAAAGCAAAGGAGAGCCAGTGTGTCACATAGCAAGACAGGGAGCAAGACAGAGAGGAAGGAGGTGCCAGGCTCTTTCCAACAATCCAATCTCACGTTAACTCATAGAGTGAGAACTCACTCATTACTGGGAGAACTGCACCAAACCATTCATGAAGGATTGGCCCCTATGACCCAAATATTTCCTGCTAGGCCCACCTCCAACACTGGAGGTCACATTTCAACATGAGATTTGGAGAGAACAAAACATCCAAACCATATCACCCACAAGTAGATGAAGCTGTGCTGTATTTTGTATTGAGATACTTGCAAAAGAATTGTTCAGTACACATCAAGCCATGTACCTACAGGCAGAAGAAATTGCCAAATTCCTTGGATTAGATAAAAGAAACTTCAAGGCAACAAGAGGTAGGTGTGACTGATTTATGCATTATGCAGGGTGATTCTCAAGGAATTATGTTTAACAGCAGTATTTTTTTCCTTTAGTGTTTTAATTTATTTATTTGTTTATTTATTTATTTATTGAGATGGAGTTTCACTCTGTCACCCAGGCTGGAGTCCAGTGGTGCGATCTTGGCTCACTGCAACCTCTGCCTCCCCAGTTCAAGTGATTCTCCTGCCTCAGCCTCCTGAATAGGTGGGACTACAGGCAGATGCCACCATGCCCGGCTAATTCTTAGTAGAGATAGGGTTTCACCATGTTGGCCAGGCTGGTCTCAAACTCCTGACCTCAATTGATCGACCTGCCTCAGCCTCCCAAATTGCTGGGATTACAGGCATGAACCACGGCGCCCAGCCCCTTTAGTGTTTTTAAAATAGTGGTATATCTTATAATCAATTGAGTCTTAGAGTCCATGAAATACAGTACATTGAAAATGACACATAACTATTCATTAGCAGCAAATGCTGTCATCACCTATAAAATACATTTAGCAATTGTACACATAACAGGCTCCCCTGTCCCCACAAAACTCTCATACTTCCTTTGTTCTTTGGTCCCTCCTGTAAACAATTCTACAACTAGACAAAACCTATGAGGCAAATGTTTTCAGCACAATGCAGCAGACAATGCAAGTCTCTGATTCTTGAAAGAAGAGAAATTCACATTTGTCCCGGTCCTGGAGGCCCTTCCCAGACTGCAGCAGGAAAGTTGAGCCCCAGTGGAACACAGGGGTCTTTCTGGGTGGAGAAGGCAGAGAATGACATTTGGGGTGTTTGGATTTAGTAGGGAAGGGTGCTAAAAGGAGAGAGTGCACAAGGCAGAGCATTCTGGGCTGTCCATGTGCAGAGCAAGGCTGTCCTGGAATGCAGAGAACTAAGTCAAGATCACAGAAGTAGTGAAGTCCTGGGAAATGTTTGAGTTCCCACACAGTCAGTGTTCAGAGACTTTGCTGAGCACCTCAAGCATTCAGTTGAGATGTCGGAAAAGCCATAATTTAGGAGTAAGGACCACATTCTGGATTGAAGGCCATGTTTCTAGGACTATGGACAAAACTCGAAATACATTGGCCCTAACAAAACCTACCAAATTCTGACTGCATCAAGAGAATCTACCAGTCATTTAACCACCAGTCAGAAAAAACTTAACATTTTTTTTTTGTTGTTTTTTAAGGGAAGACAACATAGTTCAGACTTTGTACAAGGTATCATTTACAATGTCCATCATATAATCAAAAATTATCAGACATGTGAAGCAGGAAAACAGGAACCATAATCAATAGAAAAAGCACTAAATAGATACTCTGAAATAACCTATGTGTTGAAATTAGCAAACGATTTTAAAGTTGTTATTACAAGTATGTTTGAGGATTTAAAAAAAAAGGATTACAAAGTGAGAGAATAGAAGGGTAAGAAGATAAAAATTTTAAGTTATTAAAAATATGCCTAAAATTTTAAGAAAAGATGGACACAATGAGTGAATAGATCAGTAGACCAGAAATTGAAAGAATAAAACTAAAAATAATGGCCAGGCACAATGGCTCATGCCTACAATCCCAGAACTTTGGGAGGCCTACCGCTTTGGGAGGCTAAAGCAAGAGGACCATTTGAGGCCAGGAGTTTGAGACCAGCCTGGGCAACATAATGAGACATTGTCTCTATTTTTTTTTTTTAAAAAAAGGCTGGGTGTGGTGGTTCGCATTTGTAATTCTGGCACTTCGGGAGGCTGAGGTGGGCAGACTACTTGAGCTCAGGAGTTTCTGAGCATCTGGGGCAACACAGGGAGACCCCATATGTAGAAAAAAAATGTAAAAATTAGCTGGACATGGTGGCACGCACCTGTAGTCCCAGCTACTTGGGAGACTGAGGTGGGAGGATTGCCTGAGCCCTGGAGCTCGAGGCTGCAGTAAGCCAAGATTGAGCCACTGCATTTGAACCTGGATGACATAGTGAGACCCTGTCTCAAAAAAAAAAAAAAAGCAAACAAACAAACAAAAAAACAAAAAACAACCAAATGAACAAACAAAAAAAATCCCCGAGAAACACAACAACACAACAACACCGAAAAAAATAGCTCTGGGTTACTCAGGTTACAAGAGTAGTGCCCTGTGGTGGTTAAGAGCACAGACTCTGGATCCAGACTGCCTGGGATCAGATGCTGATTCTTCTCCTTAGCTGTGAAAACTACTTATCCTTTCAGAGCCTTCATTTTGTCATCAGTAAAATGAGGACAAGAACAATAGTGTCTTCCTTTTGGAGCTATTGTGAGAATTAAATGAGATAAATGTAAAGTGCCTCTCTCAGTGCCTGACGCAGACTAAGTATTATTTTTTAAATTATTTCAACTTTTCTAGGGTTCATCTCAGAACTGCAGTGCAACACCCTCTCTTTTTTGTGGCCTTCAGAAGGACCCCCATGTCTCACGTTTGGGCTTAGACCAGACTTTGACAAACAGTTGACTTAGATAACTAAGGTAACTTAGGTAGCAATGGCCACATGCATATGGGACATTTACCAGGGTTTTTGAATTTGTTCAACCTCTCATTTTCCTCCAAGTGGGAAAAATGTGAGATAGTGATTAGGCATGTGTTGATGGGGGTGGGGGAAATAAGTAAGAGAGAGAAAAGAAGAAAAACTCCACAATCAAAAAATGGCCTTATTCCTTAAATTGCTTTTAAATTAAAAACATTTAATATCAGCTTCAATTTTGAGGGGGACTTATTTAAAATGTAGGTCCAAATGCTTCTCTTTTTCCCAGCTGTCAGGAAAATGTGTGTGTGTGTGTGTGTGTGTGTGTGTGTGTGTGTGTTTCTGGGTAAATGTTTCAATTTTTACTGACTTCCTTATAACGTTGGGTGGCCAGGATGCTCCTTGAAATTAAAGTTGGTCACATTGTTTAGGCTGTTCATGATTTGAAGATGCTATCTGAGACTCTATTCTGGCTTTGGGGGTTAATAAAATAATTTTAGCTTGCTTTATCACATCTTAATAAAGTTACTGACTGTTGAGCCAGGCAGAAATATTAATGTAATGAAAAAACAACTGTGCTACAGTATTTCTCAGTTGAAGCAGGGATTTTCCAATGCGAATAAGTGAAATAAACCATGCAGGTAGGTATAGAGGTGCCATTTTCTTAAAACTTTGTCTTAACGTTCATCTAGTCAGTGCCGCCTTTCTAATCACCTCCAAAAGGTAATAGGTAAAATGTAAAACGTGTAAATTAGGAAGATACAGCTACCATTACAACCAAAATCTATAGATACATGGACTGGAAACATAATAGATACATATGGTGGTGAGCTGGGGCTAAAGGTATAGGCATCAGGCCTCCAGGTGCAGAGATAGGCAACAGCAGCACTTCCCATTACTCAGGGAAGTGCAAGCTAAAATTGCTCCATACAAGGCAAGGCTCCAGATCCAGGGTCACCCATGCAAGCCACAAGCTGGTCTGGGGTTTCCTTGCCTGAGAAACAAGGTGAGGAAGGAAAATCATTCCCCATCAATTCCAGGAATTATGTCTTACTTAATCTACCTTCCCAGGGTGGGCAGAGGAAGCAGACAGAACTTCACAGCCAGGACCTGGACCAAGCCTGGGTAAATGGATATGCAGAGTCTCTAATATCATCACAAGGCAGCTGGATGTCCTGGGAGGATGAGCAGAGGCAGCAACAAACCAGTTAGTAGGAAGTAATGTACTTGAGGGATAGGGTGAGAGAGGGAGAAAAGAGAGAGAAGAGGGACATCACTTCGAGACAGGCTAAAAAATAAATTTGAAAACACCGAGGAAAATCAAATTCTAAGAAAAACAGCAATAAAATCAACAATCAAGAGATGAATTCATATCAGATAAAATGAAAATACAGTTGACCCTTGAACATCATGGGGTTAGGTACACTGACCACCCCCCCCAGCCATGCAGTCAAAAATCCACATATAACTTCTGGTTCTCCAAAAACCTACCTGCTAATAGCCAATGTTGACTGGAATCCTTATCAATAACATCAACAGTTGATAAACACATATTTCGTATGTCATATGTATTATATACTATATTCTTACAATAAAATAAGCTGGAGAAAGAAAAATGCTATTAAAAATTATGAAGAAGAGAAAATATATTTACTATTCATTAAGTGGAATTGGATCATCATAAATGTCATCATCGTTGTCATCTTCACTTTGAATAGGCTGAGAAGGAGGAGTAAAAGGAGGGGTTGGTCTTGCTGCATCAGGAGTGGTGGAGGCAGAAGAAAATAAGTGGACCTGAGCAGTTCAAACCTGTGTTGTTCGAGAGTCAACAGCTACAGAGCAATCTGAACACTACATATGCTGAGAATTCTCAAGAGATGAATAAATAGCTGTGGAATGAGAAATTACTGAACAAAAGCAAACAGAAGTGAGACCAGGTAAATATGCTAAGAACCAAATAGAAATCTTAGAAATTGAAAAATAAGGTCATTGAAATAAAAGTCCTATGGACAAGACAAACTCTAATTTTATACTAAGCACTTGGAAAATTAGTCCTAAAGGGTGAATCCAGAATATAGCACAGAAAGAGGGAAGGATAAAACATACACACAAAAACAGGGTAGTTTGACAGTCTTTAGCAAACATCTAAAAGGAGTTCCAGGCCAGGCACAGAGGCTCCTGCTTGTAATTCTGGTATTTTGGGAGGCAAAAGTGGGATGATTTCTTGATGCCAGGAGTTCGAGACCGGCCTGGGAAACATAGCAAGACTTTGTCTCCACAAAAAGGAGGAAAAAATAGCTAGGCATGATGATTCACCTACGTACTTACTCAGGAAGCTGAGGCAAGGGGATTCCTTGAGCCCAGGAGTTCGAGACTGCAGTGTGTGTTATCACACCACTGAACTCCATCCTGAGTGACAGAGCAAGACCCTGTCTCTGAAAAATAAATAAATAAGTAAAAGGAGTCCAAGAAGTGAGTTAGAAAAATGCAGCAAATTAATATTCTAAGAAAATGCTTAGAATTTTCTAGAATTAAAGAAAGACATAAGTCCCTGAATTCATAGTATGTACTAAAAATTATGCAGGATAAAAATAAATCCATATGTAGACACATTTGATGAAAACTGCAGAACATTAAGGATGAAGGAATTAAAAAAAATTTCAGAGAAAGAAAATAAAAATCATGCAAAATAACTATAATGAGCTTGACAATCAGTTTCTCAACAGTAAAAATATTAATAAATTTCAGGAAACAACAGATTAATGTCCTTAAGGTACTGAGGAAAACTAAATGCCAATTTAGAATTGTGCCCCTAGCTAGGCCCCTGATCCTGATGAGGGTCTCTAGGAAAATATCAAGCCACTCATCCTTTCCCCAGCCCACATCAGGCTAACTGTCCAAAGATTTACTAGTGGTCTGGGAACTCAATCATTTAAATCCAAGAAAAGGATGACAAGACATCTCTCTCTGCCTAAACCCAGGGCAGTAGAACCATCTTACATACCATTGTTTGGCAACCAGGGGGAAGAAATTATTATGGTTCTGGGGCCAAAAGGACTGGAGGGGAACAGAGGACTTCTCAAACTCAGCGACCTTCTGAACTCAAATAACCAAACTTGGAATCCACCAGTAAAATTAAATCTGGCAATCTTTCTAGGACTTTCTTCACTTCAAGTTATTCTCACATAACTTCTCTTCAAACTTTCGTCATTGCTATGTCTGATCTATAGGAATAATAGTGGGACAAGAGGATAATTAACTTTCTTCACTGAAACCCTTTGAGACTACCCTCTGTTTCTTGCTGGAACCTGGCAGATCCTCCTCCAAACCAACGGAAAGTTAGGAGTGTTCTGTGACAAAGAGGAATGCCTGGAACCAGGATTGAATACCACCAGCAGTTTGTCTGTCTCTGTCTCTGCCTCTTACATCTCACTCTAGATCTGTTTTTGACACTAGGCCAGAGACACAGGGACATGGATAGCACACGAATAGAGCATTTGAAACAAGATCCCCTTGGCCTGTCTAGTTTCAGCACTGCAGTGGAGGACAGTTCCCTGCTGTGACCTGCTTCCACACAAAACCTCAGGCTTTCACATCAGAGGCAGGAGATTACTTAGCCAGGTGCAGGCACATCCCAGAAGTACAAGGGAGTTACCACTCCCAATCCTCAGTCAATAGTTGACGAGATCGTGTCCCTGGTCCTCTTTTGGGGAGAAAATTGGAGGCACATTTTACATAGTTCCTCAGAGGGTATGCAATGGATTGAGCCCCAGTTGCCCAGAAGTTCACTAATGCCACCTGTCTTAGTCCATTTTGTGCTGCTATAACAGAATACCTGGGACTGAGTTATTTATTTACAAAAACCCAGAAATTTATTTCTTACAGTCCAAGATCAAGACACCAGCATCTGATTAGGGCCTTCTTGCTGTGTCCTTAGATGGCACAAGGCAGAAGAGGGGAAGCAGGAAGAACTCCCATCATCAAGCTCCTTTATAAAGACCCCTAATCCCATTCATGAGGGAGGGGCCTTCATGGCCTAATCACCTCTTAAAGGCACTGCCTCTTAATACTATCATGTCACTGGCAACACCTGAATTTTGGAGGGGACACATTCAAACCATAGCACCATTTGTTGGCTTGTCTCCTTTACCTGTCTTACTTTCCCTTTTTCCTTACATCTGTCTCCTGGGATCACCTCACAAATAAACCTCCTCACTCAAATTCTTGTTTGAGAGTCTGCTTTTGGTAAAACCTAAACCAGACAGAAAAGCTTTCATCTTTCTAGTACAGCATATGGTATGTCATCTTCTGAGAATAAGGGAGAAAGGTCACAGTAGGATGACTCAAGGGAGGTGAGAAACATCAGTGGGGTGGTCATGAAGGGGTCGGTTAAGACTGGAATTCATCCTCTTGAGGAGAGTCTAGCTACGACTGTGTCCACATGGCCCAGGCCAGGAGAGAGCAGGAGGTGGTTGAAGGATGGGAAGACACGTGATGGGAAGGACCTCCAGACACTGCTTCAGGCTGTGGGTTGAGTTTAATTTTCTACATGTCACTTATTTTGGGACCCAGGCTGGATGGGAGGTAGCTTCCTGGGGAATGCTGTTCTGATGACAGATGGCAGAAGCCGAAGAAAGCAAACCAAACCATGCAAGTACATTTAATGCCTTTGGTTGAATGGGCATATGGTACCCCTACTCACATTCCAAGTCACAGATCAAACCCAAAACCAGTGGAGCAAGGGTGTATACATGTATACATGGCCAACAAGAGAGCCTTGGCAAGGACAACAAAGGATGAGGAACAAGTAACACCATCTTTCTGTCCAGCCTACAAAAGGCATGCAGCTGGCTTCTCCCTTTTTCCATAAAGGCACAGGGACACCAAGTGTTGCTCTCTGATGACTGACCGTATCAGCCACATCCCAGCCCCCAAAAAGTCACTTAACACCCAGTTTCCCATGAGTCACTCAAAAATGAATTCCTGAAGTGGTCTTTAAATCTGTGTTCTCACATCCTGTTCCAACCAAGCCTAAACTATGTGCTTCTCTACTTGGCAGTAAGGATCTAAAACAAGGCAGAGGGAATGACATCAGGGTGTAGGGTTTCCTTCTCTTCTGCTTTTCTTTGAGTTTAATAATTTTGCAGAAGGTATGTCTCCTCCTTTTGGTATGAGGTTAGAACTGGTTGAATACGCCCTGACACTATGGAGTCACTGGGCTCCCATGAAGGGTCCTGATGGGAGTGGAACCCAGATGGGGGATGTGGCAAAATACTTTACTCATGACAAAGAATGGTGTCTACATCACCAGATTATTGTGGTGTGCGTGTGAGTAGGTGGGGACACACACATGCACACACTGTTCTTTTTCCCTTTCTTCTCCCATTATTGCCTCAGTAGTTGGTAAGTTTTGGATCTGTGTTCCCACTCAAATCTCATGCCAAATTGTAATTCCCAGGGTTGGAGGTGGGGCCTGATGGGAGGTGACTGGATTAGGGGAGGTCTCTAACGGTTTAGCATCATCTCCCAGTGCTGTTCTTGTGATAGAGTTCTCATGAGATCTGGTTGTTTAAAACTATGTAACACCTACTTGCTCTCTCTCTTCCTCCTGCTCCAGCCATGTAAGACATGCCTGTTTTTCCTTCACCTTCCGCCATGATTGAAAGTTTCCTGAGGCTTCCCCGGAAGCCCCTATGCTTCCTGTACAGCCTGCAGAACCATGAGCCAATTAAACCTCTTTTCTTTATAAAGTACCCAGTCTCAGGTGTTTATAGCAATGGGAGAATGGACTAACACAGTGATACTAACAAGGAGGTAGGCTGGCTGTGCCTCAGAGTCAGGAGAAATGGGATGCAATTGTGCATGGACTTGAGAAAAGCATTTGATAAAAACACAATTCTTAGCATAGCACAGAGATGTACAATGTGTATTAATTAACATTTTAGGAGTTGTGGATATTAACTTTCATTGATATATAGTGTATGTTTCATAATACTAATGCAGTCTGTTAAAAATGAGGTTTCAACAACGGTTTCAGGTTTTCAGGAAAGAAAGGAATTATGGAAACTTTTTCTGGTGTGTCTTCCTGCAAAAGTAGGTCTCATTACTTCCACTGACCTTGAGAGAACAGATTTGGCGAGATCAGAATACTTGCCAAAGGCCACACAGTAAAATGGCAGACTGGGGACCAGGGAGGTGTGAGGTTCAATGGTAAAAGAAAGGCCCAGCATAAGCTAGACCTGTTTTTGAGTCACAGGGAATTTTAGCTAGTGTCCCTGTGAATCAGAAGCAGGTCTAGCATGTCTCCTCTTTCTCTTGGATAGAATAGTACTAAGAAAGGAAGAAGGATAAAGAATCTCAAGTTGTGGACTTTTAGAGAGACCAAACCTCAAACTTATCACAGAAAGTGATTATGTAATAGGTTCCACCATTCTGTCATGAGTATCTGTTATCATATATCTAAGTCTCACAGGTCAAGGCAAGAATGGTGATATTTTATTCATCAGTACTTCCCTCACCCTCAGAGTGGTTTTCTGTTCTGTGAAGGTCAAGGTTTCTCTCCACTCTGAAGAAATTAAAAGCTGCCATCGTGATTTTCCTGTGAATGGGGAGGGCAGGCCCATGGCCTTTCCTCCTGCTGCAGAAGGAAGATAGCAGAGGCAGAGGCAGGGCATTCGCCTTTCCACCAAAGCTGAATCTTTTTCCTCCAGATGAATGAGAACTATGGGAGTTCACAAGAGAGAAAAGCTCTGTGACCCTCCAGGTGGCAGGAAGTGGAAGAGGGGTTTTTTCTTCAGACAACAGTCTTTCTGATCGGGCATGCCAGCTCTTCCTGTTCCTCTTTTTAGTGGACTGTGACAGCTTCCCAGCATGCTCTTCTGTCCTTGTTCTGCCAATATAACTCTTCTTCACTTTGGGAAAACCAGTCCATATGGTTTGGATGGGCCTATAATTCTCCTCCTCCCTACCCTCTCAGTCCTAGTCACAGGATGAACAGTGACCACTGATGTTGCCAATCAGAGCACCTCATTCTCTTGGTTGCAGTGATTGGTCCACAAATGAGCACTTAATCCAAGCAGAAACAATCAAAGTTCTTCCACAAGATTTGTTATATTAACAATGAGGCAGCTGCCTCTGTCTTTATCTTGGATAAAGTAAGATGAGTGAGTCTGCTTTATAATGCAGCCAGCACAGAGGATTGAGAGGGGTGAGAGAAAAGGAAAGGGACAGAAGTTGGACAGCATCCTTTAACACCTGAATCCATCTATGCCTGAATGGAGACCAATTACTGGATTTCCTGCCTATAGTAGTCAATAAATTCTAATTCTGTGCAAGCTCATTTGAGCCACGTTCATGTTACATTCAATTACATTTGAACCTTGACTTCTATAAATTCTGTACTGTATTTATCCAGGTGAATGGTGGAAGAAATCTTTTTTTCTTGGGGTGGGAAGGATATTTGTGACTAGAATCAAAGATTCACACTCCTCCTTGGAAAAGGAAATGTGCATACATTGTGTTGATTATCGTCTTTTCCTGCCATCTTCTGCCTTGTGCTGGAGCTAAATGCAATTTGAGCCTTCAGTCTGGAAGGCTCTGGAGTTGTAAAATGCTCAAGGTTTTCACAGTCTCTCTCCACTGCTTCCCCATGCTGATGGAGAGAGAGTTTTAGATCTCTTCCCCTTAACACACAGCTGGGATGCTGCTGGGAAGGAAACAGTTCGTGAACCCCATTTCATCTCAGCAAACATTTAGAATGCGTAAGACTTAGCTGTGGCCTTGAGAATGTCTTGGTGAGGGTGGGGGGATGATCATCCATATGCATGATGTTGAATGTCCTCTTCAGAATATTCACCTATGAAATGTCCCTTGTACTGAGCCAGGTCTGCCTCTCCAATGTCACAGGGTGGCCCACACACAGCTGAACTGCAAGCGTGGTGCTCTCTGGCAGGAACAAACTGCAATCTACTTGATTTCTCTGAGCCCCATTGACAGTGAAGTGGCTACATGATTACAAGGAACTAAGGCTGATTTACAAAGTAGGGCTTGTGCAAAGATGTTACTACTGTGCTTTCAAGCTCTGAGGACTAGGGAGACAAACTATTGGCTTTACAAATTAGTAATACAAGCCTTCTGAAATTAGGCCAGGTCTGAAATAAGTTGAATTAAGAGCTAATAAGGATTTTTAAAACAATTATACCTTCATTAACATATAATTAAAGTACAATAAACTACACATACTTAGAATGTACATCTGTCTACACCCTTGAAGCCATCATCACAATCAAGGTAACAAATATTTCCATCTCCCCTCAAAGTTTTCTGGTGCCCCTTCCTTCCTTTAACCCCCTCCCCATGCAACCCCTGATCTCTTTTCCATTACTTTTGATTAGTTTCCATTTTTTAGAATTGCTAATAACAATGTCAGAGTAAGTTTAAAACAGTGTCTAGGCAGGACCGGGCTGCCTCCTCTGAACAGGTGGGGAAAGCTCCCCTGAATTTGTCCAGTTGAGGGCAGAGGCACTCTCTGCCCCGCTCTAAATTCCTAGTTTTCCTCTCACTGTCCCTTGAGAAACAAGCCATATGCTAGCTGGGGTGGTGGTGTGTGATATGGAAACTTTGCAATAGGAGCTAGCGAGGAAGAGCCAAGCATATTAGGGGGATGGAGTGGAAGATGAGAGGAATAACTTGAAAGGAGGGTGAGAGGTAGACAGGGACTGATCCTGGGCACTACACCTTTGTCAAGGTTAAAATCAAAGAAATGAAATTTAAACTCAAGCACAAGGAATGTAGGAGGATTGCCTTTAAATGCCAATGTCTCTAAACAATGAAGCAAATTGGTAGCAGAAATGGTGAAGTTGCTCCTTGTGGCATTCCATTTTATTTTAAAAAGATATATTCTTATCTTTATGACTCCAAGTAGCCATGGTCCAGTCTAAAGGCAGAGGAATGGACTAAAGATATTCTAAAATCTCATCCAGTTCTGACTGTCATAAAGGTTAAAGTGTTTTACATAAACAAACTTTAAGAGTAGCTGGCCGGGCGTGGTGGCTAACGCCTGAATTCCAGCACTTTGGGAGGCTGAGGTGGGTGGATCACCTGAGGTCAGGAGTTTGAGACCAGCCTGGCCAACATGGTGAAATCCTGTCTCTACTAAAAATACAAATATTATCTGAGCATGGTGGTGCACGCCTGTGATCCCAGCTACTCGGGAGGCTGAGCTGGGAGAATTGTTTGAACCTGGTAGGCGGAGGTTGCAGTGAGCCAACATTGAGCCACTGTACTGCACTCCAGTCTGGGTGACAGAGCGAGACTCGGTCTAAAAAAAAAAAAGTAGCTAATTGAGTGAATATTTATTTATTTAATTTATTTATGAGACGGTCTTGCTCTGTCGCCCAGATTGGAGTGCTATGGCACGATCTCAGCTCACTGCAACTTGAGTGAACATTTAAAAGTGCCTGAACTTAACTTGACAAGGTCCATTTTGAGACTGTGAGTGGTAAAGCCTTTGTGTCAAGATCAGCAGTGATGTGGGACACGGGTCTGTTCCGCATGCCAGCTGCAGTGTGCACACTCTGCTGCTGTCCTGGGACTAGAGATGGGGCAAACATGACCCACCATTGCCATTAATAAACGTAATTTATTACCAATGCCTTTGAAACATAATTTTAGGCTCAATAAGTAGCATCATTAAAACTGTAAGAAGGTATCATTAAAACTGATATTACTTACATGTACAAATAAATCATGCTCAAACTTCCCCCATATATTCTCTCTCAAGCAATAAAAAAATTGATGGATACAATTCTATTGTTGAACAAATATCAACTCTGATATCTTGGCTCTCTTCAATGTTTCAGGGCTACAGGTGGTCACTGTTTGCTATCTGAAATATCATTTTGTTTATCTTTTATAAAGCCACATTGCAATTACATTAGAAATTAATGTCAAATGAATTGGTAATCAATTCTTGAGTGCCTCCTCATCTGGGGAGGCGGTGGAGTACTGGGGGAAGTACCCTGAAGTCATTAAAGGTGGAAAATTCTCCCCTTTGTGGTTTTCCTCACTTTGTGGTGTCAGTGTCTGTGTGCTTGCTTGCTTCTCGAACTGATCCCCAAGGCAGAGGCCATGCCATATTTGTCTTTAAATACTTAGTAGCTAACCCACTGTTAACACATAGCAAGAGCTAAATGAATGTTTATTGAATAAAGGAATGAATGAACCAGAGTTGCTACTGTCAAATATTCATATTTTTTCTAGCTTTTTCATAAAATAGATAAGTGTTTAAAATATTCATGAATAGATTCCCCCCATGGGTTCCTTATTTCCTTAAAGTATGATTCCATGAATTTGATTTTTGAATTAAGGAATATATATTTTATCTTTTTAATGTATTTAATATTGCTTTTAAAGCTGATTTTAAAGTCAATTTATAATTGGAACATCATCAATAATGGGACAACGATTATTATAATACATAGACTTTATGTGTCTCCTAATATAATGCAGTTTGAAATACATAGTGCTATGACATATTTTTTCCCAACATTTTAACCTTAATTTAGAAATAACTTTTAGTCTCAGAAGATGAGTTGTTCTATAAGACATCTGTCTGGTCAGGTCTCTTCAATTGGTCAGTGTCATGAAACAATAAAAAGGGGGGAAAGGGAGGATATTCTAGATGAAAAGAGATTTGAAAGACACAACAACAAAGGCAATCTGTGGACCTTGATTGGGTGTTTGTTCAAACCAATTAGCTAAAAAGTCATTTGGAGAACAATTGGGAACATATAAATATAAAATGAATATTAGATAATATAAAGGATTTTTTTGTTTGTTCGAGACTGAGTCTCAGTCTGTTGCCCAGGCTGGAGTGCAGTGGTGTGATCTCAGCTCACTGGAACCTCCTCCTCCTGGATTCAAGTGATTCTCTTGCCTCAGCCTCCTGAGTATATGGGACTACAGGCATGCACCACCACGCCTGGCTAATTTTTTGTGTTTTTAGTAGAGACAGGGTTTCACCATGTTGGCCAGGCTGGTCTCAAACTCCTAACCTCAAGTGATCTCCCTGCCTTGGCCTTCCAAAGTGCTGGGATTACAGGTGTTAGCCACCACGCCCGGCCAATGCTTTTCTTTCAGGTTGAAGAAATCCCTTTAGCGTTTCTTGTGGGACAGGTCTGGTGTTGAAATCCCTCAGCTTTTGTTTGTCTGGGAATGTCTTTGTTTCTTCCTTCGTGCTTAAAGGATATTTTCACCAGATATATTACTCTAGGGTAAAAGTTTTTTCCTTCAGCACTTTAAACGTGTCATGCCACTCTCTCCTGGCCTATAAGGTTTCACTGAAAAGTCTGCGGCCAGTCATTTTGGAGCTCCATTGTATGTTACATGTTTCTTTTCTCTTGGTGCTTTCAGGATTCTTTATCTTTGACCTTTGGGAGTTTGATTATAAAACGCCTCGAAGTAGTCTTCTTTGGGTTAAATCTGCCTAGTATTCTATAACCTTCTTGTACTTGAATGTTGATATATTTCTCTAGGTGCGAGAAATTCTCTGTTATTACCCCTTTTAGTAAACTTTCTACCCCTATCTCTTTTGCTACCTCCTCCTCAAGGCCAATAACTCTTAGAGTTGCCCATTTGAGGCTACTGGCTATTTTCTAGATCTTGTAGTCATGCTTCATTGTTTCTTTAATCCTTTTTCTTTTGTCTCCTCTGACTGTATATTTTCAAAAAGTCTGTCTTCAAGCTCACTAATTCTTTTTTCTGCTTGATCAATTCTGCTATTAAGAGAATCTCATGCATTCTTCAGCATGTCAGTTGCATTTTCAAATCTAGAATTTCTGCTTGATTCTTTTTAATTATTGTAATCTCTGTTAAATTTATCTGATAGAATTCTAAATTCCTTCTCTGCATTATATTTGAGTTTCCTCAAAAAAGCTATTTTGATTTCTTTGTCTGAAAGGTCATATACCTCTGTTTCTCCAGGCTTGGTCCCTGATAGCTTATTGAATTCATTTGGTGAGATCATGTTTTCTTGGATGATGTTGATACTTGCAGATATTCTTCAGTGTCTGGGCATTGAAGAGTTAGGTATTTGTAGTCTTCACAGCCTAGGCTTGTTTGTACCTGTCTTTCTTGGGAAGGCTTTCTATGTATTCAAAGGGACTTGGGATTCAAGCCCAATAACACCGTGGTTTTTGCAGACTCAGAGGTACCAGCTTTGTGGTCTTGGATAAGACCCAGAAGTCTTCTCTAGATTATCAAGCAAGAATCTCTTGTTTTTTTCCCCTTACTTTTTCTCAAACAGAGTCTCTCTCTGTGTGCTGAGCTACCTGTAACTGGGGGTGTGATGATGCAAGCATATCTGTGGCCATCACCACAGTGACTGCTCTGGGTCAGATCTGAAGCCAGCACAACACTGGGCCTTGCCCAAGGCTCTTCCCTCAGGGTGGTGAGTTTCACCAGGTCCCAGGCATATCCAGAGGTGCTGTCTGGGAGCCAGGAATTGGAGTGAAAAACCTTAGCAATTTATCTGATGTTCTATTCTCCATGGCTAAGCTGGCACTCAAACCACCATACAAAGTCCTTCCTGCTCTTCCCTCCCATTTCCACAGGCAGAGAAATCTCTCCCTGTGGCCACCACCACCACTGGTCCATGGGGGTGTTCTGCCAGGCCACCGCTAATGCTTACTTAAAGCCCAAAGTTTCTTCTGTCAGCTTGTGGCGAATGCTGCCAGGCCTGGGGCTCACCCTTCAGGGCAGTGGGCTCCTCTCTAGCCCAGAGCAGGTCCAGAAATGCTGTCTAAGAGCCTAGGCCTGAACTTGGGACCTCTAAGAGCTCTATCCCACTGTGGTTGAGCTGGTACTTAAAGTGGAACACAGAGTCCCCTTTACTTTTCCCTCTGCTTTTCTCAAACAGATGGAGTCTTTCCCTGTAGCCATTATAGCTGGGAATGTGCTGGATCACCCCAAAGCCAACACATGTCAGAGCCCAAGGCCCGTGGCATACTCCCTGTGTGTCACTAGTAGTTATTCAGGCCCCACGGGCTCTTTAATCAACAGGTGATAAATCTTGCCAAGAGTGGGTCCTTGCCTTCAAGGCAGCAGGGTTCTGTTTAGGCCCAGGATGTGTCTAGAAATGTCCAGGTGCCAGGGCTTCAATGAAGGCCTTACATCTTTGTCCAATTCCCTATCCTACTGTGGCTAAGCTGGTATCCAAGGTGCAAGACAAAGTCCTCTTCACTCTTTGCTCTCCTCTCTTTAAGCAGAAGGAGAGAATTACTTTCACTGCTGCAAGCTGCACTGCCTGGGATGGGAAGAGGGATGGCAAAAATATTCCCTTAGCCACATCAGCTGGTGTCTCCATAGGTCACTAGTCACCCTAGTTTACTGGCTCTAAGTCCAGTGTAGCATTAGGAGTTGCCTAGGAATTGCAGTCCTTTTGTCTAGACTGCCTTTCAAATTCACCTACGACTCCAGAGCACTTTAGCCCACAGTAGTGAGGCTTGGTGAGAAACTCAAGTTCTGACTGCTGGGATGGGCTATTCCGCTCTGGCTCGGTCTGGTCCATTCATAGGCACTTGCTGAGCCCAGCATGGCTTTATTCTCCTCTATGGCAGAGCAGTACAGAGGTCAAATGTAATGTTCCCCAGTCATTGTGCTCTCCCTCCCCAAAGGGCACAGGTTCTCTCTCAGCTCTGCACTGCTACTGCTGCTGGGGGATGGGTGATGGGTGGCACTGGCGATTCAAGACTCTCTCCTGCCTTCCTCAATGCCTGTTTTTGTGATACAAAGTTAAATCCAGGTATTGTGATTGCTTACCTGATTTTTGTTTCCTGTGATGGTGCTTTTCTCTGTGTAGATAGTTGTTAAAGTCTGGTGTTCCAGCAGGGAGGACAAATGGTGAAGTCTTCCATTCTACCATGTTGCTCTACCTTCCTGATTGTGAAATTTCAATTAGCACATTATTCTGCCAAGTGAAAAAGAGTCTCATTATGATACGGAGTCTTGTGCTGACATCTTGGGAAAAGCTGCCCACAGCATGAAGTTGTCAACTTCTTTTCCTAGTTTGCAGTCTGAATGTTTCTGATTATGGCATAGGGTGGCTTGTTGAACTTTCAGAGTGGCCTATACATCAGGCATGAGACTTGTTTCTTAAAATTATCTAGTTTCTGCTTGTAGGGCTTCAGGAATAAAACAGTTACCATTTTTTATAATTTTATAGAAGCTGGATTGAAGAAACCTAGAAGAATTTAGAATCTAGTCTAGTCTACAGTTACATAACAAGTACTCAAAATAATGCATAGGACTACAATCTAATAACAAGTATATTATAGTTTTCCTTGGAAATATAACTTTTTCTGTCTATATTGATCACGTAAGAATCTCATATTTGAAATCTTGAGGCTAAGAAGCTAAACCAAAGCAGACTTTAGATTTTACTTCCAGTCTTAAGGTTCCTGAGCCTGCCAGGAAATGACAATTTTTACTTACTCTCTGTAAGACTGGGAACCCTTGAAACCAGGCATTCTGTGCACATTCTCAAATGTAATATTCCAGTCAGAGCCTTGGTAATATAACCAATGTTTCCAGTTGTATGCTGTTATAAAGAGAGCAAATTTTTATTGAACTTATGCAAATAACTATATTGCCTATACCACACACAAATATATAACTATATTATGCAAATAGCTAAATGAATATTCACAGATAGTTTCCACATTTTGGAGAATTCAAGTAGGGAGAAAGAAGTAAATGCTTCCACCTTTGTTCACAAAAATATACTTTACCAAATTTCTTTAAACTACAGACAGCTTAAGACAGAATTTATTCTTTTTTCTTTTTTTTTTTTGAGACAGGGTCTCACTCTGTTGCCGAGGCTGGATTGCAGTGGTGTGATTTTGGCTCACTTAAACCCCTGCCTCCCAGGCTGTCACTTAAACCCCTGCCTCCCAGGCTCAGATGATCCTCCCACCTCAATCTCCTAAGTAGCTATGACTACAGGCAGGTGCCACTACGCCCGGGTAATTTTTTGTATTTTTAGTACAGACTGGTTTTCACCATGTTGCCCAAGCTGGTCTTGAATTCCTGGTCTCAAGGGATCTGCCTGCTTTGGCCTCCCAAAGTGCTTGGATTATAGGCATGAGCCACTGCACTCGGCTGAGAGAACATTTTCTTAAATCTGGAAAACAAAACACTTAAGTGAAGAACCAATAATGTTTCAAATATAAGTTATAAAAACATTATCTTCATCAGTTATTTAATCTCATGTAATTAATTTTTGTTCTGCTTGACATGATTTGTTGTCTCACAAATTCATCAGTTTCTTCTTAGAGTTCTGAATTTTTTTATTTAGTCAATTGTTCTTAAAGTTATTTAAAAAAGAAAAAATCTCTGGCCAGATGCTGTGGCTCATGCCTGTAATCCCAGAACTTTGGGAGGCCTAGGCGATCAGATCTCTTGAGGTTGGGAGTTTGAAACCAGCCTGGCCAACATGGTGAAACCCCTGTCTCTACAAAAAATAGAAAAATTAGCTGGGTGTTGTGGTGCACACCTGTAATCCCAGCTACTCACGAGGCTGAGGTGGGAGGATCATTTGAACCCAGGAGGCAGAGGCTGCAGTGAACTGAGATTTCCCCACTGCACTCCAGCCTGGTGACACTCCATCTTGAAACAAAAAACAAGAAACAAACAAACAAAAAACCCCAAACCTCTATTTAAGAGTAATTGTTAGAGTCTTTTTCACAAATCTGATTGCAAATACTGTTAGAGAAAAATCAAAACAGTAGCTATGGATGACAAAAACTTAGAAGAACCATGGTTAAAAATCTGATAGAAGTTCATTATAATCAGCAATTGATAAGGAAATTGATTATTTCTGTGGCATATAACATAATAACAAGCATTATGACTGATGATATATTGGATTTTAAGAGTTTTATACACTTTGGAACATTCATATCAGTAACACATAGATGCAACTGAGAGAAGATCTAGCATCATTTATTTGACAATGCTTCCCATGTAACTCACCAAATAAGGCTAATCATTTAATATCTCTAAAGATGAGAGATACATCCTTTGATGCTCTCCAGGGATCTGGCTGTAATATCCCAAAGTTGATTATAGGTCAAAAAGACTTAATTTAGAATTTTGATAATGGAGAGGCCTGTTAAAGATGACAAAATGTTTAAAACCCTTGATTAAGACAGGATAACAGGCTGAATACAGTGGCTCATGCCTGTAGTTTTAGCACTCTGGGAGGCCACGGCAGGCAGATCACTTGAGCCCAGGAGTTTGAGACAAGCCTGTGCAACATAGTGAGACCCTGTCAGTATAAAAAATACAAAAATTATCTGGGCATGGTGGTGTGCCCCTGTAGTCCCAGCTATTTAGGAGGCTGAGGTGGGAGAATCACCTGAGCCCAGGAGGTCAAGGTTGCAGTGAGCCATGATGGCACCACTGCACTTCAGCCTGGGTGACAGAGTGAGACCCTGTCTCAGGGAAAAAAAAAAAAAAGACAGGATAACAGGTCACTGTTAATTAAATAATAAAATTAAATAATAGTAATTCATTTAACCAGAGTGATAATCAGAATTCAAACACAATATAGAAACTTACACTGATGTAAAAGAAAAAAATGCTTTAACCCTTTCAAAGCCCGGTTTTCCCAAGTAATCAGAAAACCTAATAAAGACAACACAGGAAAGTGTCTTCATAAAACACAAATATTTTGTTCTCAGGCTAGTTACCAAAAAGATAAAGAAAAACCTCCTTCATTGTGATTACGTCTCCTCATAGGAAGCCCATTCAGATACCTGGATGTTGAACCTGATGAAAAGGTACTTGCATTTTGTCAGACATTTTAAGAGTGTGGGCCCAAAGGTTATGAGCATGCATCATATTATAGAGAAATGTAAAAAGAAAACTAGTGCCTTGTACAGGGAAATGCATGGCTCTTAGAAAAAGTATGAGATGTCTCCTTGTTATGTGGAGCAATTAAGACACATCAAGAAATTGTTATGCAGGAGGAAAACATTGCTTTCCCAGGCCTTCAAAATAGACCATTTCAGTGTCAGGTCGTAACAGCAGAGTTAGTACTGAAGAAAAAAGTTACAGGAGCAGACAAGAAAGTTAAAAGAGTTATCACCCCAGCCAAACCAGAAGATGTGTGTGTGTGTGACCTGCAAATCATGTGCAGCAAAATACAGCAAAAGTTGAATTTCTGAGACATGAATTTGAGAAGCCTTAAGAGCCTTAGAGAATTTCTCTACCTTGAGAAATTAAATAACCACTCTAAACAAAGAAGATGGCATTTCCAACCTGAAACTAGGAAAATTAAATGCATCTCAGAAAGAAACTTAGCAGAAATAGAAACTGTAAAACAGGAAGAAGCTGCAGTTTGTAATACACCTGTTAAACAGATTTCAGAATTAAAAATCAAAACTTCTTGCAGTGTTACTAAGAGCAGATCAATACTTCAAGAAAACTTTGTTGTTTTAACATAGGAGAGCAGATTATTTTGTTTTCTATCATTGTATTTTTTTTTTTTTTTGAGACGGAGTCTCACTCTGTCACCCAGGCTAGAGTGCAGTGGCACAATCTTGGCTCACTGCAAGCTCTGCCTCCCGAGTTCACACCACTCTCCTGCCTCAGCCTCCCGAGTAACTGGGAATACAGGTGTCCGCCACCACGCCTGGCTAATTTTTTTGTATTTTTTTAGTAGAGACAGGGTTTCACCCTGTTAGCCAGGATGGTCTTGATCTCCTGACCTTGTGATTCGCCTGCCTCAGCCTCCCACAGTGCTTGGATTACAGGCATGTGCCACCACACCCAGCCCTATCATTGTATTTTTAATATCACAGCTCAATTTTTAGAAGGACTTATAATTTCCTTCTAATTATAGTCAACTTGATGACACACAAAAATGTCTTTCATAAATTCATCCTTCACAAACATTTTGTGATGTACACATACCTTCCACGACATGCTTAGACTTTCTGCTTGAACTATACTTCCTCTTTCTTAAATAACCAGCCATTTGACTTTCAGACAAAAATTTGCCACACATGATTCTTTCCCATACAAAATTATTCTTTTTTCTTTTTAACTCTTTACCAAAACTCTATCCTCATACTTATAACTTTCTTTACATCTCTCTCTCTCCTACTTACTGGTTTCTTTCTATCTTGTTTATATTTCCTTCCTAAATTCATATTTTAAAATAACCTTTAATAACTGCTGAACTTACAATTAGAACACGTGTTTTTTATTATTCTAAATGAAGAACACATTTTTATGCCTTTCTTATATTTTATCTCATAAAAATCTTTGGTATGCTTTATATACAGAATTTTATATATTAATTAGAATTTTTAATTCTTAGTACCCTTAATTTCTAGTGAAAACCTAGGAAGCAAGAAATTTTTAAAAATGTTATGACAACATGTTTATTTTAAAGTATTTTTATTTTTATAGATTTTGGAGGTGCAAGTGCAGTTTAAAAAATAGATTTAGGAGGTACAAGTGCAGTTTTGTTAAATGGGTATATTGCATAGCACTGAAGTCCAAGCTTTTAGTGTAGCCATCACCTGAATAGTGTTCATTGTAACCATCAAATAGTTTATCAACCCTCACCCTCCTTCCACCCTCCCACCCTTCCAAGTTTCCAGTGTCCATTATTCCACACAATACGTTCATATGTGCACATTATGTAGATCCCACTTTTTTTTTTTGAGACAGAGTCTCATTCTATCACCCGGGCTACAGTACAGTGGCGTGATCTCAGCTCACTACAATCTCTGCCTCCCAGTTTCAAGAAATTCTTCTGCCTCAGCCTCCTGAGTAGCTGGGATTACAGGCACCTGACACCATGCCTAACTAATTTTTGTATTCTTAGTAGAGGTGGGGTTTTTCCATGTTGGCCAGGCTGGTCCTGAACTCCTGGCCTCAAGTGACCTACCCATCTTGGCCTCCCAAAGTGCAGAGATTACACTGCACCCAGCCTAGCTCTCACTTCTAAGTGAGGACATGCAGTATTTGACTTTCTGTTTCTGAGTTATTTCACTTAATAACCTGTAGTTTCATGGGTGTTTTTGCAAAATACATGATTTTATTCTTTTCATAGCTGAGGAGTATTTCATGATGTATATATATGCCACATTTTCTTTATCCAATCATTGATGGATATTTAAGTAGATCCCATATCTTTGCTTTTGTGAATAGTGCTACAATAAACATATGAGTGCAGATATCCTTTTTATGTAATGATTTATTTTCCTTTGAGTAGATACCCAGTAGTTGGCTTGCTGGATTAAAAGGTAGTTCTACTTTAAGTTCTATAAGAAATATCCATACTATTTCCTGTAGAGGTTGTACTAATTTATATCCCTACCAATTGTGTTTAAGAATTCCCTTTTTTCCATATCCTCACCAACATCTGTAATTTTTTGACTTTTTAATAATAGCCATTCTCATTGATATAAGATGGCATCTCACCTTGGTTATAATGAACAATTCTCCACTGATTAGTGATGTTGAGCATCTTTTCATCTGCTTCTTGGTCATTTGTATGTCTTCTTCTGAAAAATGCCTATTCATGTCCTTTGCCCAGTTTTCAACAGGGCTATTTGTTTTTTGTTGTGGTTGAGATATTTTAGTTCCTTGTAGATTCTGAATATTAGTCCCTTGTCAGATGCATAGTTTGCAAATGTTTTCTCCCATTCTGTAGGTTGTCTTTCACTCTGCTGATTATTTATTTTGCTGTGCAGTAGCTTTTTAGTTTAATTAAGTCCCATTTGTCCCCAGAACTTTGGGAGGCCGAGGCAGGTGGATCACGAGGTCAGGAGATCAAGAGCATCCTGGCTAACATGGTGAAACCCCGTCTCTACTAAAAATACAAAAAATTAGCTGGGTGTGGTGGCGGGCACCTGTAATCCCAGCTACTTGGGAGGCTGAGGCAGGAGAATGGCATGAACCTGGGAGGCGAAGCTTGCAGTGAGCTGAGATTGCGCCACTGCACTCCAGCCTGGGCGACATAGCGAGACTCTGTCTCAAAAAAAAAAAGTCCCATTTGTCTATTTTCATGTTTGTTGCATTTGCTTTTAGTCATAAATTCTTTGCCAAGCAAAGGGAGCAATTTTGAACTGTCTGTCACACATTGGTATTTTATAAATGAGAATTTTATTATTTTAGAAACATTTCCCCATAATGTAATTTTTATGTATTGTTAGACTCAAATATACTTAGTCTTTCTATAAAATTTAAGAAGCCAAAGACAAAAATATTTATGTTCAGGAATTTGTGTTTTGGAATTTATGTTATTTGGAAATGACTTGGACATTCAATGAGTATCACTTAATTTAACATAACTTTAGAACTTTAAATCACACAAAAAATTCATTATAAATATTTATTCCATTTACGTTTACCTAATTTATTTATTTTTATCAACATTACCTAAATTACTTATGAAAACTGAGATATGAGATAAAGCTACTCATCATTTCAAGTAATTTCCCTGTTAAACATGTGTACAGTCTGTGAATATCAGGTGTTCACCTAAGTAAGAACTTGAAAGTTAATTATATGGATATTTTGCTGATGGCTTAGAAGACATAGCTGTTTTTATTAAGTCAACACTATTAAATTAGTCTTACTTGTCAAAGAGTTACACAAACAGAGATCATTATGTTTTTAGGCTGGGTTTATAGTTTTATTATCTTAAAATATCTAGCAGAGACAAATATAATCCTATCTGACTAGTAAACCCAGACAAAAATGTATGCTGAAATTCTGAAGATGTTTTTATTTTTATTTCATCAACAAATTTAAAGCCAGCTTATTTATTAAAGAAATACTTAAGTCACATGCACTAAAAGGCATTTGGGTTGATTACTCCATAATTTATATAAGCACTCATTTATCTGAGCCAATCTGAATAGAATTCCTTAAAGGATTTCTAGCTGACTATGCCAGATTTTACCATGCAGATACAACATACAAAATGTGTAAACACATATAGATACACAAGCCACAATAAAGATCTTACAGCTTTCATTTTAGAATTTTAGTCATGAGATAGTAATACATAGTAATATACACTTATTGGTTTATAAAAGATAGTTGGATCCAAATTATATTTCTTAGAAAATGGGGTCTGTTCATATAGCTAAATGTTATTTACCCTGATAGGTAGTCTAATGAAGGCTGTGGACCAAAATTTTGAACAAAACAGTTTGGTTTTCTTTTTCAAAATCTCTTTTGCCCCTTTATGCCCCCTCTTTTTGTTTATCGGTTTCAAATGAATTTAGGGTTAAACATTCAATTGTTTATTTTTCAGCATGAATTGGCTGAATTGTATAAGAAAAATCAAATCTCCAAATAGCCTTGGGTGTTTTAGTAACAAATTTATGTTTTTTTTTTGTCTGGTTTGCTTGATTAGTCAATGTGGGTGAGAAAGCATTTTAGCAGGTTTTTTGTTTTGCTTTGTTTGCTTTTTCTGGGCATGGCAGACAAAGAAAGGCATTTTTATGCCAGAGAGACACCTCATATTATTGCTCTGAGCTTAAGATTTTGACCTGTTTAATCTGAGAGCCTAATTTATAAACATTTATTTATGTTTTGGAATTTATCTTATTTGGAAATGACTTGGACATTCAATGAGTATCACTTTATTTAACATAACTTTAGAATTTTAAATACTTAGCAATATATACTTATTGGTTTATAAAAGAGAGTTGGATCCAAATTATATTTCTTAGAAAATGGGGTCTGTTCATATAGCTAAATGTTATTTACCCTGATAGGTAGTCTATTTTATTTCAGAATATCAATCCCTTAATTAACTATTCCATCACCCTAAGCAATTGTTTTTCAGGCAAACTCAAATTTACATTTCATGTCTAGATTGTTGGTTGCCATGGAGCTGTTGTAAGTTGTAAAGCCATTAGTTTGAAAGCCCTTTAAGACTGTAAAAAAATGTCTTGTCTGGAATGCCATAAGCAGTGTGTTTATCTCAACACAAGTAGAAAAATCAGCAGATTCAAAGTAGGCAGAAAAAAAATAGAGATATAGAAAACTTAGAAGGCTCTACATGTTAACTCTGCAGTTACAGTTTCTAATTCAGCTTTAAGTAAAACAAGTTTGGGGGGTTCGAATGATCCCCATGATAGCCACTGGTTTAAAAACATGGCTGGGCATGGTGGCTCATGCCTGCAATTCCAGTGCTTTGGGAAGCCAAGGCAGGAGGATCACTTGAGGCCAGGAGTTCATGACCATCCTGGGCAACATAGTGAAACACCATTTCTACAAAAAAATTTTTTTTTAAATAAAAAGAAATGCATGAGGAAAAGTCATGTAATTGGCAGGAGTCCCTGAAAACCTGGCATGCCTTAATGTTTGAGAATATCATTTTTGTTTTATATTAATCTCTCAAGAGTGAAGAAAATTCTATAATTCCTGTCACGGAGTTTGGACTGATGTTTTAGATAGTGGTGACTGTCCTAGTGGTTTTTAATTGGCTGTCTTGTGCCCACCATTTAGAGTGTTTGTTTTTGCTCTCAGAAAATGTTTAGAAACAAGCAAGGGGGAAAAAGGAGCCAGATCATTTACAGACGCACATGACCAAACCCAAATGAAACAAAAAATAAAAGTGTTCACAAAAATTTTAAGCCAGGCATGCAGACCACACAAAATACTATACCAGGCATGCAGACCCAGACAAAATGTAAATTCTTTGGAAACTAAAGGACTCAAATCAGAAAAACATTGTTCTTATTCTAGATACCACCTGCCAGAAAAGACAAAACATCTTTTATTATCTCAGAAACTGACAAAGAATTCACTGAGGGAAGGGAGTCCAAGAATTAAAAAGGGTATTTACTAGAGCAGAAAATGTAACTCATGGCAGCATAGAGCGCAAAGGGCTCAGTTGATGCCTCACTTGATACCAGCAGCTGCCGATTACCTCACTTGATACCAGGGGCTGCTGATTCCTTTGAGGTGGGTACACTTGGGTCCCACTTCTGAGATATCATTTTTATTAATCTAAATAACAAAGAGGGGGGCTCTAAGAGAAAAATGTTTATTTGGGAATAGGGCACTGCAATGGGAACATGTGTGCCATAGTAAACTATGTGTATATTTAGGGAAGTAAAGACGGACAAACTTTTTAAAGAAAAAATGAGGATAATTACATAATTGTTTCGGGATACTTGTCCTTAGCTCCAAGAATCAATAATAAGAGTGGTGCCAGTCCAAGATTAGACAGGCAGTTGCTGGGCAGATGTCCTTGCAGAAGAATTTGTGTGTGTGTAAGGTTGTGATGGCCTTTGTGCACAGCTTTAGTTTTTGCAGGCTTTTGTCGTAATTCTTGTTATCAGATATTTGTGCATGAGAACTCTTCCTTCATGGTGTTTCTTGGCTCTATTTGTGAGGATTTTTAACACAAGTGACTTTGTTTTTATTCTGACAACCTTCACAGCCCCAATCCAACATGATTGGTGACCTTATAAGAAGAGGAGAAGAGACAGAGGCAGACATACAGAGTGGGAAGATGATCTGAAGATTCACAAATGGAATGCAATATGACGACAGAAGCAGAGACTGGAGTGATGTGTCCACAAGCCGAGGATTGCCAGCAACACCAGAAGCGAAGAGAAAGGCATGAAACAGATTCTCCCCTACAGCCTTCCCAGAGAGGCGGGCCCCACCCACACCTTGATTTCAGACTTCTAGTTTCCTAACTGTGAGAAAATAAATTTCTGTTGTTTTAAGTCACCCAGTGTGTGGTACCTTGTTACAACAGTCTTAGAAAACGAATACAGACTCTACTAAAAATAAAATCAGAAAAAAAACCATAAACACAAATAAAAATTAAATGATAGAGTTCCAGTGTTATGGAGTGAAAAGGTCAGCAAATGCTCTCTTCAAAAACAATTATAAAACTGAACAAAAAAATCATTTCAGAGCTTTGGAATAGACCAAGGGCAAACAACAAAATGAAGAGCATTTATTTATTTAAAACTGCTGAACTTTGGATAAGAATAGTAGGAGTCTAGTTTTGCTTAAAATGAAGTTTTAACATGATTATAAGGGAAAGAGGGAAGATGTTATCTCATGCAGCTATCATCATGCTAGAACTTCTCATTCATTCTCAAAAAAATTTAAACACACAAATGACACATGAATATTTTCTCATGGCAAAATAGAAAAACAATATCAATACAATGAAATTCCATATTGATTCTCATCTTTCATTCTCATTTCTTTGATAGTAATGCAGCTAGGAAGGTAATTTATTTTGTGTTTGTTTTGATATTAAATAAATAATATCACATTGTCCTTTACCACTGCTGCTGGAGCTGCATCTGCAAACTCCGGGGTCAGTTCTTGTGGCCCCAGTGGCACCAGTGGCGGGGAAGCCGGGTGCTCCAGTGACCCACCCAGGGAATGATGATGAAACGAGTGAGGATGAAGCCACAGTAAAGTGGCTTCGTCAGGAGACGTGTGTCTGTGAGAAATGCTCTGTAGAGTTCTTTAGCATCTCCGAGTTCCTGGAACATAAGAAAAAAATCACACTAAAAATCTACCTGTTCTCATGAATGACAGCGAGAGGCCAGTGTCTTCAGAGGACTTCTCCAGAGCTGTACTTAGCTACCAACCACCCAGTCCAAGCAGTGAGTGAAGCCAGTTGTGGACTCTGTGATGTACCTAAAGACAGAGACTGTCCTGCCGCCACCCCCAAGACATAATTTATTTACCCAAAGGCAAAGTGGCCAACACAAATGTGATCTTGCAGGCACTATGAGACACCAAGATGGTGATGAATCAGCAGAGTGCAGATGCGCTGCCTGTCCCAGCACCCATGTGTGCTTGAGCAGATCCTATGTCTGCAGAAGGAGGTACAGCAGGTCCAGCTCACCCAGCAGATCGCATCCAGGTGCACATGTGGACCTCCCATGCTCTCCACTTTGGTGGTGGGCGACGACCTTGGGCAGTCGCATGTCCCAGCAGGTTTCTATGGCTGTGACTTTGCTCAGCCAGAAAGCTGGAAGCCAAGGTCTGTCTCCAGATGCCTTGAAACAAGCCAAACTACTTCAAGCCAACATCCCTTCTGCCAACATTCCTTCTGCCACCAGCTCTCTGTCCCCAGTGCTGACGCCCTTTGCTCTGAAGCCAGATGGAACCAGGTTGTTCCCAAACGTCATGTCTCCTCTCGCAAGTGATTTGCTTCCTCAGATGCCGGGCTCGATGCTCTTCCAGAGTCCTTTCTCCATTGTCGCGCTAGAACCATCCAAGAAAGGGAAGAGGAAGCCACCGAACATCTCCACAGTCGACCTCAAACCCAAAGATGAGGCGGTCCTCTACAAGCACAAGTGTCAGAGCAGTCTCCCTTCCGTGTTTATCTGATCCCTGCCAACCTATGTCAAAGTTGAAGTTCCTGGCACCTTTGTGGGACCCTTAACATTGTCCCCAGGATGACCGCTTTGTTAGCAGCCCAGCCACGCCAACAGGCCAAGCAACATGGCTGCATGTGGTGTGGGAAGAACTTCTCGTCCACTGGTGCTCTTCGCATTCACGGGTGGACCCACACTGGAGAGAAGTCTTTTGTAGGCAACATTTGTGGGCGAGTTTTACCACCAAAGTCAACTTCAAGGTCCATTACATGATCCACGGGGCGAACAATAACTCAGCCCGCTGTGGGAGGAAGCTGGCCATCGAGAACACCATGGCTCTGTTAAGTACAGACAGAAAAAAGTCTCAGAAATGTTTCCCAAGGAAATCCTGGCCCCTTCGGTGAACGTGGACCCTGTTGTGTGGAACCAGTAGCCCAGCATGCCGAGCGGCAGTCTGGCCATGAAGACCAGTGAGATCTCTGTGGTCCGGAGTGGGGGTGTTCCTAACCTCCTGCTTTCCTTGGGGGCCAGCTCCATTGTGAATAACACCACCGTCTTCAAGATGGATGGCTCCCAATCAGGCATCAGTGCAGATGTGGAAAAACCAGGTGCTACTGACAGCGTTCCCTCACTTCCTGGAAGAAAACAAGATTGCAGTCAGCTAAGCTAAAGGAGAACTTGCATGGAAGGAGAAATGCAGACAGTGTGAAATCTCTAGAATCTGCTTTTTTGGTAAACACTCATCTCCCGTTTTCTTTTTCTTACTGATATGCAAATGATGTTTTTGAAGGTTGTGATCGCAACCTCAGGCAAGTCCCACAATCACGACTGTTGCTATGCTGCTTTGCAAAAAATTGAAAAATCAAACAACAACAAATGTTCATATCAAAACAAATAAAGACTAGCATTAAAAACAAATTTTGGAAAGAAGCGGGTCTTGCAAAGTAGCTTTTGTACTTGTGACAAACTGTATACATAGAACCTTTGCACAACCTAGAATTTTTTCCAAAGACTGGTTACCTATTTCAAGGTAGAATCATTGGAACTTGTTGAACCAACATGGAAAAGACAATGACTTAGCCTAATTGAGGGGAGAGGGGTACTGTATACTTCCATGATGACTGTACATGGGTAAAAGGACAAGGTCTGCCATCTATTTAGGGGCCTATTTATATACCCCAACCCTGTCCCCATCTTATTGTTTGCTTTTCTGAATGTACTTTAAAAAAATAAAACTAAGGTTGTAGAATTATAAAATTGCTTCAACTTTTTTTTTTTTTTTTTGAGATGGAGTCTCACTCTTTCACCCAGGCTGGAGTGCAGTGGCGTGATCTCGGCTCACTGCAGCCTCCACCTCCTGGGTTCAAGTGATTCTCCTGCCTCAGCCTCCTGAGTAGCTGGGACTACAGGCATGTGCCCCCATGCCTGGCTAATTTTTTTGTATTTTTAATAGAGATGGGGTTTTACCATGTTGGTCAGGCTGGTTTCAAACTCCTGACCGCAAATGATCTGCCCACCTTGGCCTCCCAAAGTGCTGGGATTACAGGTGTGAGCCACTGCGCCTGTCCTGCTTCAACTTTAGAACCATAAGTCGGATGCCCTCAGATGGACTTACAGTAGTCCTTAAGGAGTCAGTGTGTGTGTTGCTGCTTAAATGCAGTCCAGTTGGAGCCCTGAGAGTGCCAGTGTCCTCCCCACACTTCCCAGGTGCTGTCCTCTTCCTGAACCCCAGAAGAGGTGGGCACCTGAGCAGGGAATTTCAGGTGACTTAATTTGGTTTGTCAGTGCCTACTCTATTGAAGAACTGGGTTTTCATTCTTGAGAAGAAACTCATGGAAGGGTGTGTTTCCTATCACACGTTCACATACTAATTTTTTTTGTTGAATTTCCTTAATTCAACATAATTGGGACTTAAGCCAAGTAATTATGAAGATTCTTTTTGTTTTCTTCCTGAATATTTCATGAAGGCTATGAAGTTGGAATAGGCAATTCCTGGGTATAAAAGCTTTAATTTATCTACCTCATTTATTTTAAAATTCTTTTGTAGCTATAGTGTCTGTTTTCCTATTTTAAGACCGATGAAGTATTCCCAGGCCCTGTCTAAAATCTAGGAGTTGTATTGATGGGAAGAGCTGAACGTCCAAGAGGTTTTTGTGATGCCTTTTTTTGTAATCTCCTTTTGTAAGTGTAATATTGAGCAAATGAAACATTGCTTTCATAGTTTAACAAGAAAAGAGAAAGAAAGAAAGACTCTAGCTTCTGGGAGAAAAGTCTTTTCCCTCTAGGTGGAAGACCCTGGCTGAACAGTGGATCCAAGACTGTTAGTCAAGGTGTTGTCTCTTAGTTATTTCACCTGACTTTAGGATTCCCCAGATATTATTATTATTATTATTTCTGCCAAGTTGTGCCTTTTCTTCTGGAATTGTAAATGAACACAATAATAGTACCTGTTTAGACTGTGAAATGGGTGTCACGGAAAACACACTGGTGGCTTTCTCACTGTTGAGCTAATAATGCCTTGTGAATGTATGATCTATGGAGAAACCCCTTTTGTTGTACCTGCTGATGCTGTCTGTCTGTTGGAAAATACATTTTGAATTTTCCCCCCAAAAACTTACTTATTTTACTTCCTGTGAACCTGTAATTATTTCAAAATTAAAACTTAAAAATTATAGACAAGAAAAGAAACCTTTTTTTTTACATTTTTTGCCACTTCCACAGCAATGCTGGTATTTCTTGTTCATTATATAATATTGTTTCCATCCCTAGAGAGAAATATTTTAGGCCTGGGCCTGTGCGTAAGAGGCTCCTTGCACCCACTTGCTTATGCTTCTCCAGACCCAGTGCTATTTTAGGAAGCAACATAACCTAATTTCTGGGCAAGGAATCTAAGGGCTATCCATTAATTTAGAGATTGAAAATAAAGAGAACCCCAAGACAGGGATAAAAGCATGTCCATGGTTTTGTTATTTGTTGAATTTTTCAACCAATTATGTACCTGTGGCATTCTCCCCCTACCTCCCACCACCTGTGGGACAATTTCCACCATGTATTCTCTTCACCTGTACATGAACGCCAGTCCCTCCCAGCCTGAAGGGCCCTTCCTAGATCTTTGTTTCCTTCTCCAGTGCATAATGTAGCAGAAAAATCAGAGTCATACAATCTTAGGTGCAAATTCCTGGGTGCAAACTCAACCTTTACTGGTCTTGTGACCTTGGACCAGCAATTTCACTGAGCCTTGATTTCCTCTTCTCTCTTTCTGGGGTGATCCCTTTCTCCCAGGATTGTGGAGTACAGTTGGTGAGGACTTTTTGTGGAAGCCCCTTGCCAGGTAAATATTAGCTCCTCTTTTCCCTCCCTGACTTTAGCAGCTTCCCCTCCCGGCCAACATTCTGAAGTTCCTCTGAGAGCATCTATGGAGGCTGGTACCACTTTGCCTCCTGTTTTCTCCTCGCCCACTGTGGTCTGGCTTGCATGCCCATATTCCCACTGCAGCAGAATTTTCATAGGATTTACAGATGAATTTCTAATTGCCAGACAGGACAGATTCTTTCTCAGTCTTCTTTTGCTTGACCCCCTCACAGCATTTTGTCCACTCTTCCCCTCTCTCCTTTTGCTTCTACAACAGAACATCCACCTGTTCTCCTCACTCAAATTGTTTTCTCCCCTTAGTTCCTTTCCTCTGCACTCTCTGCCCCCCTCGGATACCAAGGACACTTGGACACTTCTCTGTTCCCTTCCTTAGATTGATTTCATCCTCACCACAGCCTCCAAGCCTCTCGTGCCCTGACTATTCTCAAATCCACATCTCCAGCTCTGGCCTCTCTTCTGAGCTCCAGACCTGAGCTTCAATAGCTTTTTGGACAGATTCTCCATATGACTGTTTTGTAGACTCTCAAACTCTGCCAACTTCCCACTGTCTTGCTTTTCTGAATATAATTTCCTTCCTTGTATGGGACACTAAACTTCTGCACCTTATTGGATTGCTTTGATCGATCCCTTCTCCTACCCCCACCCTATCCCATCAGGTCACCCTTCAAACATGAGATTAGACTTCCTCAATGGTTGAGAATGGACCAGATGACACAACCTGGAAAGACTTGGAGTTGTCTCCTTGTGAGGTAAGGTTTGACCAGTGAAAATGGGAAATAGGAGGGATCCTAGCTCTCCTGTGGACCACTTCAAGGTGTAGTTGCTGCTTGTGATCTGTTGTGCATGCTGGACAAACTTCCTGTTGAAAGATTTTGCTTTGTTTGTTCCCCCTAAAGCAGAGCCAGAGACAAAGCTAGCAAACAGATAATTTACTTGGGAAATGATCCCAAGGAGTAGGAATGAGAGACATGGGGAGTGAAACAGAGAAGGTGAGAAAGCCAGTATAAAGATACATTATTAAGTAGGCACCACTATGGGTGGTGATTGATGCTCAGTGATGTCAGGTGATCTAAAGAGCTTTGTGAAATGCATCTAAGAATTATCCTTCTGGGAACATGAAAGGGGAACACTTATCCATTAGCTCCTGTTTCCCCATCGATGTTAACTCCTGGGTACTTCCAGGTTGTACATGCATAAGTGCTGAGTGGGCTCTCCCAGCATCTCACCATGGCATTAGAGTGACCCTGGAGCAGGAGGAGAGAAACCAAGGAAAGATACTCTCAGGTTGCACCTGTATAAAAGTGATTGAGACCTGTGTAGAACTGTTGCTGCAGAAGTGATTGGAGTAGGAAATACGGCTGAGATTTGAAGTGGAACATAAAAGTTGTCAGATATGGACCTACTGTGTCTCTTTGTGGCCTCGTTGTGAAGCAGTGCTCAGTGCAGTAATTAATTACCTTGCACTGCCTCACACATTTTTTTCTTGTTTCACTTCATATTTCCTTCTCCCTCACTCTTATGGGCTTGTATCTTCAAAGTAAAGTGTTAGCGCATTAATCCTTGCCTCAGCCTCTGATTTCTCAAGAACTCATTATAAGGCAATTTTTTTTTGAGATGGAGTCTAGCTCTTGTAGTCCAAGCTGGAGTGCAGTGCCACGATCTCAGCTCACTGCAACCTCTACCTACCAGGTTCAAGCAATTCTTCTGCCTCAGCCTCCCGAGTAGCTGGGATTGCAGGCTTCCACAACCACGTCCAGGTAATTTTTGTATTTTTAGTAGAGACTGAGTTTCACCATGTTGGCCAGTCTGGTCGTGAACTCCTGACCTCAGGTGATCTACCCGCCTCAGCCTCACAAACTGTTGGGATTACAGCTGTGAGCCACCATGCCCAGCTGATAGGGCAACGTCTTAAGAGGCTGGATAGCTTCTCTTAATTGCTATGGAAATAATGCTTTTTAAAATCAATGTGTAATAGTTTGATTATTTATGACAACACAAGAGAATGGTTGGATCAAGGCAGTCAACATATTTTAAAGCCAGGGAGCTTGTAAGGCAGCTTTTATTATTTTAAAGTTTTTTTTAAACGAATATTTTTTATTTACGTGTAACCTATAGAAAAGTGCACATGTTATAACTACAGACTTTGATAAATTTTCACAAAGCAAGCACAACCATATAACCAGTCCCTGGATTAATACATTTGAATTTATCAGCATCTATGAAGGCCCTCTTATGCCATCTTCCAATTACTTTCTCCTTCTTTCCAACAGTAACTATTATCCTGACATCTCATACTTCTATGGCAGCTTTTAAGGAGATCATTGTCTGAAGCAGTCACAGGTCAGATTGTGTTGAAAAATCAGACCCAGAATCTGATTATGATGGCAGCACAGCAGAAAAGACTATGTGAGGTGGTCACATAGTCTTGTGAGAGCTTGAGACCTGAGTTGGGAACATTTTTGTAGCTGAATGAAACTATCTTAAACCCTGACATTCCTTTGAACTCTCTGAGTTGGCAAAAGCAATCTCTTCCCTCTGCCAGAGGAGAATAGCTTCCCCTCGCCTGGAAATCATGTTAACCTCACTTGAATTTGTGCCTCACAAAGAGGTACTGATTCTCAAGACTTTCTGCCATTATTTGTCATTTCTTCCAGGCCAAACACTAGACAGACCCTAGCACAGCCTCGATGGAGAAGAAATAGCCTAAATGTCAATGGAACTTATGGAACTTTTTACTGTGTGTCAACAAGACCTAGGGGACATTTGTGGGAGCAGCTTGTGTGTGGAATCCTCATGAATGGAATTAGTGTCCTTATAAAGAAGTCCCAGAGAGCTGCTCTGCCCCTTCTACTATGTGAAGACACTGTGAGAAGTCAGCAGTCTGTAACCTGGAAGAGAGCCCTTACCAGAACTTGACCATGCTGGCACTCTGATCTCGGATTTCCAGCCTCTAGAACTGTAAGAAATAAATTTGTGTTGCTTATAAGCCACTCCATCTATGGTAATTGTAGCAGCCCAAACAGACTAAGACACTGCTGTGACAAATAACCATAAACCAGTGGCCTAAAACAACATTAATTTATTATTTCACAGTTCTGGAGGCCAGAGGTCCTAAATCAAGGTGTCAGCAGGGTTGGCTCCTTCTAGAGGCCAACCCTGAGGGAGAATGGATTCTGTGCCTCCCTCCTAGCTTCTGGTGGTTTCCAGCCATTTTTGGCATTTTCGACTTGTAAATACATTACTAATCTCTGCTTTTATCTTCACATCATGTTCTCCTCTGTGTGTCTCCGTGCCTTCTCTTTTGCTGTCTTTGAAAAAATACATTTTGTCATTGGATTTAGGGCCCATGCTATATCCAGGATGACGTTATATTGAGATTCTTAATTATATCTGCAAAGACACTATTTCCAAGTAAGGCTGTATTCACAGGTATTGGGGCTTAGGACTTGTACGTATATTTTTGGGACCACCATGTAACCCACCACATAGGTCTTTAGAGTGTTAAGTCAGGCTCAGGGCAGATTATAAAACTGGATGTAACAGAATTCTTGACACAAGTGCATGTTCTCCTGATTGTTGGACCAACAAGTTGGCTTGGTAAGGGCAGTTTTATTCCTTGCTGATCTGGTCTTCCAGCTAACCCACAGACTTGCTGTAGGGATCAGAATCAACTACTGCCACCTTAGTTGACCCATAGACATGCAGTTAGGAGCCACAATAGCCACCCTGGCCACCACAGCCTAGAGTGGAGGCACTCAGCCAAGTGCATTATAGATCAACTGAGTTCCAGCTGACCACAGGTACATGAGTGATAACAAATGATTATTTTAAGTGCTTGAGTTTTGAGGCAGTTTGTTTTGCAGCAATAGCTAACTGATATAGAGATTAGCACATATCTCCAGAAATCAATAGGCATTGCTTTTTGGCCTTTTGGCTAAGATCAAACATAGAAATCAATAGGTAAATAATCAGTAAGACTTTAAAGGATTTAAATAACAAGCTTGGTATAACAGCTATATAAAGAAAGCTGTACCCAACATCAAAGTGGAAACATTCTTTTTAAACAAATGTGGAAAATTCACCAAAAATAAGCATATTTTAGGCTTAAAAGCACATTTCAATTTTTTCCAAAAAGAAAAACTCTGTAAGCAAATTTATAATAAACAAATTATAGCAAAAAAGAAAAACTAAATTTAAAATCTCCCCAAAATGATTTATTGGATTAGAATAGAAATAATCCTTCCAAAATATATGAATGTCAGCAAGAAAAAATGAAACAACTTATAGACCAAATTAGAAATTAATGACAAGAGGCATTACATATACAAATCTTTGGGATAGAGCCAACCATACTAAAAATAAGTACAGCCTTAAACATTTATTAGAAAATATGATATTTTTAAAATAAGTAAACTGAAGTTTCAACTGAAGAAGCTAAGAAAAAAAATCAAAGTAATCTTCAAAGTAAACAGTAAATATAAAAACAGAGGCCAATGAAATGGAACAATAGAACCCATAAGAGTACTTTTTTTTTTTTCTTTTTCATTTGGGGGGAAACACAAATAAAATAGACAAGTGGTGACAAGTTTAATCAAGATAAAATGAGAGGACACTAATAAACAACATTAGGAATGATGAAGCTGCCGTAACTGCAAATACAGCGGAATTTCACAAAATTGAAGAGAATGTTATATACAATTTTGTAATAGCAAATTTCATAGTTGGAGAAAAAAATCCACATGATTTTCGAGGCGTCAAATGGCCAAATTGGCAAAAGAAATAGGAAATTTAAATAGACCAAAAAACATAGAGGAGAGTGGTCTAATATCCACACCAAAATGTCACCACGTCCACTTAATTCTTCTGGCAAGTTCTACCAGACTTTAAAGGAACTAAAAATTTCATATTACTTAAGTAAAACTTCTATTTTACTTAATCAAGTAAAAATATGGAAATCTTCCCAATATATGTTGCAAGTCTACCATAACTATGATACCAAAATCAGAAAAAGGAAGAAAGAAGAAAAGAAAGCTGTAAGCCTAGATCATTTTATAAAGATGAACATTATGGGAGAAAAAAGGGCAAATTAAATCCAGCAATATATTAACGATCAGCTTCATTCCAGCTACGCAAACATGACTTAACTTTAGGAAAATTTCAATGTAAGTCACTGTATTAACATGTTAAGGAAGAAAAACATATGCACATTTTGATACATAGTGAAAAAATATTTGAAAAAAATCAACTCATTCCAGAAAGCAAAATGAAAGCACTCAAAATAGGAATAGAAAGAACTTTCCTAAAATATAAACGTATTGTTAGAAATTGACTGCATAGGCTGGTGTGGTGGCTCATGCCTGTAATCCCAGCACTTTGGGAAGCGAAGGCAGGCAGATCACTTGAGCTCAGCAGTTTGAGACCAGCCTGGGCAACACGGTGAGACCCTGTCTCTACTAAAAATGCAAAACTTTGCGGGGTGGGGAACAAGGGGAGGGAGAGCATTAGGACAAATACCTAATGCATTCGGGGCTTAAAACCTAGATGATGGGTTGGTGGGTGCAGCAAACCACCATGGCACATGTATACCTATGTAACAAACCTGCACATTCTGCACGTGTATCCCGGAACTTAAAGTAAAATTTTAAAAAATGCAAAAAAAAAAAAAAAAAAACCCAAAAATAGCCAGGCGCGGTGGTAGATGCCTGTAGTCCCAGCTGCTTGGGAGGCTGAGGTGAGAGAATGGCTTGATCCCAGGAGAATGAGGTTGCAGTGAGCCGAGATTGAGCCACTGCACTCCAGCCTGGGTGACAGAGTGAGACCCTGTCTCAAAAAAAAAATAAAATAAAAATAAGGGCTTGGCGTGGTAGCTCACGACTGTAATCTCAGCACTTTGGGAAGCCAAGGCGGGTGGATCACTTGAGGTCAGGAGTTTGAGAACAACTTGGCCAACATGGTGAAGCCCTGTCTCTACTAAAAATACAAAAATTAGCCTGGTATGGTGGCGCATGCCTGTAATTCCAGCCACTCGGGAGGCTGAGGCAGGAGAATCACTTGAACCCGAGAGGCACAGGTTGCAGTGAGCCGAGACTGCTCCACTGCACTACAGCCTGAGCAACATGAGTGAAACTCCATCTTGAAAAAGTAAATAAAATAAAATAAATAAGTAAAAATAAAAATAAAAGAAATTGACCACATCCAAAGCATCTCACGGCCTGCACTCTTCTCCAACTCCCAGGCTGGAAGCCAAGGGATGTTAGTGGGGTTCTGTTGGGCAGCAGGTCTTCCATGGTTTTCTCCCTACAAGTGCTTCCTTTACTTGTAGTGAGTTATGCATCAGTCAGCCCATCTCTGGATCTGATCTCATTTCACCATGAAGATATTCCTGAGTGTTTCTGGCATTGGGAAGTATTATTTCCCAGCTTTCACTTATATTTCTTTGACCATCCTAATTGAAATTTGAAAAAAGGATGAGGGGTTTTAAAGAATAGGTTTAGAAGAATGGTTCCCAAAATTTAGTATAAATTAGAATCATCTGAGAGTCTTTTTAAAATATAGAGACCTGGGTTCATCCCAAGTAATTTTTAACATAACTTTTCCCCAATTATATTAACAATGCATATTCATTGTTGAAATTTTGAATAAAAAAGTATATAGAGAAACACTGTTTTGAGAATAAAACCACAGACTTGAAAAATTTTGAAATGTGACCTTTGGGGGAGTTTCCTCCAGCCAGAAGTAGATGATAGTTTCACCTCATTTATTTTTTATATATAACACAAGATTCCTTCCCACTTTTCAGAAAGTGTTTTGAGAGCTATAGGAGGAGGTCCTTGTATTTAAACAAACAAAAAAAGAAATACATGAAAGTTAGAATATACATTTGAAAAGTATTCAAGTATACATTCTGATAGTAGGGTGAGTAAAGTTAAAAAAGGTAAAATATAAGTAAGAAAGGTGGTTTAGATATATATTAGTAATGGAATTACAGAATTTGTTTAGCATTTTTAGCTTTTAGAATATATGACATAAAACTCTTAGGAAGAAGGTACTGATTTCCCTCATCAACACACACACACACACACACACACACACACACACACACACACACAGGCTTACATAGTTTCACAATTCATTAATCAGCAAAATGTGGGGAATATTCTTCAGTATTTTTACTTTGTATAATATGTGAAACTGATTTAAATTGTATTTGATGTTTTATAGCTGCTGTTTAATGTAACAGTACACTGTGAAAATGTGCTTCTGTCAATAAATATACTAGATCATATCTATCAGTGGTTGCATCATACTTCCTTTGTATTCATCAGGATAGGCTAGGTTATGTTGCAGTAACAAGCAATCACCAAATCTCACAGTGTATTTTTCTTCAGGTTACTTGTGGGGACTCTGCTGCTCTATGTCACTGTTGACATTATTCCTTGACCCTGGCTTACAGAGCAACCATATTTAGAACATTGCTGGTCACCGCAGCAGAGTGAGCAGAGAGCTTGAAGGTCTAGCACTGTTAACCAAACACTTGGATTGGGATGAACACATATTACTTTTGCTTACAATTCATTGGATAGAATAGGTTGCATGACCTTACCCAAGTAGAAGGGGCCAGGAAATGCAGTCCTGTGATATATCCCAAAGGTGAAGAATCAACCAGAAATATTCAGTGGGCAGCATTAATGACTACTACATATACATGTGCTGTAATTTATTGAACCAGTCCCCTATATTTGTACATTTATTATATTTCTGCTTTCTCTTTTATGATAATTAGCATCCTTATAAATAAATATTGCTTGGTTTCTTCTTGGTAGCAGAATTTCTAGATCAAAGTATACATATATTTTAAGGCTTTTGTTCCATATTTAACAAATCACACTCTAGAAAGGTTTTATCTGTTTATAGCCTTACTGGATATTGGACACACTACCTCAAGTCCCAGGAATCAAACTCTAAGGTCTCCAGAAAAGCTCTGTGGGAGGAATCCTCTGTCTCATGGATGTCCCCTGTCTGCCCACATTTGTGTGTTCTGGGTCTGGGAACCTACAACACTCTGTCTGTTGTAGGTTCAAGCTTTTATGATAATATCTCTATTTTCTTTACTCTTGAAATAAAATTGGTGCATGCTGAGTCCTTGGTCCCAACGCTTTCCTCCCAGACACTGCAGAACTGCAGATGTTACTCTACTGCTTTCTGGAATGCAGTGCTCTAAAGAGGAGGTTGGAACTTTTTGTCTCTTATAATTTACTTTTTTTTTTTCAGACAGGGTCTTGCTATGTTGCTCAGGCTGGTCTTGCCTCAAGCAATCCTCCCACCTCGGCCTCCCAAAGTGCTGGGATTGCAGGTTTGAGCCACCACACCTAGCTATTATTTGCTCTTGTTGTTTGAAGATTTAGTCTTATGAATAAAGTACCTATTCATTTATCAACCATATATCAGAACTTACCCCTCAAAAGTGGCCCCCATTTATTTTGCGACAGGGGGCAGTGTTCAAAGTTTTGTCTTGTATTGTTCACAAACTGCCATGTGGCATGTGCCTTTCTCTTCCTTTCTCTTCCTATTTGTTTCCATTGCTTCCTGCAAAGCTGCCTGGAGAGGATCCTTAGTTGTCAGGGCCTATCTTTAGTGATTTTGGAACTTGCATTCTATCCTGTCACTGTCTTCTGGGAATGTACCACCCCTTCATAAACATACACACACAGAACTCAATTTTTGTTGTTTGCCTATATATATATATAACTTGCCCAATTTTGTTTTGAAGCTGACCAATCCCCAAATTTATTGGGAGTAGCATAATGAGCCAGAAATCACTTTGGCTGGGGCAGCTTGATACACACTGTAAATGCATGACAGCCCTCAGCATGTGGGCTTAATGGATAAATGAGGAGTGGAGTGAGCAAGTCTGGGGAAGCTTAGCCATAGAGGCTTGTTTCATTGCCATCCACGTACTTGTGAGCATCAGCTACAAAGGACGGCAAGTTGTTAGGAAGATCTCCATCCCCTGCCACTGGGAAAATTTTTCTTGTTTGGTAGGGAACCCAGAGAAATTCCTCTTTAGTTACAGGGGGAGGGGGCATGCCTTCAATTAACAAAACTGAGTTTGGGTAATGCTTCCTTTAAAAACTTTCTTTTAAAAAGCGTGGGTCTGTCTATGATGAACATAATAAATTTTTATTGCAGACATTTTGGAAAATTTTTTAAAGCATCAAAGAAAACAACGATCAGTCATAATTCACCATCTAAATATGACTACTCTTAGTTTTTTACAAATTCTTTTACTTTTAAAAATGAATATATGCTAGATGTCTTATAAAAGTGTGATTGTATTGATGTGAAGTTTTATATCTTGCATGTTTCATTTCACATACCTTGAGCATGTATCCTTCTAAACCTGACATTTTTATTCTGAAGTGAAAAACCCTCTCTCTGTCTTTGCAATCCCTTTTTCAGAAGTAATCACTTTAGCAATTTGACACTAAGTAACCACGTTAGCAATTTGACACGTATTCATCCAAGTATTTTCTGTGTTTATACAGATACAAAAAAAAGCTTTAAACCCACGTATCCCTTTTTGTTTGGAATTATGTTCTATGTATGGTTTACTTTTGTTCACTAAACAATGTATTTACTTAGTTATTTACTATTTTTTTTCAGCCTGAGCAACATAGTGAGACCCCAACCCTACAAAAAAATTTTAAAACTTAGTTGGCCTGGTGGAGCACACCTGTAATTTTAGCTACTTGGGAGGCTGAGGCAAGGGAATCACTTGAGCCCAGGATGTCAAGGCTGCAGTGAGCTATGATTGTGCCACTGTACTCCATCCTGTAGATTCTCTTACGTTTTTTTTATTTTTTTATTTTTGGTGACGTCTTGTTGCCAGGGACTAAGAATCCTGGATACCTTCTCAGGGCACAGCAAGGAACTCCATCTCACTTTGAAAAACAGGTACAGAGTATTTCATGAATAATTTATTTAACTATTCATCTACACTTTTAGGTTGGTTCTAATATTTATGTTTTGACTGACAATGTTCGTCTTATTTGTCTAACACTCTGCTAGCCCAGATGATGAGGAAAGTGGTAATTAATTCAGCAAATGGATTAATTACACTCTCATATTAACCACCACCTCTCTTCTGGATATGCTATTTAAAAATACTTATTGCTATTATATCTAATTAGCACTGCATTTGGGTTTTCTACTGTTACTGTTTTAAAAATTCAAGTAATTTCATGTTTATGATGAAGCTTTTAATGGATTAGATAAAATGGGAATTTACTAAGAAGTTTCTGGGACCCATCTGTGGTAGTGTGAACTAAATATTTGACCCTTGCTCCCACGCTCTGGCTTACAACTCCTAATATCCTTAGAATCTCCAAAGCGAGGTATGCTATTGAGACTGGTGGCTGGCAGCCCCTAGGTAGCTTCAGGATGGGGGCTCATCACAGTGAAGACCAAGGCACAATTAAGAGGGTTGAGACTATTCAGCCCACCCATAACCTCTTGGGAGGAGAGGAGCCAAAGGTTAATTTCACTAAAGGCCAATTAGCTAATCAAGCCCCCATAAAAGCCCAAAAGGACAGAGTTTGGAGTGCCTGTGGAAAGCACACCTCAACTCCATGGGGACAGACACTCCTGTGCTCAGGACAATTCTAGGCCTTCTCAAATGTGTCCCTTCATCTGGCTGTTTATTTGTGGCTGCTCTTCAGTCATATCACCTCTATTCCAGCTGAATTTTACAATTCAAATCCATGATTTTATATTTGTGAGCATTAAATTTTGTCTGGCTTGCTTTGGCCTGTGCTTCCTATCTATTGATCTTCATTTTGTTGAGCAACACAGTTTGCTGTTATCCACAGTTTCCATCTGCAGGCCTTGCTCACCCAGGGTATGCGAGTCATCTGTGGCTGGTACAGAGTCCATGATGTTCCAAGGAGTTACTCATTCCATCTGTACTCATTCAGTCTCCATCTTTTAGGGGTTATGCTATCCAGATGAACAAATATAGGTCCTCAGCTCAGGAACTTCCTTTCTATATAGAAGGAGGCTGGAATGAAGATAGATGGCCATCCCAGTAGAATGTGGTCTATGGCAATAGAAGAAAGTGTTCTGGGGGCACAGGAGAAACATCCAACCATTATGGGATGGCAGAAGGTCACAAAAGACTACCAAGATTCACTGCTTAGTCTTCTACCAAGTTTTTACTGCCGCCCTAATTCTCTTTGCCTCTTTTATGATAACACTCACTTTGGAGGGCCACCCTTCCCTGATTGCTGTCTAAGCCTTTGGGCAGGGGCACCCACTGTCAGCTCCAGGGAGCATTACCCAATCAGTAAATTCCAAAGCCCAAGTTGCCAGACTCAGCATGGAGCAGACATCATGGAAGGGAAGTAAAAATCAAAAGATACATCAATTTATGTGTTCTTTATTCCCTCTGTTTCCCCCTTCCCTTCACCTCATTGAAGTCAGCTTGGTGGTCATTGCTTCATGGGAGGTATGTGGCAAGTCAGAAAACAGAACTACCCTAGAAGTCTTGCTGGCTTTTTATACTTAGAAGTGAATTCCTGAGAATAATTTAGTTGAAGAAACAGGAAAGGAGAAGGATTTTCCCCAGACTAAAAATAGATTGTTCCCGCTGGACGCGGTGGCTCAAGCCTGTAATTCCAGCACTTTGGGAGGCCGAGGTGGGCGAATCATGAGGTCAGGAGTTCGAGACCAGCCTGGCCAACATGGCAAAACCCCATCTCTACTAAAAATACAAAAAAAAAAAAAAATTAGCTGGGTGTAGTGGCGGGCGCCTGTAATCCCAGCTACTTGGGAGGCTGAGGCAGGAGAATCGCTTGAACCTGGGAGGCAGAGGTTGCAGTGAGCCAAGATCATGCCACTGCACTCCAGCCTGGGTGGTAGAGTGAGACTCCGTCTCAAAAAAAAAAAAAAAAATTAGATTGTTCCAGGCTGGGAAGAAGAGAAGAGTGCTGTGGTGGCAGGATTAGAGGTGCATTACCCTGTTTTTTTGGTAGCCCTGTTAGAGCAAGATTCCAGAGAAAGACACATTTCAGAAAGACTTCCAGCACAGGAATAGTTGAGACCTGCCTAGCCTTGAAGGAGTCAGGAGGACAGGATAACAGATGTCATTGTGACTTCCCATAGGTACTGATGACTGAGGACCAAATAGCTTTCCCCTACTCCCAGTGCCTTAGAAAGACCCTAGGCTTGTGTGGGGTTCCCAAGAAAAGCTGAGGTTGTTTTTCTTGTAGCCAAGCAGGGCAATATTTGTATTTTTTGTAGAGACAGAGTTTCGCCCTGTTGCCCAGCCCTCAGGCCCAGGGCTTGAGTTGGAAATTAAGTAGAGTAGTGGACTATAAAGTAAGTTCTAGTTATTGGACTCCTTAGTTCATGAGCTGAAAGGTACACTCATCGCACACCCAAGGATATTTTAATTCCCTTCTGCCCCTATTTCATTCCACCTTCTTTCCTTTCAAATGGTTTCTAAGACAGTGTAATCAAATAATCACCTTGGAGCTCCATCTAACTCATATAGTGTCCATCCTCAAATTTGCTCTGTCCTGTACAGCAGTGTTCTTAGTAAAGCAACATTAGACAAAACTCAGCACCATGGTAGAGAGAGGCAGATCCCACTCTACCCACCCAAACACCACTGGACACACACCAATAGACAGCTTTGAGGACAGACAATCCAAACAGCATTCCAAATCCATTTTTCTGGGTATCAAAAGTCAAAAGAAAGTTATTTAAGTGACTCAAATAGAGATTAAGGCTTTATTCAACGGATACACATCAGAGAGATTAAAGACTTTGTTCAACTGATACATATCAGAGAGCATCTAGAGGACAGCTGACCCTAGATTAAAGTGGGGTTGGGATTTTATAAGACAGGGGAAAGCTGAATGCCTGAACTAGTGGTTTTGGCTTAGGTAGCATTTTTCACTTTCATCAAAACTCATAGTTGGAGGTCATTCCACTTTTGTGCCTCTTGCTTAAGTCATTGGTAAAATTCTAATACTATCAAAATAGTATTTTCTACGAAGTATTTTGGCAAGCCTCGTGGCTTAAGGAAAAAAATTCCTGGACATATTTTAAAAATAATTATACTGAGGTATCTGTGGGAGTTGTTTGCAAAGATGCCGAGGGGACCTGTGGCTCACTGGGCCTGAAGAGCTGTAAACCAATCTGACTTTACATGGATTTGTGATAGAGGTGAGGAAATGAGAGGTTTAGAGGACAGGAGGCTGCAGCCATGACGTTTAAGGCTTTGGAGTTAAGGCAGTTGCAGGTTATGCCAAGTTCTAGGTGGCCATGACTTTCTTTCTGAAGCATTAGGTTGAAGCATATGCAATAATTGACGTTGTTGGTCAAAACCAGTATAATATCAGGAATTTTATAGGGCTCAACCTAAATAAATATGGGCAAAAGTCAATATGGTTGAGTTGCTGAATTTGGTTTCAGGCCAAAGAACCTTGCTTATATATATATCCTCTGTCCCTCTAACAAAACAACTAGCTAGTTTTATCTTTTCACTTTTCTATGTTCACCTCACCTCACTGCTCATTTGCTCTTGGAAACCTGGCTGTTGTGTTGGAAAAAAGTGGATCTAGTTCTGCCTTTGCCATTGGAAAACATACTTTGAGCTTTGTCCATCTCAGATACTTCAAAAACCCTTGTATATGTCATTCAGTCTATGTGATTGAAATCTAGGAGCTATCACTCCTAAATTGAGAGACAGAAATAAAATTTTAAAACAATTTTCTTAACAAACATATTACAAATAATTAATCTTAAATGGCAGCAAAATGTATCCCTGGTGTCTGAGCCAAAGTTAATATGTACACTTTTCAGAGCCCCTGCTAAGCTGCCTATTGCATTTGCTGGAATATGGCACTAACAGGAGGAACCGCATTCTCATGACCAGATACTAAATGAACATCATTCCAAAGAATTACCATAATATCCTTTATATCTTATAATTGTATGAACTGACGCAAGCAGCACTGTCCGTCAAAGGCTTTATAAATGGCACAGAAAATAAGTACCCTGTGACTGGCATCTATTAACAAAATGAACACCCCAGGCACACTATTTCATTACTCCCACTGGCTCCCAGAGGTATAATTAGGGTTGAATTTTTCATGAACATAAACATTATTTTCTTTGTCCACTATGCTATGCTTTGTGCCTGATTATTTTCAATACTCCACTCAGAAAAACAGAAAAGGAGAGAAGACAGGCATATCCTCACTGACTGAAAGTGATTCTGTGGCTTGCTTTAAGGGTGCCCAGGCCCCTAGCATGGAGCTTGGCGTCCACTTTCAGGCAGAGCTCTCCCAGACCTGCTTTGCCCACTCCTGGCTTATGCTGAGGTTGGAGAAAGACCCAGCATAATCATCTGGAGCTCAGTATCTCTTGCAGAACTCCCAGGTTTTGGAGACGTAAATATATGGTCTTCACTGTTAGTCTACCTACTCTATAATTTTTAAGTCATTTTTTAAGAAAAATAAAAGTGATACGGCTGTGATTGTTCTTGTTCTTCCTCTCGGTTTATTTGGTTGGATGATATCTGGTCTGATTTGCAGACATGTTTGAAATGCTTTGCCAGTGGAATTTATCAGCCATTGCCCCCAGAATCTTACTAAAATATAAATCTAATAATGCCATACTCTTGCTTAAAACCTTTCAATGATTTTCTATTACCAATGAAAGAAAGTCCAAGTTGAACGGCATAGCCTGTGGGGTCTTTGTAAGATGCCCCTGAATGATCTCCATCTATGTTTCCTGTCTCTCCCTTAACAGGCAATCCACTGTCTAGCCACATTAAAGGTCTTATGATTCTCTAATTGTGCCTTTCTTTTACACAATCCTGGGATATAATTTTCCTACATCTCCACCTTGCTAAAAGTAACCCTTAAAAGTAAAATCAAGCCTTGGTGTTCTTTCCGTCTCCCAACATGGTGGCCTCAGAAAAGGAGAAGGAGAAGGAGAAGAAGAAGGAGAAGGAGGAGAAGGAGGAGGGGGGGAGGGGGAGTAGGAGGAGGGGGAGGAGGAGGAGGAGGGGGAGGAGGGGAAGGGGGAGGAGGGGGGAGGAGGAGCAGGGAGAGGGGGAGGAGGAGAAGAAGAAGAAGAAGAAGGAGAAGGAGAAGGAGAAGGAGAAGGAGAAGAAAAAGACAATTTCCCTAATAGACTTTCTGACTGAGGAAGGGCAGACTGGAGGAGGAAGCACCTATATCCCCAGACTGGGCTGATGAAACAGATGAGCCAGAAGGAAATGCTTCAACCACTTGGCACACTAATGATGAGATGTGTATAGGACATCTCCAATTGGTCATTCCATTCTTTTCACTGCTCCACAGGATGCTGGAGAACCCCATATTGATTGGAGCCATCTTCCCAAATCACCATCCTACAATGCTCTTCTAGGGAACTTGCTCTATGATGTGATAGAAGACTCAATTAAGGAATTATTTAGAGGATTAAATATTGATACAGCACACTGACCACATGAACCCGGCATCCAGAGAGGTTGAAAGTTTTAGTTATCCTGAGTTTGAGGACCTGGATGCCCTGTTCAGTACCCTGGGTCTCAATGAAGAGTCTGTAGGTAACAGGATAATTAGAGTGGACATTGCTGACCAAGCACAGGATAAAGACAGGGATGACTGTCCTCTTGGCCAGGATAGAAATTAGGATACTGACAAAACAGATATACTGGAGGTCCATCCTGCCACAGACAGCTTTGATGACTACCTGCCTAGAAGAGGTGTTGATAGCTTTGGAGACAAGTATCAAGATCATGCAATTCAGACCAGTATCATGATGGGTGTCAGGACAGGTTTAGAGATGGCTCACACCAGGATATGGGTCAATGTGGGGGCCGGGATTAAGATGATGACTGAGGCAGCAGAGACTATGATAGAGGCTATGATTCTGCAACAGGCAGTTGCAGAAGAGCATTTGGTAGTGGGTACCTCAGAGATGATGACTACTGAGGAGGTGGATGAAGGCCAATAAGACAGACAGGACAATTGGTCATGGAACTCCAGAGATGATTACTCTTAGGGTGATTATAGGCATGATGATAGGGGTCCCTCCCAAAGATCAGAGCCTCAGAGCATTCATAAGGAAGATGATCCCTCTTCTAGCACCCCCTCAGCTCAGTTGAGTGGCTTCTATCTTTGGAGGGGGAAAGTCCATTGACACAGTTGCTAGAAAAAGAGAAGCAGAAGAACAGCTACAGAAGAAACAAGAGAAACCATATTGACAGCTGGATGAGCCAAATCTAGAACAATGGCCTCTGGAGAGACATCCAAGCTGGCAAAGTGAAGAAACTCAGGAACGGGAATGGTGGAGGACGGGAAGTGAGCCAGTGCAGACTGCGACCCCAGCCACATCAGGCAGAAGCAAGTCAGACCAGGACACATGAAGAAGAGAGAGTGAGAAGTCTCTAGAAAATGAAACACTCAATAAAGAGAAACACTGCCAGTCTCCAATTTCTAAGCCTTCCAAACCTGATCAACTCCTAAAGGTGATTCGAGCCCCTCCACCAAAGGAGACTGCTTAGGTGAAGAGAAGTTCTAATCCTCTTATTCCATCTCAGAGCTCAGAAACAGAGCAGCAACCCCCTACAGGTAGTGAGGGAAAAGTACCTCCAGTTCAACCCTCAGAGGAAAGACCAGCAAAGAAAGATGAAAATAAAGTAGACGGGATGAATGTCCAAAAGTCCAAAGTGGGAACTCGGGCCGTGGTCCAGGAGATGGAGGGAACAAAGACTGCTGGAGGGAGTCAGACAGGAAAGATGGCAAAAAAGATCAAGTCTGCAGATCTGCACCTGAGTCAAAGAAACCTGAGGAAAATCCAGCCTCCAAGTTCAGTTCTGCAAGCAAGTGTGCTGCTGTCTCTGTTGATGGTGAAGATGAAAAGGAAGGAGCAGATTACACCAAATAGACCTCCTGTGCTTTCTCCTAGTCTCTCTCCACTCTGGAACATTCAAGAGCAAAGCAAACCTACATCCAGACAAGACAAAATAACACTCACCACCTCCTGGGGGAGGAAAAAATCAGGGTCAAGTTCTGATAAAATAGCTATGTCTCAACCCAAAGGCAAGCTTCCTATTTAATTTGGAAATACTGAAGACATTTCTGCTAGAGAAATGAACAATGTGAGGAAGTAACTATTGCCACCACTCTTTAGCATCAGAAAGATAAAATATCTGAATAAATTAAATAAGAAGTGTGTAAATGTTTACGTGTAAAACTCTACAACAATCCCTGAAAGTCCAAAAAGTAGACCTGAACCAATGGAAAATATAAAGTATGCTTAGATAGGAAGTCAGAATCATAAAGATTTTAATGCTCCTCAAATTATTTAAAAGATTTAATGTGATCCCTATAAAGGTACCAAAAATCCCCATCTCCACCCTGTGCCCCGCAATAACATGATGAGATGAATATGAAGTTCTCATGAAGAAATAAAAAGGCAAAATTGGCCAGGAGAATTCTGAAACAAAAATTTAAAAAATACTGGGAAATATTGTGTCCAGCCCTGCCAAATATTAAAACATACTAGAAGTCCTCAATAATTAAACTGACATACTTAAAAACAGGCAGATCAATAAAACAAAATAAAAAGAACTGTAGTAAACCCAATGTGTGTGCCAATTCAGTACCTATTAAAGGTGTCTCAAATCACTGAGGAAATGGGATGTTTAAGAATTGGTTTTGAGGCTGGGCATGGTGGCTCACGCCTATAATCCCAGCAGCTTGGGAGGCCCAGGTGGGCAGATCACTTGACATCAGGAGTTCCAGACCAGCCTGGCCAACATGGTGAAACCCCGGGTCTACTAAAAATACAAACATTAGCCAGGCATGGTGGCGTGCGCCTGTAATCCCAGCTGCTCAGGAGGCTGAGGCAGGAGAATCACCTGAACCTGAGAGGCAGAAGTTGCGGTGAGCTGAGATCATGCCACTGCACTCCAGCCTGGGTGACAGAGCAAGACTCCGTCTCAAAAAACAAACAAAAAAAATTATAAATACTAGAAGAAAATATGAATCAATTCCTATAAAACCTGAAGTGGATAGTGCCTTTTTAACTATAACTTAAAATTCAGATGCAAATTTTTAAAAAGATTGATAAATTTAATTAAATAAAAGAACTTTTAAACATTTTTGCATGACAAAACAAAACAAATGCCAAGACAAAGACAAATGACAAATAACAACTGGGAAAAAAAGTATTTACAACTTGTATCAGATACAAAGGGCCAATCTCCATAATATGTAAATATTCTTACAATTAAGAAGAAAAGGTACAAAAATAAAACTATAGAAAAATGGGCAAAAGACATGAACACACAGTTCATGGAAAAGAAAGTTCAAATATCCTTTAAACATATGAAAACATATTCAATCTCATTTATTATAAGAAAAACTCAAATTCAAACTTTTTTTTTTTTCCAGACAGAGTCTCGCTCTGTTGCCCAGGCTAGAGTGCAGTGGCGCGATCTCAGCTCACTGCAGCCTCCATCTCCTGGGTTCAAGCGATTCTTGTGTCTCAGTCTCCTGAGTAGCTGGGACTACAGGCGTGCACCACCACATCCAGCTAAGTTTTGTATTTTTAGTAGAGATGGGGTTTCACCATGTTGGCCAGGCTGATCTCGAACTCCTGACCTTAAGTGATCCACCCACTTTGACCTCCCAAAGTGCTGGGATTACAGGAGTGAGCCACCATACCTGGCTTCTTTTTTTAGTTTTTGTAATTAACTCTTTTTTCTTAGTAACTTCTTCTTGCTTGATATGAAATTCTGTCTTAACCAACTGAAGTTTTATTTGCTGGATTAACCATGCTTCCTCAGGTGTGCATTCATCTGTTTCATTAGTGCCTCTCTTATAATCTTGATTTTCTCTGTTCTTGTACATTTTGGTGTTGTGTTCCTTTTTGCATTTGTTTTCCTGAAAGCCTTTCTGTCCACGTGGTATTGTTCCCCACAGCCTATTACCAAAGATGCAGGCAAGGGGTGGTGTGCAGCTGCGCGAGGAGTGTCTGGATTTCTGGAAGTACGGGCTACTGGTCTCTTTTTGGATCATCAACCATGAAGGGTACTGACGTCTCTTGACCTAAATATCTACACTTACTGCTCACACCTGAATGATGACACCTTTGTCACCTTTGCTTTGCATAAGAAGAGGGGCTGGCTCATGCCTGTAATCCCAGCATTTTGGGAGGCCGAGGCAAGTGGATCACAAGGTAAGGAGTAGAAGATCAGCCTGGCCAATATGGTGAAACCCTGTCTCTACTAAAAATGAAAAAAAAATAATAAAAAATTAGCCAGGCGTGGTGGCAGGCACCTGTAGTCCCAGCTACTCGGGAGGCTGAGGCAGGAGAATCACTTGAACCCGGGAGGTGGAAGTTGCAGTGAGCCAAGATCGTGCCACTGCACTCCAGCCTGGGCGACAGAGCAAGACTCCGTCTCAAAAAAAAAAAAAAATAAGGGCTGTTTCTCCTTCCATATTCCAACCAGAGCCACTTCAGATATCTATACCTGCCTCTTCAAACTTGGAGCTCCCCCTAGAATACCTCTCTTTTTTTAAGAGTTCTTCCTTTGCCTGTTTTGGGATTTGGCTTCCCCATTCAATCTGATCCGATTTGCCTTCAGATTTTTAGGCATCTCTTGTAATTTCCACTAAAGGCACTCTCTCCTGCTTTCCAACATAGTTATGAATTTTAAAAAGATACATTTTCTTAATTTTCTAGAGATTTATATGGGGAGACTGCAGCAAATGCATATAGTTCTCTTGATTCAAGATACGTACTTTTCAAAAAGTACAACCAGGCAGTTAAGCAACATTGACAAAGATGTTCTTGGGTTCCAAGAGCAGAGATAAGAAAACAGCAAAATTAGAATCTGGACTATTTCCCATTAACGATTCTAAGACTGAAAGGAAGACCTCTAGAGGATCACGGTGTTCTTGAATCCCATTACTGCCAAAGGTTCATCTATTATCCATTGCAATAACAATGACTCGATCAACAGTGATGCTACTGTTGCTTGGAAAGCATCCAGATGCATAGTGTTCAGAAGCTAAATCAATCCCATTGATTATAAGATGATAAATGATTCTGAGGCACAACCCATACACCTGATAATTGCCACTTTATCAAAGGAAGACATCTTAAACAAGCTTTAATAAGAATGTTCAAAGCTTTGCAGGTAAGAGCTTGAGAATTACAAATAGGAAGTAGTCACCATTGTGAAAAAAGGTTGAATTAATTTGCAAACTCATAGGGAGTTATGTGATACAGCAGAAATTGCACAAGAAAAATAGCAGAGATAACAAGAATACTCATACGGTTCTACTTTCTCCAGCTCCTTTGAGAAAGAACAATGAACAGCATCCCCCATCAGGGGTTCCTCCTGCCTGGTCCCTGATCCTACTAAAGGTAAGAGTGGAAACCTGAGCACTAGGGAATTTTTGGTTTAGTTTCTCGTGGTATTGGGACCTGTGTGAGCTCCAGGGACCTGCGTGTCCCTAAACTCTCTGCCGCTTTGGCGTCAGCCCATGCTTCTCATGCTGTTAAGACTTGTTTCTTAAGACACAGGTTGCAAAGCCCCCGCTGATAAAACAGGATGTGGTAAAGAAGCTGGTTGAAACCAGCCAGAATCAAGATGGTGACAAAAGCAACCTCTAGCTGTCTTCACTGCTCATTCATTACATATTAATTATAATGCATTAGCATGCTAAGAGAAACTCCCACCAGTGTCATGACAGTTTACAGATGCCATGGCAACTTTTGGAAGCTACCCTATATGGCCTTCTCAAACTAGGAACCCTAGTTTGAGACTTTCTGAAACCAAGAATCTAGACCTTCTCCCTGATCCTCCCTTTGTCTGTGACATCTGGAACAGTGCCATGGTGCCCATCTGCTTGGATAAGGACCTTATACCATTCTGCAAAGGCAGTGGAAAGAGCATGGTTAAAGATCCAGTTCTCAGGCTGGCCAAAAGCCCTTTACTGCTTGGCCGCTGCCTGCCTTTCTGAGATAATTCTCTTATCACTCAAGAAAATACCTTAAATTCATTCACTCAGAACTAGCCAGGGTGTGAGTCTGTTGTCAGGATCCAAGAAAGAGGTGACAAGGGTTTAATTTTTCTTTTTTTTTTTTTTGAGATGGAGTCTCGCTCTGTCGCCCAGGCTGGAGTGCAGTGGCGCAATCTTGGCTCACTGCAAGCTCCGCCTCCTGGGTTCACGCCATTCTCCTCCCTCAGCCTCCCGTGTAGCTGGGACTACAGGCACCCGCCACCACGCCCAGCTAATTTTTTGTATTTTTAGTAGAGATGGGGTTTCACTGTGTTAGCCAGGATGGTCTCGATCTCCTGACCTCGTGATCTGCCCGCCTTGGCTTCCCAAAGTGCTGGGATTACAGGCATGAGCCACCGTGCCTGGCCGACAAGGGTTTTAATCAGTAATGGTCATCAGATTAGAAAGGGTGAATAGACCCAAGAGGTGTTCAGGAGACAGAGTCAATAGAGCATCTGACAAAACTTAAAATGCAACTTTAAATCTGTTCAGAAGTACATTTTAGTTTGTATTTATTTTTTTCTGTTGCTACTGCACAAATTAAAGCAGCAAATTTTAATAAGATGATGGCATTTGGCTTGATAAGAAGGTGGGATTGTTAAATAGTCACTGCATGGCCAAATCCGTGGCATTTCGACAGCCAGCCCCGTGACTCTGGCTTCCTGTGCCAACCTAGGCTTATTTGGAGTGAAAAAAGAACCTGTGAGAAGGAAGGAGAGCTTTTTTCTTTTTTGAAATAAACTTGGTTTGTAGAATAGAAACCTCTGAGCTTAGATTTCTTCCAGCTTAAACATTTATATTTGTGGTCTTACATTTGCTAAATCTAATAGCTTGAATAAATTCCACGTAGCTTTTTTAGAAACTAACTAGATTTTGTGTAACTTTTTATCCCTAGGTCAAATGATTTGTGGTTTTAATGAGTTCACTTACTCTACATTTTGCTTTGAATGTCTAAGACATTTTCCAGCAAGAAGTGGTGGAAATTAGAATCGCCAACCCAGCTGCAAAATCAGTCTTGTATTACAGAGCAACCTGTGACTCTGAGCCCCGGGACATCAGGGACATCAGGCTTCTAGCCCTGCTCGGCCTTGGTGAGGAGTGGACTCAGTAGAGACATTTCTTAGGGCCCAGCACACCTGTGTGCAGAGTTGGGCACCTGTTACCCACAGCAGGGTTTATGTAGCAAAGAAAATTCTGGAAGTCTTGTTCCAAAGTTAAGTTGGATTCAAAGCTGAGGGGACAATGGCCTCTACAGCTCTGTGCATTATATTCTGTTCCATCTTCAGATCTTTCTTTCTATGTCATCCTGACTGAGTCTAAGAGTGGTTGTATCTGTGTATCTATCTCCTCTTTCCCATCTTCTCACTGTTATGGAATTTATTTCTGTTTAATAAAAGTATCATGGACCTGGAATATCTGTACCCTTTGGACTAAATGCCTCAGTATATCAATACAAAGCTTGGAGGTCCATGCACAGAGAATTTTACTCTAAGCGTAATGTAGAGTACCAGGAGATGATTGCAGAGCTGGGGACAGGACACTGACAACAGGAAATGGGGAGGTGACAGGATGGAAGTTTAGATACTACCTGAGGCTCTAAGAAGAGATCTAGAATGCCCCACCCCCAAGCCTTGACTCAGAGTGGCAGGGAGAAAAGATGACAGGAGCCTCAGATCTCAGACCCAACATGGTGTGCCAGCTTTAGAGCAGCATTGGTGGACGGAGGTGCCAGGTGGTGAGATGGGCATGGTGCTCCTGGCAGCCTTGAGCCACAGGTGCCACCAGAGAGTACATGCAAGTATCAACAGCCCTAGAGTTGGAACAAAAAGGCTTATAGTGAGAGACACCCTGACCAGGGGCAATGGCAGGGATCATGGCCATCAGCATGAAACTTGCTCTGTACCCAAGACAAGGTAGGAGCCACCAAAGCTTAGTGGACACCAGTGCAGGGAAACCAGCAGCCAAGGTGGGAGTGGGGAGCCACCCAGAGGAGGTTGGCAGGGCCCTGGAGGACAGCACATGGAGCCCAGACCTACCTACCCACCACTCCAGGAGAATCCATGTGTCTTCCCCTGCCTCGAGAGGTGCCTTGGAAAGGAAGAGGGGTAAGGAGATTCCTTGGGAGATGAGTATCATCATTTCAGACAGCAAGCTGAACTTAGAATTAACTGAATATTTACACAAAAGAGACAGTCGAATTAGAAGAGGCAGAATTACCTTTAATTGGTAAATGTAAATGTTTTTTGCTTTTAGAAGGAAATAACTCTAAAGCACGATGTGGTCAAATGTGTGTGTGTGTTTGTGTGTGTGTGTGTGTGCGTGTACACACACAAAATTAATGCATTTCTTATTCTTGGTTAGTAAACTTTGATGCTGCTACATTTGATACAAATGATATACCGGACACTTGGTTATTATAATCTCATTCAAAATCTTATTTTATGGATTAAAAACAAACAAACACGAAAACCCTGAAGCCCAGAGCTGGTAAGGGGCAAAACACTGGAGACAGGCCTGGGTCTTCCGACTTCCTCATCAGTGGTCTCCCCACCACACAGCGTGTTCGTCCTCAGAATCCTTGGGTGTGCACTGTTCCTGGTTGATATGATGAGCTTTGATCTATTTCTTTTTCTTTTCTTTTTTCTTTTCTTTTCTTTTCTTTTCTTTTCTTTTCTTTTCTTTTCTTTTCTTTTCTTTTCTTTCTTTCTTTCTTTCTTTCTTTCTTTCTTTCTTTCTTTCTTTCTTTCTTTCTCTTTCTCTCTTTGTTTTTTGAGACAGGCTGTCACTCTGTTTTTCAGGCTGGAGTGCAGTGGTGCAGTCACAGCTCACTGCAGCCTTAATCTCCCAGGCTCAGGCAATCCTCCCACCTCAGACTCCCAAGAAGCCAGGGTCAGAAACATGTGCCACCAGGCCAGCTAATTTTTTTAATTTTTTGTAGTGTCAGGATCTCATTATGTTGCCCAGGCTGGTCTAGAACCCTTGGGCTCAAGCATCCCTACCACCTTGGGCTCCCAAAGTGCTGAGATTACAGACATGAGCCACCACACTTGGACTGATTTATTTCTAATCATAAAGCACTCAATGGTACAAAATTGTCTAGGAATAAAAGCCCAGGATGATGACAGAAACAGGGAGATGATAAATACTGACTCTTGGAGGAAGAAATGTTCTTCATTTTTCCTGTGTGGATAATCAACTGTGGGCCATCGCAGGAATGTACTCTTTTTACGGGTCTCCGGCCTCATGCCTTATGGATGAAGACTGTCGAATGTGCAGACTGCAGGGACTTTGCCTCCTCCACAGCAGAATCAACACTCAACTCAACCATCCCCTATAAACAGCTGTTGTCCCAGGCTTGGAAGATAGTAAAAATAAATCTGTGATAAGAAGCAGGCTTATCTTCAGGCCTCAGGTCCAAGGGTAAGGCTGAAGATAGAAGCCCCACCCTGTTATCGCTTGACACTCTAGAATCCCCTGGGTTTTTTAGCAAAAGATAACGCAACTGCTAAAACAACCATCACTCAGGAGACAAGGAGCCCCGGCCAGATTTTACCTGATACAAGCAGTCACTCAATATGTGCCTGTCAACACCCCCTCCCTTCCCCAGAGCCTTTCCTACCACATCCAGAGAAACATGGCTTATGGATTCCAAGGACTCTTCAGGGATAAGCCATCTATCTCTGGAGGCTTCCTTAGTGAAAGGGAACTTGGATTTCCTAAATCAGAGAATACTAGCCACTTTGATATTTCAGATCTGCCTCAAACAATCCCTGAAGGAACCATATGTGATTCCTGGAAAGCAACCAAATGTATTCTGAGGGGGCCATATGCCACAGGAAAATAAATCTGAAATACGGCATACTGTATTTTCTTCTTGGAGCTTCATAACCCACATTAGGATATTAAAGGTCCTGAGAAGTCCTGCACTTAAAGACCAAAACTTAAATACTCTTATGCAAAACAGCTTTTCCAGACTTATCTGAGCACAGAGCACAATTTTCCATAGAACGCTTCTTAACCCTCCGCTGATTTGGCCTTCTGCTAGTGTCTGACTGTATCTTTTATGTCTGGGTGGTTAGCATGAGGTTAGCACGTTGTTCCCTTTATCAGCGTTAGTAAATGAACTGAGGAGAGCAGCGCTGGCTGCTCCCAAGTGGGTCCTCAAACAACCCAAGCCAGCAAGAGTCAGACCCCTCACTGCTGAGGTGGGTGGTTTGCCCAGGACAGTCGGGTTTACACTCATTCTTCAAGCACAATGTATTTTTTATTTTTTATTTTTTTTGAGATGGGGTCTCGCTCTGTCACCCAGGCTGGAGTGCAGTGTTGCAATCTTGGCTCACTGCAACCTCTGCCTCCCGAGTTCAAGCGATTCTCCTGCCTCAGCCTCCCGAGTAGCTGGAACTACAGGCGCGTGCCACCATGCCCAGCCAATTTTTGTATCCTTTAAGTAGAGACAGGGTTTCACCATATTGGCCAGGCTGGTCTTGAACTCCTGGCCTCAAGTGATCCACCTGCCTCGGCCTCCCAAAATGCTGGGATTACAGGTGTGAGCCACCACGCCTGACTCAAGCACAATTAATACCTCCTTTTACTCTCTAAAGTGTTTTAGTTTGGACCATGAATTATATGGCACTCCTGCCACTGTGACCATCAGGAGAGCCCTTCCAAAGGCTGCAGACTGGTTGAGGCCCTCGTACTAGAACTGAGTGAGCAAATGAGCTCCAGAAGGTGTGAACCTATAAATGTGGGAGGCCCCAGAGGGGATCAGATGGCTCCACGGTGGGCAAGACATCATCCGGGAGAGAGCCAGCAGGGAGGAGGAGGGCAGGAAGCCAGGACAGTGCCTCAGGGTTGCTATTGGCAGCATTCTACTGCTACTTGGATTTTTTGAATTAAAAAATTGTACTTGAGAGCATAACACATTTTTCTCATGTTTGTGGTTTGGAAGATCATTCCTTTTCCCCTTTGATTTTTAGTAGAATTCTTGAAAATGTCTGCACCAGTTGTGCTGAAGGGAAAAACTGGTGCCATTGACCACAGTGTTTTAAGGGCAGAAGGACAGTCCTGGGCCTGGGCTGTGGAGCTGGGGATGTGTTGGACAATTCCCAAGGGGTGGATAATAGCTCGGGGGGAGAGGCAGGACAAGTGAAGTTCCGTGATAAGAGGGGGAACTGAAGCTGGACCTTGAAAGGTTGGGGAGGACTTGTGGAGATGAGAGTGGGGAAAGGTAGGTGTCCCAGACAGAGGGAGCAGCATAAGATACTGTATGAGTTTCCTATTGCTGCTGTAACAAATTATTGCAAACTCAGTGGCTTAAAGCAACCCAGATTTACTATCTCACAGTTCCGGGGGTCGGAAGTCTGAAATGGATCTCACTGGGCTAAATCAAAGTGTCAACAGGCTGTGTCCCCTTATGGAAGCTCTAGAATTGAGTTCTTGCCTTTTCTAGCTTCTAGAGGTAGCCCACGTTCCCTGGCTCAAGGCTCCCTTCCATCTTCAAAGCCAGCAACAGCTGGTCGAGTGTTTCTCACATTGCATCACACTGACTGACCACTGTCACCTCCGTCTCTCATGTAAGGATCTGGTGATTACACTGGGACCCCTGCTGCATAATCCAGGACACCCTCCCCACTTCAAGATCCTTAATTTGACCACATCTGCAGAATCGCCTTTGCCATGTGAAGTAACACATTCACAGGCTCCTGGGACTAGGGAGTGGATATCTTGGGTGGGGGGCATTATTTCGTCTACCACACATGCCAAGTAAGGACAGTGTCCTTGCAAAATAGGAAAAGTGAATAGTCCATTTGCCTGGATTGGAAGGAATGTATGAGGAAAGATGTGGAACCAGAAGTATAGACTGGAGATTCAGGAAGGGAGAGAAACGTTTCCTCGATTCTCTTCAGAGGGCCTAAGTGGCCATGGACCACATCCTTTGCTCAGGCTGCTATTGTGATGCCAGGGCGGCAGCCATGGGGCAAGGTCAGCAGACACCTCCATGAGGGCCTACATGGTGGAAAGGCACAGGCTTGTAAACTCAGGATCCTGAGGAGCTCAACTCATTAAAAGCAGATTCTCATCTGGGAATCACCTTTTCTCTTCAGTGGCAGTAATAGAACTCTTTTTTCAAATTAAATTCATATGTAAACAGGTTAAAGCAGAGCCATTCAGGCTAATACAGGGCAAAGGGTCCCCAGAACCACCTAGTCCTCTGCCCATAGAGGCTCCTGGGGCACATCCCCAGGATGCGGGACACAGCAGGAAAACCTGTAGCAAAGTTCAGAAGGCTGGGTGGTGAACAAGGACTCAGAAGGTCTAGGAGGAAATGAATGTTCTAAAGTGTGAGGGAATATGGACATAGTTGCTCACAGCAAGGTTCACACATGGGTCTTAGTTTGAGCTCCCCCAGAAGCTGACCCTCAGATAAGGATATGAGTGCAAGTAGTTTATTTGGGAAGTGGAAGGAACATGGGTAGGTGAAGAAGAAAGATATTTGAGCAAGGGAAGGCAGCTAGTAAGTGTGTGCTGTCACACCAGCTACTGCAATATGGAACTGGTGCTTAAGCTTAAGAGGAAACTCTGGGAAACAGTGAAAGGTAACAAAGCTGGGGAATTCACACCTGCCAGTCATGGCTTAAGGACTGGCCCAGATGGTAATTCCCTGGTTCTTCCCACTCCTTCCCTCCTGCAGGCAACAAAGATGGCTGATGGCAGTCAGGCTGACACCATGCGCTGAAATAGCAAGGGTCTCTGATGGGATATGGGTGAACACTTTCAGCTGCCTCAGGATGGTCTTATCAATGAGTCTGGTGACAGCAGAAGTGTTCATTCTGCCTAATTCTCCATCACCACCCATCAGCGTCCAGGTTTATGGCGAGACCACCCTGCATCCTGCTCTGCAGTCCTCAGACCAACACCGACTGGGGGGACAGTTGTCATTTTTGGCTGCCTATTCCCCATGGCCCTCACTACAGCACTGAGTTTTTCTATCACAAAATGATTTCTCCGTGTAGGGAGAAAGAAGCCTTCTTAGAGTCTCTGTCTCTTGGTGATCTGAAATATCCATCTCCATGCGATCAAAAGGCATCCAAGTCTGGGCACAGAGAGAAGAAGCATTCCTAATTCCAGAAGTTCCTGAGAGAACAGGGCCAGCTTTCTGGCAGAACAGAGATGTGAACTCAATGTCCTTTGGGAAATTAGCTTTAGTTCTGTACCAAGAGCCTATAATTATACTGACCAGGCTAGGGTACTTGAAATGATGATTAAGGCATGAATGAAAAATAAAAGATCCCTTTGTTTTTATGCTCATTATGCCTCTTTTTGATGACTATGCAAAAAAAAAAAATGCCTTTCAAACAATTAGCTTAATTAGCAGATTGTATTTTCATTCCCAGCTCCAAGCCAAGTGCCCAGCAGTTGATCATAGCTGGGTAAGGATGCACTGGCCCTGCCTACCTTCCTCCTCCCACCCACCTCCATGTTCCAGAACATGGCATTTGGGGTTGATCTTTACCTTGGCCCATCTCCCAGCAGCCCTTGGGCTGAGTTCATTGCAGTCTGTGGGCCCAGCTCTGCCTGGACAGCCCTGGCTCCTCAAGACAGGAGTCTGTTTGAGGGAGGGAAGGAATAGGTGGAAACCAAGCTTCCTAGTCTGATAATGCAATCCAGTGTAATCTGGCCCCAGCCTACATCCCAGGTCCACACACCCTTCCTAGAAGCCATCCCCACTCTCTGGCTCCATGTCTCTGGTCTGCTGTCCCTTCTCCCACCCTACTTGTGCATCCCAGATTCTACCTGTGCCTCAGGGTGGCTTGCCTCCTCTATGAGGTCTTTCTTGTTTCTTTTAAGGCCTTTTGCCTGTACTTCTCCCATTATCCTCACCACTTTAAAATGGATTCAATTAAAAAGGCAATAGATGAGCTTATTCTTAATAGAAAACATTAAGAAATGAATAATTATCTAGAAAAAAGTAGGAACTCCTCCACCACTGCCTCCCTACTCCCCACCCCTTCCCCGAGGAAATCACTGGGAACAGTCGACCACACAATGAATGTTATGCAGTGCTTGCTTCTTTCGTTTAATAGAATACATCTTGGACATTTTCCATATCCAGGACTTACAGGTCAGCTTAACTCTTTTCAGTGGTTGCTGAACTGCCCCATCTGTTACCAGCCCACTATGGATGGTCAAGGGAATTTGTAACTAATGGAGTTAGAGTGCAGGTGTTTGGGAATGAATTTACTCCTTTTCCTCCTCCTCCTTTCTTCTTCTTCACCCTCCTCCTCTTCCTCCTTACCTTCCTCCTCTTGTTCCTCACACTCCTCCTCCTCCTTTTCTCCCTCCTCCTTCTCTCCCACCTCCTCCTTTTCATCCTTTATACAAATTAGAGGTCTTAAGTCCATTCCTAAAATGTCATTCTCACTCCTTTGCATTCTGACTTTCTTCTCACTCTAAAATATATATGCATACAAATATTCTAATTCTGAAATATTTTTAAAATATGGACAAGTGTAGAGAATCATATAAAACATCTACATGCACATTTAACAAGCAGTAATATTTTGAAATACAGGCATATCTCATTTTATTGAGCTTTGCTTTATTTTGCTTTTCAAATACTGTGTTTTTCACAAATTGAAGGTTTCCAGCAACTCTGTGCCAAGAAAGTCTATTGGTCTCATTTTTCCAACAGCATGTGCTCACTTTGTGTCTCTATGTCACATTTTGGTAATTCTCACAATATTTCAAACTTTTTATTATTATATGTGTTATGATGATTTATGATCAGTGATCTCTGAAGTTACTATTGTAATTGTTTAGGGGCACCATGAACCACACCCATAGAAGACAGTGAACTTAACAAATGTTGTCTGTGTTCTGACTGCTCCACCAACCAGCCATTCTCCAATCTTTCTCTCCTCTGGCCTCCCTATTCCCTGATTCACAACAATATTGAAATGAGACCAATTAATAACCCTACTATAGCTTGCAAGTGTTCAAATGAAAGGAAGAGTTGCACATCTCTCACTTTAAATAAAAAGCTAGAAATGATTAAGCTTAGTGAGGAAGGCATGTTCCTCCTCATCCTGAAATAGGCTGAAAGCTAGTCCCCTTATGTCAAATGGTTAACCAAGCTGTGAAAGCAAAGGAAAAATTATTGAAGAATATTATAAATGTTACTCCAGTAAACACATATTATAAGAAAGGGAAATAGCTTTATTGTTGATATGGGGAAAGTTTTAGTGGTATGGGTAGAAGATCAAACCAGCCACAATATTTCTTTAAGCCAAAACCTGATCCAGAGCAAGGCCATAACTCTCTTTGATTCTGTGAAGGCTGAGAGAGGTGAGGAAGCTGCAGAAGAAAACTTTGAAGTTAGCAGAGGTTGGTCCATACAGTTTGAGGAAAGAAGCCATCTTCATAACATAAAAGTGCAAGGTGAAGCAGCAAGTGCTGATGGAGAAGCTGCAGCAAGAGATCCAGAAGATCTAGCTAAGATCATTGATGAAGGCATCTACACTAAAGAACAGATTTTCAGTGTAGACCAAACAGCCTTATATTGGAAGAAGATGCCATCTAGGACATTCATAGCTGGAGAGGAGAAGTCAATGTCTGTCTTCAAAACTTCAAAAGACAGGTTGACTCTCTTGTTAAGAGCTAATGCAGCTGGTGTCTTTAAGTTGAAGCCAATGCTCATGACCATTCTGAAAATGCTAGGGGCCATCAGAATTATTCCAAATCTACTCTGCCTGTGCTCTATAAATGAACCAACAAAGCCTGACAGCACATCTGTTTGCAGCATGGTTTACTGAATATTTTAAACCAACTATTGAAACTACTGCTCAGAAAAAAAGAATTCCTGTCAAAATATTACTGCTCATTGACAATACACCTAGACACTCAAGAGCTCTGATGGAGATTTACAAGGAGATTAATGTTTTTTTCATACCTGCTAACACAACATCCATTCTGAAGCTCATGAAATAGTGAAATGAGTAATTTTGACTTTCAAATTCTATTATTTCAGAAATACATTTCATAAGGATATAGCTGCCATAAATAGTAATTCCTCTGATGGATTTGGGTAAAATAAATTGAAAACCTTCTGGAAAACATTCACCATTCTAGATGTCATTAAGAACTTTCACAATTTGGCCAGGCACGGTGGCTCAGGCCTGTACTCCCAGCAATTTTGGAGGCCAAGGCGGGCAGATCACCTGAGGTTGGGAATTTAAGATCAGACTGACTAACATGGAGAAACCCCATCTCTACTAAAAATACAAAATTAGCTGTTCATGGCGGTGCATGCCTGTAATCCCAGCTACTCAGGAGGCTGAAGCAGGAGAATTGCTTGAACCCGGGAAGCAGAGGTTGCGGTGAGCCGAGATCATGCCATTGCACTCCAGCCTGGGTGACAAGATTGAAACTCCGTCTCAAAAAAAAAAAAAAAAAATTCACGATTTAAGGGAGGAGGTCAAAATATCAACATTAGCAGGAGTTTGGAAGAAGTTGATTTTAGCTGTCAAGGATGACTTATAGAAGTTCAAGAATTCAGTGGAGGAAGTCACTGCAGGTGTGGCGGAAATAGCAAGAGAACTAGATTTAGAAGTGGAGCCTGAAGATGAGACTGAATTGCTGCATTCTCATGATCAAACTTGAGTGGATGAGGAGTTGCTTCTTGTGAATGAGCAAAGAAAGTGGTTTCTTGAGATGGAATCTACTCCTGGTGAAGATGCTGTGTACACTGTTGAAATGACAACGAAGGATTTAGAATATTACATATTCTTAGTTGATAAATCAGCAGCAGGGTTTGAGAGGATTGACTCCAATTTTGAAAGAAGTTCTGCTATGGTTAGAGGGCTATCAAACAACATTGTATGCTACAGAGAAATCTTTCGTGAAAGAGTCAATCAATGAGGCAAACTTCATTGTTGTCTTATATTAAGAAATTGCTACAGCCACCCCAACTTTTGGCAACCACCAACTGATCAGTCAGCAGCCATCAACATCAGGGCAACACCCTCCATTAGCAAAAAGATGACTTGCTGAAGGGTCAGATGATCATTAGCATTTTCTCAGCAATAAAGCATTTTTAAATTAAGCCATGTACATTTTTTAGACATACTGTCATTGTATACTTAATAAATTACAATATAGTGTAAATGTAACATTTACATGCATTGGGAAACCAAAAAATTTGTACAATTCATTTTGTTCTGACACCTGCAATATCTCCATGATGCCTGTATTTCTTCAAATACTAAAAAAAAGAAAAGAGAATGGAAACAAAAATCAGTTGCAAGTAAAGCTAAATTCTCTCCCTGTGCCTCATTTCTCTCCTCCTGACATTTTTGAAGTACTCACCATTCTAATGCTGTATATTTTTTTCATCCTTGTTTTCATAGTTTGCTACTATGGTTGGGGGGACAAAATATGAAGATATTTAAGAGCATGTATGGAGCATGGCACCAACCAGAGTGATAACCAACCATATACCACTCAGCTTACCCAGCATTGACCCCTGAATGTTAGTTCTGTTCATAAGTAGTCTTTCATTAACAATGCATTGTTTTGTGAGTCTTCAAGAGATATTAGCACACTCTATTTCCTTTTGCAACTTGTCTTTCACTCAACATTATGCTTGGAGATTGCTTCCTGTAAATACTGATAAGTCTAGCTCACTCTCGATAATATCATGCTTTCTTGATGGGGAGAGGAAGGAAGTTATGTCCAGGAACCTGGGTGTCATACAAACAGAGCCTGTCCTAACAGGGCCATAGCTGGGCCTTGAATCTCACACAAGTATATGAGATGCTTTTGTGAGGATTGGGCCAAAAAAGGCTGTCATGCCTATTGCTTCATTTACTTGCATAATTTGAGGTTTCATAAAATTTGGGAATGCCTATTGTGAGAAACAAACTCACTTGTCCAAATTTAAAGAATGGACTCAGAGACCCGGAGAACAGCGAAAGTGAGACTTTTAAGGACCATCTTGCAAGATCAGGTGTCTGATGGGCAGGCACACCCAGCACAGTCACAACAAACAATTTACCCCCTAGTGCACAGGTTCCTCCCCCAGTTCCTCATAGGCTGACTACTATGGGGTCACAATCTTCCCACACGTCACCTATCAGTTGCTGGGCTGGGGCTTAGGTGTTTTCTTTGGGGTTGTCTTGCTGCATTTTGTTGCAGCCCACAATGCGTTGCATTCCTAGTCAGCTCAGGGGCTCTTTAAGTATTTGACTTATGACTTAAGTAGCTGGGCAGGCTGATGAGAATAGACAAAGTGAGCTATCTTGCAGGCTAGTAAACTTTCATCTTAGACTAAACTTTTTTGGTTTGGGTGGGGGCAACTAACGGGGTCGGGGGTGGTGCAGGGAGGTGCGCGACAAGCAGGCATTGACTATCCAAGCAGGGGCCTAGTGTATCCTGTTTTTTTCTGTAGTTTGCTAACCTAAACCGATTCAAGGCACTTTGTCTTGGACCACTGTATACGTTATTTCCTTCACTATCAATATGTAAATGTTATATTTGCTGGGAGGAAAACAAAAAATTGGGAACAGCAGGACTAGGGAAGCATTTTGCTATTTTGTAAATGGACACAGGGTCCTCTCTTGAATATCTATTGACAGTCCTAAGAGAAGAAACACCATGTCCCAGTACAGGTGGGAAGGCTGGGATGGAGAAGGGAGGCCCTCTTGTGCTGCCTAGGTACCAATCCAATAGCACCAATAAGCAAAGGGCCCAAAAAGGAAGACCTGGGGAAATGAGAATGCCTTGTATTAATTAGTAGAGGGGGTCTGGATGCCAAAGAGAATGGGTTATAGAGTTAAAGGGTTGGAATCTGCGATCTCATTTGCCTAAGTTATCAGAGGGTAAGAAATTCAGGCAGAAAGCACAGGTCTAGTCCAGGGAAAACCTGTAAGCAGGAGAAGTCTGGATTTAGGGCCTCCCACAAGGATATCAATGCATCTTTTCCTCCCTGCCCCCTTTCCCACCATCAAAATCATTACTCAGGAAAGAGGCTGATATTAGTCATTTATACTCTCTACAAGTAAATCTCAGGGGTATTTGCATCCTTCTTCCTAAGTGTGGCATGAGATATTCTGTTCCTGCTGGATCAGGTCCCTGCACTGGGGCAAATAATGGCAGGCAAGAGAGTACACTTCCTGCAGAGGAGAACTTGTCGACATCTAACAAAGCTACAGACTCATTTACTCTTTAGCCAACCTAAGCAATCCCACTTCCAGAAATTCACCTTTAAGATACACGTCCACGGATACAAAGCAACATGTGCAGGAGGTTTTTTATAGTGACATTAGTTATAATAGCAAAAATTAGAAATAATCCAAATGTCCATCCACAGGGGATTTGATAGAGTGACCTACTTGTTCCAGTTTTAAAACTGGAAGTCCCGTGTGCAGAAAATTCCCTCAGTCTCAGACAAACTTTGTCCCATTCATCTTTAAGCATTTCTGGACCAACCAGACTTATGAGATTCCTCTTGTATTTCCCTGGAATCAGCTATTTCCCAAAAGAGCCATCATTCATTTGAGTGGGGAAGGATACTGTTTTATTTTTATTTTTTGAGATGGAGTCTCGCTCTGTTGCCCAGGCTGGAGTGCATGGCACGATCTCGGCTCACTGCAACCTCCACCTCCTGGGTTCAAGCAATTCTCCTGCCTCAGCTCCCTGAGTAACTGGGATTACAGGTGCCCACCACCACGCTCAGCTAATTTTTGTATTTTTAGTAGAGATGGGGTTTTGCCATGTTGGCGAGGCTGGTCTCAAACTCCTGGCTTCAAGTGATCTGCCCACCTTGGCTTCCCAAATTGCTGGGATTATAGCCGTGAGCCACCAGTGGCACCCGGTCAGTACTGTTATTAGAAGCTAAGATTTGGGGACTTGGTATACTGAGGTGTTATTGCTTCTAGGGCCTTTCAGTTGACAGAGAAAAAATAAAAATATACGTATTATATATAATATATACAATTATGAGTTTATATTTACTCCAATTCAAATGTAACATTTCAGGTTTTCATTAAATCTATTGTATTTTGTATATAAATCGCTTTTTTCTTACTCTAAAAATCTTTTGATTCTTAATACTATTAGAATATATTTACTTATTTTCTTTATTCTCTAATATACATAGATAGAATAGTTTCAGGAATTTACTTCTTTGCTTTAATCTTACAATATACTTAAAAATTTTCCAAAGTTAAAAACCACTATTACCAGTACTAATACAATTACAAAGTAACCTTAAATATTTATATGCAGTTTTTTTTTTACTCTTGGAATATTTTTCACAGAGGACTAGAACCAGAGAACTGTATCAGAGATGTCTGAATTTTTTTCTTTTCTCGTCATATCTGTGTTACTAATTTGGTACGCAATTAGGTTCCTTTAGCCAAGCCTGATATGTTTTCAATTTTCAAGTTTGTCTTTTCTTTCTTTTTGATTTAATTTATTTTGTGAATATGTAAAATTTGAATGCAAAGTCAAAATTATGTGAAAAGCCATATTCAGAGAAGTCTCATTTCCACTCGTATCCCCTCCTTCACTTTTCCCATTCCACCTCCCATGAGCAACAATTTTTATTAGTTTCTAGTTTATCTTTCCAGTGTTTCTTTTTGTAAAACTAAGCAAATGAATATGTGTATGTAACATATGTGTGTATATGTTCTTATTTCTCCACCTTTCTTTTACATATGGTAACATACGATATACACTATTCTGCAGCTTGATTTTTTCCATCTGACAACATGTATTGTAGTCACTCCATAGGAACACATGTAGGTCTTCCTCATTCTTTGTCACATCTTCATAGCAAACCAAGGGTGAAGATACAGTGGTGTCTTCTATGGCTCCCAGTGTTTACTTCTGAGAAGGGACTGAGAGAAAGGGAGGGTAGGAAGGACAGAAGAGAGGTGAAAGACTTCTATACTTCTATATTGTATTCTATATAATTATTATTTAATGTTTTCTAATAAAAAAATTAAGGTATTCCTCTTTTAAAGAAATAGACTTAGCCTGGGCAACATGGTGAAACCCCATCTCTTAAAAAAATTTTTTTTTTTTTAGCTGGGTGTGGTGGTGCACACCTGTTGTTCCAGCTATTTGTCAGCCTGAGTTGGGAGGGTGGATTGAGCCCAGGAGGTTGAAGCTGTAGTGAGCTGTGATCACGCCACTGCACTCCAGCCTGGTTAACTGAGTGAGACACTGTCTCTAAATAAATAAAATAAATAATAGACTTTATCTTTTTAGAGCAGGGTTTAGGTTCACAGCAAAATTGAGAAGGTACAGAGATTTCTCCTATACCCTTTGCCCCACAAATACACGACCTCTCCCACTATCAACCTCCCACACCAGAGTGGTGCAGTTATTACAAATGATGAACCTATACTGACACACCATTATCACCCAAGGTCCATAGTTTCTATTAGGGTTCCCTTTTGTTGTATTCCTTTTTTAATTAAAAGAATTTTAACTAATGAGGATCTTGGTGAGGTGTACATTAGGAACATGTCACAAGAGCCAGTTGGCACGCCCTCCCAGTGGCCAAATTTGAAACAGTTTGACAATGACTACAATTTATTATAAAACACTGAATAAACAGAGAACCATAAGAGAGGGGAAAAAAGAAAAAATATTAATTGCTGCCCTTGAAGATAACGAATATACCAAGTCCTTATTCTGAAAATTATAATTAAAAAACAAAAAAGACATCCATCCTGCTTATTTGTGTGTAGGAACATTAGTTCATCCTCAGTTAATTAGGGGAAGCTCTTCTTTACAGAAAAATGCCAGTTCATAAACAGAAGAAACAATAGATTTAGAAAGGCACCATCTGACAATCCCCAGTGTAATAACCAATTCGGGCAATTCATGGAGGTTATCTTAGTTCACTGAACTGCTATAACAAGGTACCATAGACTGGGTGCTTATAAACAACAGAAATGTATTATATTTTTCTCAGTTCTGGAGGCTGGGAAGCCCAAGATCAAGGCACTAGCTGATTTGGGGTCTCATGACGGCTTGCTTTCTGTTTCATAGATGGAACCTTCTAGCTGTGTCCTCACATGTTGGAAGGGGCAAGTCAGCTCTCTGGGGCCTCTTTTATAAGGGCACTAATCCCATTCACAAGGGCTCCACCCTCACGACCTAATCATCTCCCAAAGGCCCCACCTCCTAATACCATTACATTGGGAATTAGGTTTCAATTTATGAATTTTGGGGGGACATAAATATTCAGGCCATAGCAGATAATGAAAGGCTGATGGAGAATACATATCTACACTGCCAAAGTATCACCCCATAGATTACAAAGGGGAAATGTGCCTTTATAATGGAGAAATCTGGTAGTCACTAACTCAACTAAGTGATTCAACCTAGCATCCTTTACCATGGGAAAACCTAACACTACATATCTCCTGAAAGATGCAACATGAAGGAAACAGCATTACCCAGAATGCCAAAATTGTTTAACTGAGATCCAGTCAAGCTTTTGGACAAAATTTGAATCTAAAAGAAACCCAGGGAGGTAGAAGAACAAGTCAAGTGAACTGTGAAGAAGCAATTAAATTAATCTAGAATGTGAGACATTCTATAAAACAGCTGGCATGGTCTCTTTGAAAATAAATTCCATGGGAAAAAAAAGTAGATTATTCTACGATAAAATAAATAGACATAACCATTGTAATACATGAAACTTGGTTAAACTTCACTTATTTATTTTAAACAGCCATAAAACACATTTTTGGGGAACAGTTGGGGAAATTTAAATTTGGGTCTAATGTTGGGTGACATTAGGGATTAATGTTAATTATCTTAGGAGTCACAAAGACATTGTGTTTATGTAGAAAAATATCCTTATTCTAAGGAGATGCATGCTGAAATAATTAGGGGTGAAGTATCGTGATAGCTGCAATCTATTTTCAGCAAAAATAAAATATATACACACAGAGATAAATCAAATATAGACAGTGTTAACAATTGTTCAATCTAGTTGGTGGGTATAGGAGTGTTCACAGTATTATTCTTTCAACTTTGCTGTGTATTTGAAATTTCCTTATAATAAAATGTTGGAAAATGCAGTTGTAAAAATCAAGCATCAATCCCACATTCTCTGTTGAAACTTTGTTTCAGAGGAACCAGATAGCCCAAGTTGCTGAAGGAAAGCTCTATGTCACAGAAGAATTGAGGTAACAGATGTAGAAGGAAGGGCGGACAGAAAAAGCATCATTTCACCAGCACTATGAAAATGGTTGATTCAAGCAAGAAGTATTTATTATTACAATCATCAGATGAATGGTTGATGGGACTAAGCATTCGTATGGTGCCATAGGAACATTACACGGATCATCTCTAGTGAAGGACTCAGACCATCATCACCCTTTCCCAACAGTGAAATTTAGGCTCAGTCAGGAAGGTATAGGAAAACAGCTCCACTGTGATGCGGTGACCTGGCATGACCCACACAGGCAAAGGCTTGAGCCACAGCTAATCTGAGTCTTGGTAGAACACCTTGTGACCCTCCCAGAACACAAGACGGTAAGAGGCAAGAAAAGAGCGGTTGTGGGGCCATCTCCCACCTACCTCCCTATCTCCCCTGGGAGGCAGTCATGGGAGAGCTTCTCATGGCCTCCCCGGCACTGATGAGGTATGGGGCTTTCTGCTCCACCCCTGTTGCTCCCTGCCTCAGAACATTGCTGCAGAATATAACTCTACTTAGCTACAGTCTACATTTGGCTCCTCAGCAATGGGGTGTCCTACAACCTGCATTGCAATTATCTGGCCCCTTTTGTTTCAGTGTCACCTTTTCTTTTCCTTTTTCTTTTCTTTTTTTTTTTTTTTTTTCAGGCGGAGTCTTGCTCTTGTCGCCCAGGCTGGAGTGCAGTGGCACGATCTTGGCTCACTGCAACCTCTGCCTCCTGGGTTCAAGTGATTCTCCTGCTTCAGCCTCCCAAGTAGCTGGGATTACAGGCACTCGCCACCTCGCCCAGCTAATTTTTTTGTATTTTTAGTAGAGACGGGGTTTCACCATGTTAGCCAGGCTGGTCTCAAACTCCTGACCTCAGGTGATCTGCCCGCCTCGGTCTCCCAAAGTGCTGGGATTACAGGCATGAGCCACTGTGCTTGCCTCTTTTTCTTTTTTGAGAGAGGGTCTTGCTATCTTGGCCAGGCTGGTCTCGAACTCCTGGCTTCAAGTGGACCTCCCACCTTGACCTCCCAAAATGCTAGGATTACAAGCATGAGCCACCACGCCCAGCCTCAGTGTCATCTTTTTGGCGTGTGAGACAAGAACCATGGGTAACTGGTACCTTTAGCATACTTCCTTTCACTGTCTTAGTAGGTAATAAGCTGCCTAAGTCTAAAAGTGGCCTACTGTGACTTTACTGATATAACCAGTCAGGTTTTAGCCTTGGTCTTGCCTTGTCTTGTATGTGAGAGCTAGACAAAAGGGTCATCTGGGCATTATGGCTCCCCAAAGTGCTGTGCTATGAAGCATGCAGCATACTCTAGCCAAACTATGTTCATCTTCAACATGTCAGTGTCATACAAAAGGGGATTGTGCTAGACTAAAAGAGATTTAAGGACATAATCAGATGCAATGTCAGGTCCTTGATTTGAAACTGGTTTGGATAAACCAGCTATAAAGGGTATTTTATGGTAATTTGGGGAAATTTGAATATGGTTTGAGTATTAATAAAAATTTATCTAAATATAAGATTGGAACCAAGTGGCTTACAAAACTGCATAGTATGATTTTATTTTGGCTTACAAATGTGTATAGAAAAATATCTTAAAGGGTGTATCAGTCACCAATTGCCACAAAATGCTGTGTAACAAAATAAATTTCAGTGGCATGCAATAATAAGAGTTTATTTCACGCTCTCTCATCTGTAGGTTCTCTGTAGTTATCTAGGCTGGCCTTGACTGGGCTGAAGGTTGAACCTAGATCTACTCCATGTGCATCTCATCCTCCTTGGACCAACTCCTACCTGAGGCACATCCTTTTCTTGGTGAGAGGCTAGAGTGCAAATCGGCAAGGTCAACCATGTGAGAACACATCGAGCCTCTAATTGTACCCTGTTTGCTAACATCCCATTGGCCAAAGCAAGTCACGTAGCTAGGTGCAAAATCAAGGGGCAGGGTGATTTAGTCCACCCACCACAAGGCCACGACACGGTGTGGATATATACTACTACTACAGGGGAATGGAGAATTGGTACCAATATTTTAATCTACCACAAAGGGTATGCTCTAGACAAAAGTTACAACAGTAACAGTTAAGTAGTAGAAACATGATGTTTACATTTTTTAAATTTTTACTTATTGGCATTTTTCTAATTTTCTGTAATAAACATATACTCTATATTGAAATAATGACAACTTTTGTTTAAAACTTAAACAAGTAAAACAGCTACTTAGAAGTTCCACCTTATCACTCCAAGCCCTCTACCTCCAATTTCATATCAACTGGGAAGATTTTACTCTATTGAATTAAACGTACCTACTTCTGGAGAGGCTGCTCTGTTCCAGGCACTGGGGTTAGGGAGTGGGGGATTGTGGAAGGGTAGGGGAAGGAGACTTCTCTCTCCCCAGGCCACTAGATAAAAGGCCATGTTTGTCCACATTGGGAGGCTGATGGGAAGAAAGGATGCCAGACCAGTTGGCCTGTCCCTGGGGCTTGTCTCAGGACCTCCAGGAAGTGCTTCTGAACTGCAGGCCCTCGTGTGTGTCTCCCATTTGTCAAAACTTTGACCTGATCTTTTCAGAATCCACCTTGTGAGGCCCCAGCCTTGGAAGCCACTGCCCATTGCCAGAACACGGGGAGTAGAGCAGTGAGCACTGAGTGGGCCTGAGGCTGCCTTTCTTCCCTGGCACACGTCCTGAGGAGGGGAGGTTGTGGCGGCACCAGGCAGAAGCTATGCCACTGCTGCGCTGGGTCTCCCTCCCCAGAAGCCCTCACTCTTGATTTGCTCAAGCTGTTCCCACTGCCTGGGATCCTGCTTCCCCTTTCTCTCTTCCTCCTTACATCTTGACTCCAGTGTCACCCTCCAGGCAGGAATGTCTTAATCCTCCTCACACCAAACGATCCCCTCCTTTCTCTGTCTCTTCTCCATCTCCAGCCTTGGTTTTCAGCAGGCTTTGTTCACACTTCCATCCCAGCAGCCATGGCTTGGGCTGGGGCTCACAGCCCTCACACTCAAATGCTGTTTACTCATTTCATTAGACGAACATGCCGAGTACCTACTATGTGCCAGGCCCTGCTTTAAGGCCCTGGGTATGCAACTGCAAACACAACATTCCAGTGGGAGAGACAGAAAACACAAAGAAGTGATTGGGAAATAATTAACCTATGAACAACCCACACTGGTGTCTGTGTCTGTCTCCCCATGAGACCTAGACCCCACCTCTGATCTTGTTTCTAGTTTCTGGTACAGGGCTGTGCTTATAGCTTGTGCTTAATCACCATTTGCCGAGTGATCAAGTGAATAGACAGCAATCAGTTGTGGATGGCTTGTGTGGATATGATGGCCTGGTGGCCTTAGACCAGTGCCATGGGGATCAGCTCCTTCTAGCTAGCCATTCACTCTCAGAAATAGTCAATGCTTCCCTAAGCCCAGGGCTGAAGCACCGGTTGCCTCGATGACCCAATAAAGCACCCCACACACATACCCTAGAAGACAGCTGCCTGCCCACTGACCCCCTACCAGGATCCCTACCCTTCTGACAAAATTGAGTGTGCCAAGGGCAACCTTGTCCCCAAGGACTATAACAACAACAAATATAAATCCCTGATATGACACTTGGGCCCCTCCAAGAAGCAAATGTTCAAGTCAACAAATGTTTATTAAGTACAGGCAGATGAAACTCATATAGCTCCCCATCAAGGAAGCATGGGGTGGGAAGAATAAGCGGACACAGACATGGAAAATTTCAATATAGTAAAGATGAAGTCATCAAGTACAGCTTCCAAGGCCTATCAAGACTGGGCTGGAGGACTGAGTTGGCTGGAGGGCATGAGAACGGGCCAGGCACAGGAGGGTCAAGGGTGCTCCCAGCAGAGGTGGCAATGGGAGCCATGGCAAAGGCTGGGATGCCTGTAGCTGGGGAATAGGCAGCTAAGCTGTCCAGTGTTTCTAAAGAATAAGATGCCCAAAGGAAGCCCTGCCTTCCCGAGGCAGGATATGAGGGGCTTTCTTGAATGATTGCCAAGGTGTGTGACCTATTCTGTCCTTGGCTCTGCTGGGTACAGTGCTCGGGACAGGGTGAACTAAAATGCTATCTTTCTTTAATTTAAACATTTAAAAAATATTCATTACAAAAGAAACACATGTTTATTATGTAATATTTGGAACACCCAACAAAGCATAAGGAAAAAAATAAAAGTCACCTACAGTCTTCTGCAAGAGTTAACAGTGGCTGATATTTCTTGCTGAGAGTGGAGCACCCAGCATTTCACAGGTCTCACAAGAATCCTAAGAGGCAGGTACTCTTAGCTGCATTTGCTAGATGGGGAAACGGAGTCATGGGAAAGATAAGCAATTTGCACAGGACCACTCATTAGCAAACGAGAGCCCACATTCCAACACAGGCAGCCTGAGTTCCAGACACTCTTTCTTAACCATTAGGACCATTTTGGTTTACAGCTGCATTCCAAACTAGTTGCTGCGGAGCCCCAGGGCTCTGCAGTAAACTTATGGGGTATTTCAAATAGTTAATGGAAATATAGTAATAGCTATCGGTCACAGATTAACTACTACTATTAAGTTGTTTGGATCCAACTACTTAACAAATAAAACTGTTGGGTTTTTATTTGGTGGGGCGAGGATGTCGAGGGGTGTCTAGGGGCTTTGTAAAGAATTGCTGAGATACTAAAGTTTCCATGGGCTGAGAACGTTTTAGAACATCCAGCTGATAGTATTCTATGCAGGTGTATACCACCTTCTTTTTCACTTACAAAATGAACTCATGACATATATGGAATTTTATAACCTGCTTTTTTTCCCTTTCACAATCTGAGAATACTTATGCATGTATTTAAGTGATTTCTTTTTATTTAGCTAATATTCCATTGTTGGATAGATTTTTTTTTCAAATTTCTATCAATAATGCTATGAGAACATTTTTGTAAATAAGGGCACCGTATTGCTCAGCCAAAAGGTGTGCATATGTTTAAGACTTTCAATATGCGCCCAGATTGCTTTCTAGAAAGGTCTTCTCTAACTGCATTCTAACCAAGTACAGCAAAATGGCAGTTCACCCATAGTATATTCACCCATCTGTATATTATCATTTAAAAAAATACTTGCCATTTAGTAGATTAAAAATGTGTTCTCGTTATTGTTTTAATGTACTCCCTCAGCTGCTAATGAGTTTGGCAATTTTTTTATTTGTTTATTGGCCACTTGTGGTTCTATTGTGAATTGCCTATTCACATTCTTTACTCGTTTTTCACTTGGAATGTTCATCTATTTCTTATTGATTTGCAAGCCTCCATCCAATTTTAATGAAAAGCTTAAATCCCCAGCACAGCTGTGAGAAATGCTGATGGCTGCAGTTCTCTGCAGATTTAATTGTTTTAATAAGTTCCACAAAGACTCAAAGCCTAATGAAGGTATAGATCTGATCTGTGGGGCTTAGAAAAGCTATGTAATTAGAAGTTTCCTTTCTCAGTCAAAAGCCAACTATATTTATCAGTTTAACTTCCTACTTTTTTCCTATTTTGAAAAATAATACATTTAAATATATCCTACTGGTCTTGGCGGCATGGTAGGGAGGGCATCAGAACAATGTCTGGTTGTTATGTAACTCTCCAATTAATTTAGGGTCTTATTTTCTCTTTTGGTTTCATATTTTGTCTTTAAAGTGAAGGCTTCAGATCTCTTTGGTTCATTTCTGCTTTAGCTGCCTCTGGAACCTGAAGTGAGGCTGTCACCTAGCAACCAGGGCTCTGCTTATAGAAACAGAAGACTTGGCCCTGGCCAAGAGAGGAAAATCACCAGTTGGAATAAAAAGTTTTATGTTTGAACTAGAGAGCAGCCAAAGGTGCAGCGCCTAGCAGGATGCAGTCGCCAAGCTGTCCTCCCAGAGGAACCCCAGGCTCTCGGAGGCCCAGACACAGAGTTGGGGAGGGCTGATGGCTTCAGCATCAAACTTTGGGAGCTTTGCTCCCCATCCGGAGGGGCAATGGCAAGTGGAATGCTTTCGACTTGGATCCAGAAAAGAGGTTTTAACTCCCCTACCCCACAACCCCTGCATGATCTGATCTCTTGGGACCCTGGTCAGTTCTGGGGGGCCACAAGGCTTGAGGCTTCATGCAAGCATTTGGGGATGCAGGCTGCTCCCTTCGAGTTCAGTTTTATCACCTGGGTCTGAGCAGGAATATGTACTGGGCGTGGTGATGCATACCTGTAATCCCAGCTACTCGAGAGATAGAGGTGGGAGGACTGCTTGAGCTCAGGAATTCAAATCCAGCCTGGGTAACACAGCAAGACCCCATCTCAAACAAAACAAAACAAAGACTCCAGGGGCTCCCACGCTGTGAAGCTGGGGGATAATATTAACACTTCCAGGATGTTCTGCATCCATCATCAGATGTAAGGAAAACCTGGAGTAACTAGAGTTCTGGAGTCACTAAGATTCTGAGTAGAGGAAGGGACTCTAGCTGGCTTGCTGGACTTCAGTATACTGCAATCCCACTGGCAACACTGCCCCTATTTAGTAGTTACAGCATTTTCCCTTGAAACCCCACCCCCTTCCCACACAGACACCACCCACCCCCAACCATGGACTCCCACCTCCTTATTTTTCCTTCTCTTTCTCCAGGACATGCCCTGGCCAAGGGAATATTACTGAGCCTGATCAGAACACAGGCCTTAAATATTCTTCTGTGGTTTGGCTTGCTCTTCTGCCCTCTGTTATGAAAATAAAAGTCCCAGGTAGCCCCTGGTCCAGGGAGAACAAAGAGATACGTATTACAGACCTAAACTCAGCTGTGGCCTGAAGTAGAGTCATGCCAGCCAATCTCCAGGCCAATGAAAAAGAAAAATGAAATGTTTGTTGTTGTGAACCACTAAGATTTGGGGACTATTTGTTAGGCAGCTTTATTGCAGCAATACCTAACTAATACACTGCTCATTACTCACTACCACTATTTCCTTCTACATGTCCCGATACTTGTATCTTCTGAGGCCCACTTAGTCAGCTTTTCTTTCAAATCTTCAGGCTTTACTACATTCTTCTAATAAATTCCTCTCTTTGCTAAAGTTAGTGGGAATGGATTTCTGTTGCTTGCAACTCAGAATGCTGACTGGTAGAGTTCGTCTACTAAATCTCCTCTCCAGAATTGACTATGCCTCCATCTGAATTCAGAACCTTCCTCATACGATCTGAATGGTCATTTCCAGCCTTTTCCCCATCTCCTTTTGTCTTTAGGGAGCCTCGGCTGCATCCAACCGAAACAACCTGTGTCCTGAACAGGTTTCCCTGTTTCCTCCCTGGAGGACTTTGCACACATTTGGTCTGGTGGCAGCATTCTCTCTATCTTCAACTGCTGAGTCCTGTGAATCTTCTAAACATCACCTCTTCGAGGAAGTCCTTCCTGATTCTCCCCTGGAACTCCCATCTCCCCTCTGTAATACTGGATGCACTTGCCCTAGTTGTCCTAGTCTGGATGGTGCCTATCTTTCTCTAAAGAGCTGCTGTGGTTTATTGCCTTACTAGAGGAGAATTTATGGAGACCAGCACTCAGGGGTGGCAGAGAAATCCCAAATCTTTTTCAATGTCACTCATCCCCATTAATCACTTTCCAGTGGGATTTCCTGACACTTGAAATCAAGGGTCCTGTGTTGTCTACTTTTGCATTCATATGCCAAGCTCAGGGCCTGGAACAAGGGTGTACTCTAAAGGGTTATTTGAATGCAGGAATGAACAAATGCCCATCTTTTCTAGAATCTGAGTACATAATAGAAATATATTCCTGGCCAATCACGTGGTTCTTTTGATCTGGATGAAACATAGCCATGATTTTTTCACCTTGTCCAAAGATGAAGTTGGGTCTTGGACAACTGCCAAGACCTGGGTGTCAACCACAGACCAAATATTATTGAGAAACATCCAAATGAAGCACCCAACACTTAAAATTCACTCAGTTCTTAATGTTACAGTTGATGGGACCACAATGGCCTATGCTTGCAGGCTCAGTACATATAATCCATGAAACTGAGGTTTGGTGTAGGGAAGCAGGAATCTGAAACCCATGCAGACAATAAAGGGAAGGATGGGAACTGGACTCCAGACTTCCAAATTGTCAGTTCTCTATTCCTTACAAGTAGTAGAAGTTTCCATGGCAAAACAGACTAGAGAGCCTCCAAGCTGGGTTTTTCCATTGGGTCTTCCTACACAGCCTGTTAATAGGGCGGGCATCACCGTTCCTGTGCCAACCTCCACAGTCACAAAGGCTGCTATTCTGTGGCCAGGAGGATTCTTAAAATAATAGTGCTGCCTGCCTCTGTGGGCTGGAGCCAGCTGTCTCAGCACAATTGGTTCCTGAACTACAATTTCCTACTTCTGGTGATAATTGGTGTCATAGTAACTGGTCAGCCACGTCCATTTCTGTCCTGGTAGCCAGGGCTTGGTCAGGCAGGGGAGAGACCCAGAGTGAAAAGAATCAGGTGAGCATCATGTGATGGGATAGGAAAGACTTTTGGAACCAGAAAGATTCGAATTCAAATCCTAACTCTGCCACTTGCTGGTTCTGTGGGCTCCATTTTCTCATTTGTCAGGTGCGAGTGATCACTGCACCTGCCTCAAAGAGTTGATGTGAGATGAATACTGTGTCTGACATATAGTGATGGTTAGTGAATACTGTGTTACTGCATAAAATAAGAAAGAGGGCTGCCAGAGGCAGACCCTGAGACAAGGAGTTGATTTGGAGGTGATTCTGGGAAACACCAGTATGACAGTGGGGAAGTGAGTTACAGAAAGGAAGACAGTGATGCAGCAGGCTTTAATGTGTAGGTTACCCTGAGAACAGTGAGAGTTCAGTCCCACTGGGCACCTTTAAGAGTCAGGGTGGAGCATGCCTCAGCATTGTCCCCCCCAGCAAAGGGTGAGGAAGTTGAGGTATTTATCCACCCCAACTCCCACCCACCAGTGGTCATGGCTGCTGGGGAGTGGGGCTTAACTTTCCAGCACAACTTGCTCTTTGCAACAGCTTAATGGGCTTAAGAAGCCTGAGAAAGCCTGCTTTGGGCAGCAAGTTGCAGCTGCTGGCAATTGACATATGGGGTCCATGTGCATGGGAAAGATCACTGTGGGGCACCCACAGCATGTATTACAAGGGTCCAAAGCTCATCAGGAGAAACCAGGGCTGTCATACTATGTCTGAACTGGGCTAGAATTAGGATGCATGGCTGGGTGTGGTGGCTCATGCCTGTAATCCCAGCATTTTGGGAGGCTGAGGAGGGCAGATCCCTTGAGGTCAGGAGTTTGAGACCAGCCTGGCCAACATGGTGAGACCTTGTCTCCACAAAAACCAAAAAAAAATTTTAGCAGGGCATGGTGGCGAGTGCCTGTAGTCCCAGCTACTCGGGAGGCTGAGGTAGGAGAATTGCTTGAACCCTGGAGGCAGAGGTTGCAGTGAGCTGAGATTGCACCACTGCACTCCAGCCTGAGGGACAAGCAAAACTCTGTCTCAAAATAAAAACAAAAAAAGAGTTAGGATGCAAAACCTAAAAGCTTGGAGCTGGTGCGGAGAGCCTGGGGAGGTGGAAACTGAGTCAGGAATGAGGTGAGGGTCCTGGACATTTGTCATCAGCTGCCTTGGAAGCCCCAAACCCTATATTCCTGGGTGCCAGCCACATTTGTAGCAGATCAGCTTTCTCTCTATTGGGATGACCTAGGGCAACATGGGACTGTGTTGAGAGAATTTCTTACTCTTTCCAAAACACAAGGGTTACTATTTCACACACACACCCTTACCCAGCTCTTAGTACAAGCTGTTTAGCTTTAGCCATAGCATGGGCGTGGGGGAGGGTGTGCATGTGTGTGTGCAGGTCCTTGGGGGAGAACCTTAAGAACGACCACTTTTCTCATTGCCGGCAATGACTACAGATTGGGCTAAGCTGAATAGCACACTAAGACATGCACAATCAGGAAGGGATGAAGAATGGAATTAAGAAGCCCTGTGCATCAGAAAGTGGCTGAATTCTGTGTGAATCCTCCCAAAGCACACCTTCCCTTAAAGGTCAGTAGATAGAAGCTTTTTGAGATGCCTTAAGCTGTTAAAGTCCAGTGTCAGAAATTCCCACTGGGTTTGAATTTCAATGGATTACTTGAGTTCCCTGAATGCTTTGCAGACAGAAATAAAAATACATGTATATATTTGCTAATATGTATATATATATGGGTTAGGCTTTGTGACTTCTAAATGTAAGGATAATGAAATGAAAAAGTAAGACCAAAATGCCTCATCATCCTCATGGAAAAAACACCCAGGAAAATAACTTTTAGAAACCGAGTTCCCAGTAGAGCGTTCCTCGAGGTTTATAAATTTACTGATAATAGTTATCATTATTATCACAATGATAATTCTCAGTATTGCTATTTTAGCAAGTACCATTGTTTAAGAACCTTCCATCTGCTCCTTATCTTGCTTTTCATATATCTTATTGCATTGAAAGCTCAGGAATTAAGGTGTGAGGAAACAAAGGCACTGAAAGGTTGATCGATTTGCTGTGGGTTGCAGAGCAAATCAGTGGTAGAGCTGGGATTCAGCAACAGACTTTTCTGGTTCCAAAACCTGTACTTTAAATTATTCACTCCAAGTGCAGGGGGTGACATAGTTGAAATGGATTTCTTTTTAGTGGTAAAATGTTATTCTTGTAAGTACTTCTTGACCTCTTCATCTATTCTTCACTGTAGTCAGAATTTTCATCCCCCACAGCACAGTACTTTTCACCCAGCTTTGGGATTTAGTGATGGTTTCATGCCAACCAACTGTCGAGGCCACCGATATCCTGAGCCAGTATGAATTAATTTGAAGTTACACTTACGACTTGGGAGATTTAATATCAAAATCAGGATTTCTAGCTGTTTTTGAAAAATTACAGAATCAACAACACTGATACGGCCCTCCCTTCAGCTCACCTCAGTCCCCACCTGTCCCTGCTGTATCCTCGCCACTGGTGCCAAGTGACAGGAGCCACAGAGCATCACACCTTGCATTGTGTATTTTCTTACAATAAATTAAGTTTTTCTAATTGCTCCTCAATTATTTTCTCTCCTTTCTGGCATTCATAGTATTTGACTTTTTTTAAAACTTTTTTGAGACAGGGTCTCACTCTGTTGCCCAGGCTGGAGTGCAGTGGCATGATCACAGCCCACTGAAGCCTCAACCCATCCTCCCACCTCAGCTCCCCTGAGTGGCTGGGACTAAAGGGGTGCACCACCATACCTAGCTAATTTTTTGTATTTTTAGTGGAGACCAGGTTTCACCATGTTGCCCAGTCTGGTCTTGAACTCCTGGGCTCAAGCAATTCGCCCACCTCAGCCTCCCAAAGTGCTGGGATTACAGGTGTGAGCCACTGTACCTGGCCTAGTATCTGACTTTTTGGTGCCTAAAAATCAAGGATCCCCCCGCCTCCACAAGCAGTTCTTCAGCTACACCAAGAGCCATTCTGAGTTCTATCCTGTCTTCTCTCCTGTGCTCTTATCCTGCTGAATGGCACAAAGACACCAACTCAGCTTCAGACAGACTTTTGTAGAATAGTCGATCTAACCGTTGTTATTGTGACATCCAGCAACTTCCTCAGCCTCTCTAGCTTCTGCTTTCCTTATTTGGAAAACAAGCCCTGGTTACTTTACCTAAAGACAGTCAAAAGTCAAGCCAAATGGCTAAGTTTGCCCAGTACACTGGGAGCCATCCTGCCAAATGAGCGAGCCACCAAATTATCTGATTCTTTTAAGTATTCTGTTCTCATTAGCCAGCTTTCATCTTGTCTACATAATAGGATTTTATGAAATATGCAACTTGTGTCTGCCTTAGCACTCTGCTCTTCGACTGAAGACTGAAGTACCCAGAGAGAGGGAAGCTGAGGGAAGAGCCGGGGAGACAGGACTAGAGAGGCAGGCTGGGGGCTGAGGAGGCATAAGGAGAACACATTCATGAAAATATGCTCTGTAATATGAACAAGAAAGCATGAGGAATATGCTCATCAGAGTTCTCCTTATTAAAGAATATATTATGCTTCTCTTTAGCCCTTTGACTCCCCCTCTTTATCTTCAGGCTCCACCAGCAGCAGCAGAAAGCAGGAGCGGGGACATTGGATGTTCTTTTAAGACATTGTTATAAAGATGGAATGAATTCAGTCAATTGGGAAATATACTAGTACTTTCCTTACAGGATTGTGGGAAGGATTAAAGGAGCTAATGATTCTGAGGTGTGTATCGACAGCACCTCACAGTGACTCCTGTTATCACACTACTCAGAATGGCACCGCCTGCCACCCAAATCCACAATCCTCCCCACCTTCATGTGCCATCAAAACCAAGATTCTACCCACATAAGGGCGACTAAAACAGACCCCTCAAGGTTGTGGAAATGAAGGAATTAAGGATGTCCTGAGAGTTAAGCCATAAAATCAGCTCATTAAGGAATGTGCAGAAGTGCAGAGGCCCAAGAACAAGTTCCAGGCCTGCAGTGGAATCCACCCTTCGCAGGGAGAATGGGACCATTGATGGAGGCCATGGCTGACCAGGGAAGCCTGAAGGTGGGGAAGTAGAGGCTGAACATTGTTGGTGCCCCCCCACCCTCTGCCCTGGGAAGCCTGGGGCCATTAAAACATCACTTTACATCAATAGCCCTTCATTGCCAGTTCCTGGGTAGGAAGCCACTCTGGGATAACATGGCTTCCCAAGATCAATGCCTCCAGGGAGAACATGTGCTCATCTGGCTGATGTGAACCTCCAGACTGCTCAGAATTAGTCAATTTTCTTTCCAGTTTGTTCTCAGGTCCCTCAGTGGTTGTTTATTCAAGCATCCAATAACTTCTGGAACTTAAAAGATTGAATTTCTGAGCTTACATGGCTGAGGGCCAGACCCCAACGAGTGACTCATTCTCCAAAGTCAGTTTCCTCTGGCGGGGGCGGATCTCTCTATATGAGCAGCACCTGGCCCTATGTGGCTGTGGGCACTTCCCACTGGTAGCCTCAACCACCTCAACAGGGTGCCTGCCCTGGAATAAAAGGTAGGGAGCCATACTGCTGCAAAAGAGAATCCGGTTTCAAGGTCCCCATGAGGCACCAGCAAATTTTGTTCTTGATCAGGACTTATGGCCTTATCTAATAATGTTGGCAAGGAAAGGGGAAAGTTTCTTCCTATATTAGTTTTAAAATCTAATTGAAGACAATTCTGTTGCCTAGACAATGGCATATTAAATCATTCAGCAAAAGCAAGGATTTATTAAAAATTGTCCTTGATCTATAGAACAAGGGAATGTAATAAATCTTCCAGAATTTTTAGCCATGCTTACTACACATCATGCTCTAAAATTGCATTAGGCATGGAAATGAGATGGGGCAAAGGGCTGCAGGATCCTGAAGCAGTAGGACAGTATTCCAGAGCAGTCTGACCTTTTGGTGACAAGTGAGTCTCCCGAGCATGTGTCCAGGAGAAGCAGGGAATAGGGAATAGGGTGTGTGTTGAGCATAATTTGTCCAGGAACTAGGCTAGTCAACTTGACTATACAATCTCCTTTAACCCTCACTGTCTGCCTATGGGGTAGATCATTTTCTGGGTTGAAAAAATCTCTGTTATAATAAGTTTCCTTAGGTGGCAAAAGAGAGAAACCAATTCCAGCTAGCTTGAAAATCAACTATCCCCCAAGCAGTTCTTTGGGTATACCAGGTGCCATTCTGAGTTTATCCTATTCTCTCTTCCTTACATGTAGGGATACTAGGCAAATACTATGTCCCACAGAGTGATAGGGAAAAACACAAAAGCCTAGGTATGTAGTGGGTTATTCCATCTAGGTTTGTGTAAAGGCACTGTCTGATATCCACACGATGAAATTACCAGAACATGTTTCCATCATTAAGTGATGCATGACTCTCTGTGTGTGTGTGTGTGTGTGTGTGTGTGTGTGTGTGTGTGTGTCACTAATGCAGTTAGACTGTGTTTAGCTTGCAGAAAGTGAGGTAATTTGACTATTATCTGGGCCTGATATTTTTCACCCCAAGTCATACATGCCAACAGATACATGGTAAGGTCCTGTGCAGCTTAGTCATCTTAAAGGACCTCAGAATCACTTCAACCATAATTCCAACCAAGGCTGGAGAAAGGCAGGAGCCTTCGGCAGATCTGTGGACTCAGCAGTGGGTTTGCTGACTGCCTTTCTGGTGCACTGACATTACCATGACTCAGCTCGCCAAGGTCTATGTCTCTCAGTTCAAGGACAAAGATTGTGATAGATACAGCCAAGATTGGGTTCTCCCCTGGATCTATCAGGGATGGCCAAGGGGGTGGGTATGTTTTTTGTAGACAAAGCCTATGAGGGCTCATCCACACAGGATTCATGAGCTGTTCCCAGGGGAGCAGAACTTGTGAGCCAACAGCCACTTTGGTGGTGGCAAAGTCCCCAGTGTCCCAACAGGAAGTGTTGAGATTGGTACAAAATCAGCATTCCATTCCCATCTCCCCTAGTTTCTCCCAGGCATCTCTATTACAGGGGCCTACAGTGTTCATCAAGGCACTTATTTACAGGTAGCAGAGAATGTGGCCTCTGAAATTTAGCAAGGCCCAACTGTTTAACTCCCAGTGGCCTCAGAGGGTTGACAGCAAGAATTTCCTTTGCCAAAGTTATATATCCATTCTGTTGCTGTCACACTGCTTTCAAGTGGCCATCCCAGCTTGTCTGGAGTTTGTATCCTTCTTGAGTCACTTACTAAAGTCTGTAGACGATCTCTAATCCCTGAAGTACTCTGATATTTTGCTGGTCTGTCCCCAAGTCTCCACCACTGAACACATGGTCTGGCTTCTGGGAGACAATAAAAGGTTGTTTAATGGATTGCATTGTCCCTGTATGTAAAAGGACTGCCAGCACCCCAGGCTGGGGTTAGGGATGCCTCACTTCTTCCCAGTGCACCTCAACTCAGCTGGTTCCACGTGTTAAGGTGCACTACCTTGCAGCCCATTCCTGAAACTCATCTCTATATTAGTAAGATGGAGTGCAACTAACGTGTAGATTTAGTGCTTACTGTTCACTGTGCTGGTGACCCACACTAAATACTTTACATGCATAATCTCACTTCATTCTCGCAGCAATCTGATGAAAAACCACTGTTTTTCTATTTCTCTTTTTATTTGACAAGTGAGAAAACTGAATTACATAAAGATGTCACAGGTGGCCCAAAAATCGCACCTAGCAAGTTGCAAAGCAGGATTTGAGTCCAGAGCTTAAGTGCTTAATCTCTGTGCTGCTGCTCTTCTGCTTGTGAGCAACAGAAAAGAAAACTGCAGCTGGTGACTCTATTCACCTATTGCTGCATAACAAGCCACTCCAAACTGAGTGGCTTATACCAATAGCAATGATTGTTTGCTCACAAGTCTGTGATTTGGCAGGGCTCAGCAGGGTCAGCTTATGCCTGCTCCACATGGCATCAACTGGGACAGCTGGATTGAGGCAGGAAGATCTACTTCCAAACTGCCTCACTCATATTGCTGGTTAGTCAGTGCTGGCTGTTCATTCTTCTCCACTTGGGTGCCCCTGTGGGCAGCTCGGACATCTCCTCAACATAGGGGCTGGGTTCTAAGAGAAAAGCACCATGAGAAAGAAAGTGTGAGTGCCAGTTTCTTAAGGCCTGGGCCTGGAAAATGGCACAATGTAACTTCCACTGTATTCTAATAGTTATTCAATTACCAATTAACAGAATCTGGGGAGGGGCATTGACCTTGCCTCTTGAGAGGAGGGATATCAAAGAATGTGGCCAGCCATATTCTCAAACTACTACATTAGCTCAAGCAAAAGGGAAGTTTATTAGAAGCCCTCATGTTATCTCACAAATTCCAGAAGGCCAGGAACCAAGAGAAGACCCAGCTGCTTCATCACTGGGAGTTATGTCTCTCCTCTCCAGAACTCTGCCATCAAAGAAACTCAGCTCTGCTGTCTTCCAGCCTCTGTGTTTCTCATTGCAAAATCCCAAACTCCTCAAAAAGACAATCAGATTGACTCACTCCGATCCTCTTATGGACTGAATCTTTGTGCCCTCCCAAAACTCATATGTTGAAATCCTAATCCTCAATGTGATGGTATTTGGAAGTGGGGCCTTTGGGAGGTAATTAGGATTAGATTAGCTCATGGGGGTAGGACCCTTATCCTGGGATTAGTGCTCTTACAAAAAGGGAAGGAAACACAGGATCTCTCTCTCTCCTTCCTGCCATATGAGCAGTGACCGAAAATTGTAAGTATTTTGAAGGCCAAGTCTCACAGGAAAGTGTAAGCAATTGATGGGCAACTGCAGAAGACAGCCGTCTGCAAACTAGGAAGTGGGCCCTCATCGGACACCACCTCTTGGACTTTCAAGTCTTCAGAGCTGTGGGAAATAATGTTTGTTGTTTAAGCCACCCAGCCTGTAGTAATCTGTAACAGTGGCTGGAACCTAAGACAGATCAGTTGTCCATCCTGGATTCATCACCTATGGCTAGGGGGTCCATGTCTGCATTTCAGGCACTTTCCCAAAAAAGGACAGTGTTTACTGCCCTGTTTTATAGATAAGTAACTGGGAATCTTGTGAGTGTAAGTTATTTGCCCAAAGTCACATAACTGATAAATTGTAAATCCTATATTTATGTTCATGATCTTTCTGCTTCCTCTAAAGGGCCATGGAGTAAATAAAACGTTGGAGCTAAGCAGCCCTTGCATTTACCAAGTTCTCTTGGTGAAAATGGTTAGTGGGCAGCTGAACCATGTTAAATAATACTTCCCTTGTCAATGTGAACTCAATCCCTTTGTATTAAAATCAAAACAGCAGAGTGTTCTCTGTATACATAATTGTCCCTCCCTCAGAGTTTCTGATTCAGTAGGTCTAGGGTGGGGCCCGGAGACCAGCTTTCTAACCAGTTCCCAGGTGATGATGATGATGGTGCTGGCCCAGGGACCATATTTTGTGAACCACTGATCTAAAAGAACAGACATCTACATTACAGGATTTCTTCTTATTGGAGCTTCTGGAGTAAACTAGTCAAGGATGGCTGCTAACAAATATTCACTTTCCCACCACACTTCCATGGGGGAAGTGTGCTTCCTTGCTCCACCAATGTGGGGCTGGGCCCTGGGTCTTATTTTGGCCCCATGGTTGATGTCTACCCCTGCTGCCTACCAACTTTGTATTTGGCCATGTTATTGGCTTTGGCCAATGGAATGTTAGCCGCTGTGGCATAAAATATAGTTGTGTGGTTGGGTTTGCCTTCCTATGCTTCTGCCTTGAGAAGTGCTTCTGAGGGTAGCTCAGTGGTCCCAGAAAAGTGAAAAACTCAATGTTGCAGACCTGAACCCAATACTGGCTAGTGCCAAGTCCTAGTGAGCCCAAATTAGATCAGGTCACCTGCAGACATGGGAGAGAAAGATAAATGCCTGCTATGGTAGGCTACTGAGGTCTAGAGTGGTTTGTTACATAGCATTGTTGTGATAAAAGCTAATTGATGCAGTGACTGATGTTGGACCTTTCCTGTTCTTTAAACTATTCCTTGACCCCCTTCATTTCATAAATGCCTATACCAAGACCTGCATGAAATTTTGAATTTTTTTCAGATTTTAGTATTTCAATCTATATCAATTCATCGAAAGAAAGTCATCCCCTGCCCCCCAGGAATGAACTAAACCAAGAGATTATTTTAAAATTTCACTTAAAAATAATGAAGAAGGGATGAACTAGGCCATATTCTTTGCCGGCTGTGTAAAGTGATCAAAGTCAACTGGCTTAAAACTGACATATGATCCTGAACTCGGAAAAAAGCTACAGAAAATGAAAGCCAGCGTTGAAACGACAGCACATCCGGAAGGAGCAAGAATTTACCACCGAGGTAATAAATTGGAATGTTCTGGAAGGAAAATCTATCTGAAATGGCAAAAAGTGACCAAAAGTTGTAAGTATTTTAAAGGCCAAGTCTCATGGGAAAGGGTAAGCAATTTCCTGGCTTCTTTGCTAGGCCCCGTTTCACTGGGTGGAGATCACTGTAAAATATAAAATTCTACAGAAATAAATCTACCTTTTAGTCATGGAAACTGTTATTTACATTTACCCTTCAAGACACTCAGTGGGAGAGACCTCCCTCCTAAAGGCGGAGTCCTGGCCAGTGACTTTCATTAGGATCTAAGTGGATTACACTCTGACTTGCGCATCTTATTCTAAAGCACATGAGCTAAAAACTGTAGCTTTCTGTGAGGGGGAAAAACATCCTAGGGATCACACTGTATTCCAACAAGCACTTTAAAACTTTTAAAGCATCCACCATGGCAAAACAGAGCAGGCCAATTCTAGAGAGGAGAAGAAGTAAGAACACAGATCCAATGTCATAGGACACATACGGATCACCTACTGTTTGCCAGAAACGGTGCTCAGTGTTGTATATACAAAGTCTTTCACTAATAACTACAACTGATATTTGCAGCCTGCTTTGGTGGATTGGGCTGTGCAATGTTCCAGTGGTTGACCCATTTCTCTCCCTTGCTCAACAAAGTTTTAGAAAGATATTCCTTAATCATAGAATGTGCTAAATTAGGCCATAGCAGACAATATAGAAATTGTGTTTCTGTGTGTGTGTGCGTGTAGTCTTGACAGATAGTCTTTGCTCCAGGGAAGAGACAGTCTTTGACAAATCTTTATTTACCAGGATTCCAATCTATTCCAGAGTATATGTCATATTAATATGTCATATTAATATTTATCAAGAAAAATATTATTGCTATTATTGAGGTACACTAGCTAGCGTGTATTGACTATTGAGTGTATACCATGCACTGGGGACATCTCATTTAATCCTTATATAACCCCAATCATTATATTAAATTCCCAATTTCTCTACTGATTGCCCTGTTTATATAGATCAGGAAATGGAGATGACCAACTTTCCAGGGGATCCAACAGCTAGTAAACCATGGGGCTGGAACTAGAGCCCAGATCCACTGAACCCCAAGGTCCCTACTCTGAACAGCCTCCCTGAATGGCCTCCATTTTAGCTTAAAGGAATTTTTTAAATACATAAACTTTCAAGGACAAGCAGAAGAGACAACTGGACAGCCTGCTAGAAATGGGAAAGCAGAGCATGCATAGCACCTGCTGTAGCAGACCCTAGAAAGCTGACTCTTTGGCCAGCATAGAACAGACACAGCCGGAGTTGCCCCTAGGCGGCCTCAGAGATTCAGGAACAACCGGCAGCAGTGATGCTTGGCAGTGAGGGTAAAGCGAGGCTAAGTGGCTCAAAGTCTGCCTAAGAGTCAGTTAGGCCCCAGCTTTCCTTTCCACTCCACACAACCAGGTGCTTGTCCCCCACTACTCTAGCAGAAAACTATCATTCAGTTATCTGAAGAGGTCAATGCTGGGGGTTTCTGAACTGGGGGCATCAGGCACAGTTTAGGGCAGGAGTATTATACTGAAAACAAGAGGTTTAAATAAACATTTATACATGTGAAAGATGAGACCCAGCCTACTCCTCAACCTTCCTCCCAAACTGGCTCCAAGAATGGGGCAGCCAAGCCTATATACTCCAGGTGGGAGGCTGCAGCAACCTTCTCTGGGGAACATGGGCAGCCTAGGAGGGCAGAGTGAAAGACCTGACATCAGTGATGCCTGCAGGGAAACTGTCCAGCCGGATGGCTCCATGGTGAACCCCATCATCTCCAGTATCTCCAGTAACAACTGATTTCCACCAAAAAAAAAAAAAAAAAACCAACCTTATTTTACTCTTTATATTATGTGCTTATATAACTTGATGAACCTGACTAACTGAAAGCTCCAATCAGCTTCTTAAATATAAATAACCAAACAGGGATCAACACACATCTTAGAGAAGACTGTAAATAAAATAAATAGGTAGAAAGAAAGAGACTGCTGCCAGAAGAAACTAACAAAAATGTATCATAAAAAGAAAAAACCAGAATTGCATCTTCAAAACAACATAGGATGCTAATAAAAAAGGGAGAAAGAAACATTCAGAGAGCAAAGAAAGCCCTTAGACATAAAAAACATGAAAATAGAAATGAAAAATAAATGGAAGGTTTGAAAGAAGTCGAGAAAATTGAGAAAAGTTCCCAGAAAGTAGAGGAAAAAGTGAAAGAAATAGAAAATGGAGAAACTATTAAATGAATGAATGAATGACAAATACAAAATGCACAAATAATGGGAATTCCAGGGAGAATCAAAAATCATAAAAGAAAATTCCACAAAATATTCCAAGATGATTCTCTAGAAGTGAAGTACACAGGTTTCCAGATTGAAAGCCCCATTATATTGGAGGAAATAGACCCCACATTGAGGCATGTCACTGTGAAATTTCAAAGTGTTAGAGACAATCCTACAACCTTCCAGAAAGAAAAGACATACAAAGAACTAGAATCAAAAATGGCTTATGGCTAATCAAGAGCAATGTAATCAATATTCTAGAGGAAAATTATTTTTGACTTAGAGTTCTGCACCCAACCGAAGTATCAGTCTCAAGTATCAAGGTGGAATGAAGACATTTCAGACATGCAACATCTCAAAAAATTTCAAGAGTCCCTTGCACTCTTTCTAAGAAAGCTTGTGGAGGGCGAATTTCAATAAAACAAGGGTATAAACCAAGAAGAAAGAAGGGATAGGCTCTGGAAAACAAGGGATCTCAGGAGAGAGGTGAAATTGATGGTGATAAAGGAAGATTCAAGAATGACAGGTGTGCATGAGGTGAAGAGACCAGTGAAGACTCAAGCAGTCAGAAGTCATGAGGAGGAGGTTTCTTCGAGAAGATGAACTGAAAGAAAACCCAATGAATCTGAACATCCTGAGAGGAGAATTAGACAACTGCAGAAACTTTTGGGGTTGAATGAATGATAAGTACGTAGGAAACTAAGCAAACAAGCAAAAACAATGCTTCGCTAAAGAAGAAAAACACTGTTCAGGAAAAAGAAGTTATAGTAGAGCACTCTGTGGCTCAGCTGTGAAGAGCATTTTCACAGTCACAGTGAAAGCCAAACATTGATGGAACCCAAGTTAAAGGTGCATTATACTGGAAGGATGGGGTGTGTGTGTGTGTGTGATGAGGGTAAGGAGCAAAAGACAGCTGGATCTCCATCTTCCTGGTGTAAGGCAAACCCTGATTTCACACAAACCAAGAAGTAGGAAAAGAGCAAATTCTTTAGAGAATTGGAGGTAAATACCCAAAGCATCAGCTGAAAGAGTTGAATATGTTTTTTTCTTTCCTAAGGAGTGGAACAAGAGAGAAAAATGAAGGAGTGTTGATCTTCACGACAAAATCTATTTTGCTTTTTCTATTATGAGCTTATATAACTTGATGGAAATTAATAATTTAAAGAAACAAACTACATTAACTTAAATGTTTTTCCTGTGATAATTACTTTAAAAAAATAACCTAATTAAATCTGCCCTCTCTCAGGATTTGTAAAGTCTTTTGCCTCTTTTCAAAAAAAAAAAATAAATAAAAGTCTTTTGCCTCTTTTCAAGGACAGTCATGCATTACATTAACAATGTTTTGGTCAACAAGTGGTGGTCCCATACAAACGGTGGTCCCATAAGATTACAATACCATATTTTTTCTGTACCTTTTCTATGTTTAGCTATGTTTAGATACACGAATACTTAGCACTGTGTTGCAATTGCCTACAGTATTCAGTACAGTAACATGGTGTGCAAGTCTGTAGCCTAGGAACAATAGGCTATATTGCATGTAGCCTAGGTGCATAGTAGGCTATGCCATCTAGGTTTGTTAAATACATTCCGTGATATTCACATGATGACAAAATTGCCTCAAGATGCACTTCTCGGATGTATCCACATCATTAAGTAAGGCATGCCTGTAAATAAATCCCCTACTGAGGAAGAGATGATGCCATTCACTCAGCACCATGGGAGGCCCTGTGGGATTATGGGGACCACAAAGAGCCTGGATTCAAATGCTACCCTCACCACTTTCTAGCCCTGTGGACTCTAAGTTATTAAAATGCTCTAAGCCTCAGCTTCCCCTTCTGTAAAACGGTAATACTAACACCTGTCTGCTTTCAAAGGATTATAATATTGAGGGTCAGGCACCCGATAAATAGTAGATATTATAAAGCATGAACTAAGAAAACACAATTGTGTTGGTTTCTATTGCTGCTGTACCCAATGGCCACAAAGTTAGTGACTCGAAAAAACACAATTGTGTTAACTGAGGGTTCTGGAGGTCAGAGGTCTAAAATCAAGGTGTCAGTAGAGCTGTGTTCCTTCTGGAAGCTCTAGGGGATAAACCATTTCTTTGCCTTTTCCAGCTTCAAGAGGCTGCACCGTTCTGATTCCTGCTTCCACCATCACATCTCCCCCCGACCTTCACTCCTGCATCCTTTTTTTTTCTTTCTTTTTTTGAGACAGGGTCTCACTCTATTGCCCAGGCTGGAGTGCAGTGGTGTGATCTTGGCTCACTGCAACTTCCACCTCCCGGGTTCAAGAGATTCTTGTGCCTCAGCCTCCTGAGCAGCTGGGATTACAGGCACCTGCCACCACGCCTGGCTAATTTTTGTATTTTTAGTAGGGGCGGGGTTTTACCATGTTGGCTAGGCTGGTCTTGAACTCCTGACCTCAAGTGATCTGCCCGCCTCAGCCTCCCAGAGTGCTGGGATTACAGGCTTGAGCCACCACGCCCCCCCCCCCCCCCCCGCCTCCCTCTTTTAAGGACCCTTGTGGTTACTTTGGGCCCAAATGGATATCCGGAATTATCTTCTCACCTCAAGATCTTTAACTTAGTCACATCTTCAAAGCCCCCCTTTTTTTCCATAAAAGGTCACATATTTCCAGGTTTGGGGGACTAGGACATGTATATCTTTGCAGAGCCGATTATTCTGCCTATCACAAGGATGAAGTTGGTTTTCAGAAGTAACAAAAAGTTAGATGATTTCACTATTCTCTCCCTTTTAAAAATGTTTCTTAAAAATTTGAACCACAAAATTTGTTAATTTTAAGAAGTTACTGTTAATTTTTTGGATCTGATAATGGTTGGCTCAGATTTTTTTGGTTTCTTATTTCTCAGAGACATGTATTAAAATATTCACAGATAAAATGCTATGATGTCTTGGATTTGCTTCAAAATAATCTTATATTGAAGGAATGAGTAGGAATAGAAGTAACCAAGTTGGCCACAAGTTGACAATAGAAGAAGCTGATTGATAAGTATGTGGGGGTTCACTGTGCTTTGTCTTTATATGTTTAAAATTTTCCATAATGAAAAGATTTTTTTAAATTCGCCTTTATATTTGCGTTTTATTTCTCTGCTAACTTCCACCACCTCAAGGCTTAATATTACTCCAGTCACCCACTTTACTTTTACTCCATATTTTATTTCTTCATTTCCTCACCTGAGGACAATAATAATAATAACAACATACTGTGCAATATTTCATTTAACTTTCACAGCAATCCCTCGTGCATTGCTATTGTTGTCTGTATTTATCTCCATTTTGCAGACGAGGGAAGTGAGACTTAACAAGATTAAGTACCATGCCCGAGGTCAGGAAGTCATAGAGCTGGAATCCAAATGCCTGGTTCATAAGGTTGCAATGAAGGACTTCATGAGATAACTTATGTGAACCACCTAGCGTGGGCCTCATACAAACAGAGAATTTCATGTGTGTCACTTCTTACAACTATAAGAGAGACGAAGAGAAGATAGGACATGTATTGCCTCTCACAGTAACAGTTTGACTTCTGTGAAGGCGAAACACAGATCTCACCCAAGGCTGTGGAGGGAGAGCCACAGAGGGTGAAGCATCCTTATCTCCACACCTGCCGTCCCTTGGTGCTCCACATGCCGCCTCCCCCCAACCCCTCATCGCCGTCCCTGCTCCACCACCCCAACTCTCCCTGCTGCCATTGATTTCCTTTTAGACAGGTGTGCAGGGTGGGAGGTTCAAAAAGAACAAAAGAGAAAGGAAGAGAAAATTTGCCAGGAACATGAAACTTGCCTCACTTTCCAAGCTCAGAAATTCTGCCTCAGTAATTCAGCAACATGGATCATCTGCCTACCTCCCTCACCTCTAGGTCCTCCTGTCTCCAGCCAGGGCTACCCCTCCCACCCAGCTCGGCCCTCTTTTTCCATCTCCTCCTGCTTCTGTCTAAAGGGGGAAGCCTCTCCACAACTGATTGTTGGGACAAATCTCACTGGGCCACAGAGACCTTTCCCACCTGTCAGCCAAGCAGTGGTCTTCACCTCCCAGGCTCCAAGGTAGCAACAAACACTGCAACCACAAGGTCGGTCATCACAGCCTCCAGGGGTCGTGAGCAGGAGAGCGATTCTCACAGCTCCATCTCTCCTTTTCCCCCCTGTTCATTCATCATCCTGTAAGTGGGACTCCCTTCCCCAGAGCTCATTTGTGACAGTGGGTGGCCAGAAGAAAAAACAAAAGGGGAGTCATATACAGGAAACAATGTGTAGAATGAAATGTGGGCAGTTAGAAACATCCTTCACCTAGCTATGCGCACTCTTGTCAAGAAAAGAACTGTTTCTGGAGTCCCCAGTCCAAGGGTCAGATGTTGTATCAGCCTCCCAGTAATCAAGCACGCCTGGATTTTATCCCGATCTTAAAAGTGGAAATGACAAACAAACAACAACAAAAAACTCCCAAAAGACAAGCAACTTGGTGGATGCTCACGGCTGGTGAGCAACAGCACAGACACAGATCAATCTGATGATTCAACCCAAGCTCCTTCTACCAGGCTTGGGGTTATTCAGAAGCTGTTTTTCAATTATTCACAGGCTGTCTCAGGAAGTTAAACAGGATGTGCAGAGGGCCCCTCAGAGAGTCATGAATGCCAGCAGAGTTGAACGCTTCTTGAGATGCTCAGCACTAGAGAGGCGGCTCCCAAGGAACCTGGACATAAACTGAAACCAGTAAAATTTTTGAACATTTGCTGAACAAGCATTCAGAACTGCTAAGCTAGTTGTGTGAGTCTTATTTTTAATGAGTGTCTGCATAGATGAGATGGGATCTCTTGTAAAAATGACAATCAGTCCTGCTGAGGCTGTTTTTGACATGTGAATTTAAAATTCCATCTTCCTTCAAAACGGGTGACCAATAGATAATAAAAACATTTTGTGATGACAGCTGCCCTGACTGGGAATTGGGGAGGGGTGAGTTGTGGGGAGGAGGTAGGGAAGCAAAGAGAGGGTGGCTGCGAGGCATTGGAGAGCCCCAGCAAGGAGGGCCTATGTGCCTTGCCAAGAAGCTTAGGCTGCTGAGGGACTGAAAGCCATATGATTGTGCCTGGGCAAAACAAACGATATTCATTAACTTCAAAGTGCAAATGGCCAAGACATTGTCTATTGGCATCCAGCTCCACTTGCACCTGCTTCTATGTCCTCCCCTGGGTGGTGGGAGCCAGGACCCTCGGAGGTGCTCATGATGACAGGGTTCTGCATACAGTCTAGGATTCACCACAGATATATATTCATGGAGATCTAGAAGGCAGAAGGGAGGTAACAGACATTCTTCCTCTGACAGAAACTGTTCTGGACAGAAAATGTGACCCTAGATTCACAGGCCAGAATTCTTATAGTAGGCCATGGCTTCCCTGCCAGTTACCTCACTCAAGGCTGCTGAGTTGCTGGGAAGTTGGCAGCAGTTTCCTACACATTTCAGACATCCTAGAAGCAGCAGCCACTTTCTGACTCCCTGCACCACAGGCGCAATGGTAAACCCTACAGGTGGCTGACTTGCTCCTGTAGCTCTTCTGTTAATTTTGCCAGCAACTAATTCCACGGAGCCTCTGGAAAACCCTGATAGGAGAGTCACAGCATAGCACCGTAGGGTCTTAAAGCAAAGCTGTGCCCTATTCCAGAAATAACTACTTTCCTTTTGAGAAGCAGTTCCTACCTCGCTCCTAGGGCTGACTGTAGGAGACCACATGATCTGAACGGGCTACTGTGAACTAGATGTTCTCTGATGCCCAAGTCACAAAGGTGGCTTTATGTATGCAGCAGCATGGCATCATCCAGTGACAGAAGTAATATTGGTCTCAGTCAGGTCCTGAAGGCACCAGTAGGTGCCTTCCTACTTATAGGAATCCATAAGCGGGATTCCTATAGTACCTCTCTCCACTCCCTCAGTCTTCACCTATGGCTTCATGGGGAGTTCTTTATGATCAGTTGACTGAGGAAGAAAAAGCTCCGACAAAGTTCACGAATGGATCTGCACAGGGTGCTGCACCAACTAGATGAAGAGTGCTACACATTATACGGAACATAATGGGGAGGGAAATTCTCCCTCTGGGCAATACTTTAAAAAAGACCACTGGTTGTTCATTTTGCCTGGAAAGAAAGATGTTTACAGGTAGAGATCTATGCTGATTTATGGGAGGTAGCTAATGATTTGGCTGGATGGTCAGGGATTTAGAAGGAACAAGACTAAGAGATTGGTGGCTATAAGGTCTGGAAAAGGGATTTGTAGATAGTCCTTTTGGAATGGGCACAGCGTGAGGATATCTGTATGCTGTGTGAATGCTTGCCTTAAGATGCCCACAGCAGGCAAGGCTTTTAATAATCTGATGGACAAGATGAGCTATAGATGTCAGCAGCCTCTTTCCCTAGCCACACCTGGTGAACAAACGAAGTGGCTATGGTGACAAGGATGAAGTTTTTGCATGTTCTCAACAACAACGATTTCTCTTCTCCAAGACTGGCCTGCCCAACCTACCAATAGCAAAGACCCTAATATAACATCAATCCCCAGAGGGACTAACTGGACACTTTGTGGCAGGTGGATTACACTGGACCCCTTTCATCATGGCAGGAGCAGCTATTTTTTTTTTTTTAAGATGGAGTCTCGCTCTGTCACCCAGGCTGGAGTGCAGTGGCACGATCTCGGCTCACTGAAAGGGGAGCAGTTATTTTTATATTTACTGGAATATGTGCCTGCCCTGCTTGCAATACTTCTGCCAGCTCCACCATCCATGGCTTTACCCATTGTTATGGTATCTGCATAGCATAGGTTAATTGCAAGTGGTGGAGATTGACTACATGCCTATATTCTAGGGCAAATAACCCTTGGCTGATACCATGGGATGTATTAACTAAGACTGATGTTCTGTACCCTTGGGTCAGTGAGTTACTTTGGAACAAGATGAATCAGCATGCCAGAATAATTGGACTGATAGTTTGCACCTGGTTTTGGTGGAGCCTTGGAAGGGGGATTTCAATTATTAAGGCTGGCCACATAGCTACAGCATGCTTATATGACCAGCTCATTTTAAGATACCCCAACCACAACCAGGTTCTCCGCTACCGAGATGTTTGACATACGTACCCATGGTAATAAGAGACCTGGAGACAATACATGTCCAGTGTGACCCAGCATTGTGAGGATAAAGAAGTCTGCACCTGAGCTATCTGGGCCCCTTTCAATGCATATCCATTTTCTGCTACTATTGTACTGTATGTACAGATGTCTATTCAATAGTCAAATGAAACATATAACAGGTATTTTTGTATGTGAATTTGGAGTTTGAGGGAAATATTGGGGAAGAAATATATACATATTTAGAAGTCATAAAAACACTGATGTTATTTGAAACTATAGGAGTAGATGAAAACAGAGAAGAAATCTGAGGACTGAGCCGAGGTCCCTCCAACATTGACCAGGAAGAGGAGGGGACACCAATAAAGGAGCTCAAGGAGTAGTGACCAGAAAGAGGGGAGACACCAGGAATATAGGTGGCCCAAAAGACAGTGAATCTGGTGTTTCAAGGAGGGAATGATCAATCATGTCAAATGCTGCTGAGGGCTAAGATGTGGACTAAGAATTGATCACAGCATTTTGCAATATGAGACCATAATACTTATAATAAACATGCTTCCAATAAAGTGGATTGAACAGAGAGGGGAAGGTAATACAGAGAAGAGAGGAAACTTGGATACGTTTTTTGAGGAATTTTTAAAGAAATGGTAGGAAATCAGAAGCCGAGAGAGATTGTTTTAAGTGGGAGATATTACAATATCAGTTTTAAGAAATGGTAGGAAATCAGAGGCCGAGAGAGATTGCCTTAAGTAGGAGATATTACAATATGTTTTTTTGATGGTGTAAGCAATCAAGCAGGGAGGGAGAAAGTGATAGTATATTATCACTTCTCTCTCTTTTTCTTTTTTTTCTGAGATGGAGTCTCACTCTGTCACCCAGGCTAGAGTGCAGTGGTGCGATCTCACTACAACCTCTGCCCCTGGGCTTAATCGATCCTCCCACCTCAGCCTCCCAAGTAGCTGGGACTACAGTGCACACCACCACACCCAACTAACTTTTTGTATTTTTTTTTGTAGAGACAGGGTTTCGCCATGTTGCCCAGGCTGGTCTTGAACTCTTGGCCTCAAGTGATTGGCTTGCCTTGGCCTCCCAAAGTGTTGGCATTACAGGCATGAGCCACTGCACCTGGCCTATCAGTGAGACAAGGCAAGGGAAATTGAGATCCAGGAACCAAGTGGAGAGGCCTGCCTTAGCTGGGAGCACCCGCAGTTCATAACCACATGGGGAATGGCAGAGTGTGGGGGTAGACAGATGTGGGGATGGGGCTGCAGATGGTCTTATCTGATGGCTTCTATTTCCTCAGTGAACTAGGAAGCAGCAGCAGCAGCTAAAGGTGAATGAAGAAGGAGGTGTGGGAGAGTTAAAGAGAGAGGAGAAAGCATGAAACAGTCATCTAAGAGGTCAGAAATGTAAAGGTGCACTTGATAATGGTTTTTAAGAATTTAAAGTGACACTAGTCAACAGGATTTTGTGGGATTTTTTCTTCTTTAAATATGTACAGCTACTTGGGTGCAAACACAAAATAGGTAAAGTTGGTTGTAACCAGGATTGGGCAGCCAGGTGAGTATGTCGGAGGGAAGAGCACAGGGGATGAGGGTGCATGCATGACATCATTATGATGGTGGCTGTGGAATCTAAGCCAGGGCAGGAGAGAAGTGAGGACATGAGGTGAGAGACAGTGTGAGGGTGATAGGACCAATCCTTAGAGATTCCAGTGGAGCCAAAGAATTATTGGCATCAGAGAGCTGCTTGAGGGATGCAATGGAAAGATATGAGGTGGCGTTCAAAGAGTGGGGTCTTAGAATTGAGATTTTTAAGGTGGTGGAGTTACTAGTAATGGCAAGGCTGATAGGCTGAAGTGAAGTGGAGGACAAGATCTTTCCAGGTGATGAACTCAAGGAACCAAGATGCCAGGGTGCTGGTGACTTGCCTAAATAAATACTGAAGCCACCAAGAATGATGACTCCAGTAGTGGTGGAAAAATAGTGAGCCAAAAGCCAAAATCTTCAGTGAATGAGGGGCAGGAACAGGAGAATGCAGGAGGAACACTTGCTTCAAAGGAGCTAGAGCACTTCAGGGAGGAAGGAGGAAGCAGCAATGGGGAGCAGAGGCTGCCTGGCTCACCTTTAGCTCAGAAGTGTGCAGGGTTTGAAATACAAAGCAAAACCAGCCACAACTTAGGGACAATCGTGGAAAGCAGTGTCCTGAGTGTGCATGAGATGCAATCTTCTTACTCCAGTAAGGGACTTGGACAGGCTATGCTGCAGGATACACATGGCACCAGACGTGTGCGCGTGCACACACACACACACACACACACACACAACCAGGCCCTCCTGGTGGCAGATCTGTAGCAGCGTTTTTACTCATAAAGTCAGCATGGTGCTGGGAAGCAGGCGAAGGGCCCAGAAATCAGAAGACCCCCATGGCCTCACTGCTGCCCGCTCAACATCACCACTGTGTAGCTAGCGCAGCCAGGGTCACTCACTTTGTTGCGGTAGGAAAAATGAGGCTCAAGGAATTAACTGGCTCAATGATAAGTGGCAGAGCCAGGAACGATCCCTGTGACTTCCGACATTTTCCAACCCTGTACTCTTTGCACTAGCCGGTTTCTTCCAAGTTTCCCCAAGATCAGAGTTATCTGGAGAAGCTTTGAAAACACAGATTCCCTGGACCACATCTCTGGAAATATGGATTCAGTAGGTCAGACACATGGCCCAGGAATCAGCATTTTAACAGTCGCCCCAGGTGATTTTTGTTTGTTTTTTTGAGACAGAGTCTTGCTCTGTCGCTCAGGCTGGAGCGCAGTGGCGTGATCTCGGCTCACTGCAACCTCCACCTCCTGAGTTCAAGTGATTCTCATGCTTCAGCCTCACGGGCAGCTGGGACTATAGGCATCCACCACCATACCCAGCTAATTTTTTGTATTTTTAGTAGAGATGGGGTTTGGCCATGTTGGCCAGGCTGGTCTCGAACTCCTGGCCCCAGGTGATCCGCTCACCTCGGCCTCCCAGAGTGCTGGGATTACAGGCATGAGCCACCGTGCCCGGCCTGCCCCAAGTGATTTTTACTATGACAGAAGCTTAGAAATGCTGTAGATTTCCACACTGTCTTCTCGATTTATTTTGTGCAGTTGAGAAAATTCACTCAATTTCCCAGCCTGTGAACTGGGCACCAACACGATGACCATTGTCCTGCACTAGTTGCCTAATACCTCTTAAGTGCAGCATCTTAATTAAAAAACTAGAGACCCAATTTTCCAGCTAATGGAGTAGAAAATTAATACCAATATAGTACCAGGGTTTGGAAGGGAGCTCTGTGTGGGGATATAGGTTTTGAGGAGATACCAATCCCAACTTCATCACTTACCAAACTGGAGTAAAGCCACATTATTTAGCCCTAAGCCTCAATTTCACCATCTGTAATATGGGTATATTTCATAAGTACCTTAGGAGGTTTTGCAAGGCTTGGAAATATCGTGTAAAGGTCTGTGTAATATTTATATGGTTGGAGTTAATATGATAGCTGCTGGTAACAGAAGTAATAATAATAGGAGTTGTTGTTATTGAGATTTCCTAATCCAGCTTGGATCATTCTGTAAACCAGACAAGGAGATCTGCCCCCAGAATGAGTGCTCACTGGAACACCCATTATCAGTGGGCTTGGGCAACCCGAGAGAGGCTGTTCCAATCAATACACTAACATTTGCTTTGTCCTCATGCCTCACGCCCATGTTGACACAAGTGCCCATTAGAGGATGGTGAGCCGCAGCAGAAGCAATGGGCTGGAAAGAGGCGGCAGCGCGCTGGATTTGGCACTCGAGGAGATAGTGTTTTCATCAATTGCAGGTTATTAATTCTGGGTTAAGATTGGATTGAGGTCGTGTGCATTATCGTTCTTGGACCTACCCTCGGAAGCAATGTGGGGTTCCCAGCTCAATAAAAAAGTTGATCAAAGCTTCACATTGATCTCAACTGCAAGTGCCACTGCCAGTAATTTTACTGTATGATTCATGCTGTGTGGTTGGGGAATATAGAATACCCTCTTCTCTAGAGAGGAGGGAAAGCCACACAAAACTGTTTGATTAAGCTCAACAGTCGTTACTGAACTTGAGTAAAAGTTCTGTCTCTGAAATTCTAACTTACAGCCATTTCTTCCTTCTGAAAGTAACCAAGGTTAAGACAAAAAGAAAGGCTGAATTGATTTGGATCTTGCCTGCCTTTCACGTAGCCACTTTTTACCTAATTTCTTCAATTTTTTTCTAAATTACAAAGAGTAACAATAAAGAGTTATATACATCATAGTTTGTCTATATAATGGAAAGCTGTGCCGTTGTTAAAAATGGTGCTAGGATCCCTGCTGTAGACCTGGAAATATTAGATCACAAAATATTGAGTGAAAAAAGGAAGATACAAAACTGTATGTTTAGTAGTAGTCCATGTCTGTAAGGGGAAAAATGTGCACACACACGAAAGCAGGGAAGATATACACACGAAAAGTTTCTTTTCCTAAGTCAGGATTGCCCACTTTAGCAACATGACAATGATGAAAACTTCTGTTTCCAGTGAGGGGATATTCTTAATTTCCTTTTTTATGACTACTTATGCTACCCAGGTTTTCTTCATTAAATATATGTTGTTGGGGTAATTTTTAAAATGTGAGAAATAAAAAGGGGCAGCCCCAAACAGGGACTTCAGCACTCTTTGTAATGGTTTTTAAAATGGCAATACCTAAAGATCTAACATGGCCAAGATCGGTGGCTCACACCCCTAACATTTTGGGAGGCGAGGCGGGTGGATCACTTGAGGTCAGGAGTTCAAGACCATCCTGGCCAACATGGTGAAACCCCGTCTTTACTAAAAATACAAAAATTAGCCAGGTGTTGTTGGTGCGTGCCTGCAATCCCAGCTACTCGGGAGGCTGAGTCAGAAGAATCGCTTGAACCTGCGGGGTGGAGGCTGCAGTGAGCCGAGATCGCGCCATTGCACTCCAGCAATGGGTGACAGAGCAAGACTCTGTCTCAAAAAAAAGAAAAGAAAAAAAGAAAACATCTAAGAGTAGAGCAAAAGTTAAATAAAATATGGTGTGTCATATACTGAAATACTCACTGGCACTAAAATTTCACTTTGAAGAACTACAACACCATGGTGAAGCACATGTGACTGACAGGCTTTCTCCATACTACTCTAGTTCTTTTCTTCCTGTATGAGGACTGAAAGGTGAAGAACTATGTTCTCCAACCCCCATGATGGTGTGGGTCCCATAGGTGACCTGACCTGCTGAGCAGATACCTGTGCTCTTGCTGCTGCTGCTACCAGATCTCAGGCAGGTGTGTCCAGGAAGCCCAGGCTGACAGCTGTACTCCATCCCATGAAATAAGCTGTAAGCCACTAAGCTTTTAAAATAAGCCCCTTGCTACTTAAAGTTGAAACAGATGTAGGGGAAAAGTGTCTTACCTTATTTGTTTGTTTTCTTTCTAAAAAGTCAGATGCAAAACTCTCTAACTACAACATTATCATGGCATTTTTGAAAAAGAATAAAAAACCTATACAGAAAAAAGATCAGCAGGAAATGCAACCAAAACATAACAGCAATTGTCTTTGAGTACTGAGATTATAGGAAAATTTTTCTCCTTTTTAACATTTCTGTATTTTCCCAAATTTCTCTAATGCAAATATGTGTTATTTATAACTTTCAGAGACTTTTTATAAGAAATGAGCAACTGTCATTTGATTCCCTTCATAGACGTGCAAAGAGGATTCTGTGGTCTCTCCCTTCCCCGTGTGTCCCAGTGTGGACACGCCTTGGCTGAAGGCCCTGCTTGTGCCAGCCTCTCTTCCTCTCTTCTTTCCTCTTTGGTTCCACTGTACCTGTTCTTCCTTTTCCTGTTTAGTATTGACATTCATGGACACATCTTGTTTTTCAGATAATTTCCTTCCTTCAATTCCTCCATATGAGATTAAATAATAATAAATCACAATAATAGTAAATAATGGTGATTACAGAAATAATCATAATCAAAGCAGAGACCTTTGGCCCAAGTTGAGTAACTAGTTTGGTTTATTCTGCATCCTGCATCCCCGGATGAAGCAAACTTTTGTCTTTTTCCATCTGGAACTCTTAAAGTGGTGAGATCATCAAAAGGATTGACTGAAGCAGCAAGCAGAAAAGCACCTTCATTCACAAGATGCAACTGGTGAGTGCTGCAGGGGCCATGCAGGTGGCTACAGCTTGCAACCATCCAGCCACCGTGCCAGGGTATCGGAGTACTGGCAGTACCGGGACCAGGTGGGCCTGTGGAGAGAAGTGAACAGGAAGGGCTCCTCAAAGTCAGAACTCAGGGTCTCCAGGGCTTCACAGCCCCATTCAGGCCATTTACACCTGCCTGCCCCTTGGAGCCTTTGAGTTTTCCACCTCTGCCGTGGGCACGATTCTGAAGGCTTTTGTGCATCTCCAGTGCTGTCTTCATCACATCCTGGCTTGAATACTGGTGCTTCCTCCATCCTAGTGCCCACATCAGCCCCCAACTCATTCCATAAACCCCACATGGTGAGATGAGGAGGCTGAACTGTGAACTGTGAAATTCTCCCCCAACCCTGCAACGGAGGTATCATTTGCTTCTCTGAAGTAAGCTTCAGAGAAGTTCCGTGACTTTCCCAGAGTCACATGATGAGTCTTTGGCAGACCCTAGGCCTGCAAATAGAACCTTTGTCCCCTGGGCCAGGGCCCCTTTCACCTTTCCACGTACCTGCTCCGCTCTTCACCTTCCAAAATTCCTTCCAACTCTTTAGCCCCACCTAAGTCAGCTGCACTGAGTTTCTCTAACCTTTTCTCCTGGTGCCTGTCAAAGTGATTCCCTTGTTCTGGGTCCCCATGCCAGCACCCAGACTTCAGGTTCTCCAGTCCCTACCTGCAGGGTGGGGAGTCACTCAGGCCAGCTGTACGCCATTAGAAATCCTGTTTCGTCATCCCACCCCTCAGCGGGCCGGTTTCCACGGGTCTTCCAGGATAGGAGGTCCCACAGTGCAAGACAGGGCTGTGGACCTCTGGCCCCTCATAGTTACAGAGTGGCAGGGAAACATACACACAGGTATTTTCAGAAATCCCAAGGCTCTCCATAGCTCAGGGCAGACATTGCAGAAGGGACTCCTTGGGGCCATGTGTGATCTTAGTCTTCTCCCTTCCTGTCTGCCCCAACCCTGCAGAGCTGACCAACCGAGCTTTGGAGAACACGTGGCTGCCTGTTAGCTTAATTAGCTTCCTTCACTGGGAACCTCAGCAATAAGAAGGCCTTGATCTGCCTGGCTTAGCATAGCTCCACTCAGTGCCATACACTAAATATGGTTTTAGTTCATTAGGGCTTACTCTAAAGAATCAGCCAAGCTTCCACATTAACTGGAAACTCGGACCATATATGAAAGGTATTTCAAACACTCCAAAGTCAGTTAACATTAATAAGGGGACTTTCACTTTAAAATTACAATCTATTAAATTAGTGATGAAAATGGGTTACTGAATAAATAGTATTGAAATCAATGACTAGCCATTTAAAAAATATAAACCTGAGTCCCTACACCTCACTTTTTATACCAAAATAAATTCCAAGAAGGCCAAAATTTTAAGCATTAAAAACATAAAATCATATTCTATTTTTAACTTATTTAACAAAAATTTAATATAGGGCTTAATTTGTGTGTGTGCCAGCACTGTTGTAATACATGGCTTACAATTTTGGCGTACAAAAGACCTTTCTAAGAAAGAGATTTCACATAAATCTAGAAGCCACAAAAGAAAAAAACCAAGGGATTTGATTCTGTGAATCTGTGAAACTCTCGTAGGATAAAAATACCATAAAATCAAAATACAAATAACAAACCTGAAAAAATAGTTTATGCAAATAAAATGAATAAAGGTCTAATAAGCCTAATTTATAAAGGACACATAAAAGGTCAACATGAAGAAAAAAACCATTATCAACCCAATAGAAAAATGGACTAAGAATATAAGTAAACAGTTCACAGAAAAATAGCCAATAAACACATGAAAACATGTTCAACTTCCTTTGTAATTTCAACATGCAAAGCAAAACAGAATGACATCACTTTACACATCTCAATTTTCTAAAACCATACAGGTTTTTAACACCTCAGGCTGGTGAGCTGAGGAGAAACAGGCCCCTTCATGCAGTGTGGGTGGAGGGGCCCCTTCTCCCAGTGGCAGTTTAGCAACTGGTCTCTCCAACGTTTAAATGCACCAAATGGTCTCAATAAATCCCCTTCAAGGGATTTCTCTAAGGATACAATTGAAAGAACATAAAAGTTCTAAAAGCAAGATGCTCATGATAGAATTTTGAAACAGCAACAGCAGCAACAAAAATGGAACGAACTAAATTTTCTTCATTAGAGAACTGGCAGATAAATTACCTGCAACATCTATACAGTGGGGTACTAGCAGCTGTTACAGCGATGGCAGAGACCTTTAAGTAGTGATAATGCCAAGATTCATGAGCTCTATTAATAGCTGAAAAAAAGCAAGGTGCAGCTCAGTGTGGACACTGGGATTCCATGTGTGTTTTAAAATATCTGTGGGTACATTTTTCTCTGATTTCTAAGAATATTAACACTGGTGCCCTTGAGGAGGCTGCTGATAAGAGGGAAATGGTTTATTTTTCATTTTTAAAGATAATAAATGGTAAATTTAAAAGTAAAAATGTTATGAATGACTTCAGGTTAGTGGCCCCAAATGCAGCCTCAGTTTTTCAACGAGCACATAGGGGGTTTCCATTATGTGCCAGGTGCAGAGCTAGAGGCTGGAGATATAGAAGCAGGAAAAACAATCTCTGATTGAATTTTTTAGGTTGGTGTGAAAGTCATCACAGTTTTTGCCATTAAGAGTAATGGCAAAAACCACCATTACTCTTAATGGCAAAAACCACGATGACTTTTGCAACAACCTAATAGTTCCAAAATACCTTGAAGACACAGAAAACAAAACAAAACAAAACAAAAAAAGCAACAACAAAAAGGCTCAGCCTCTGAGACAGACATAACCTTCTGGATCAGATTCTGGACAAAGTCTCTGCTGCCTTCAGGGCACATGATTTATAGTAAGGAACACCACCTACGCTTCCACTAGTGAAATTTGTCCACCTGCAGGCCTGTCCTTTCTCCCCCACCACCCTACACTGACTCTGCTCAGAAACCTTGAGTTTGGACTCACTGGAGTACTGGATAACTGTCCTTTGGTTGCCTTCTACATAACCACAGCACAGGTCTTCTGTGTCACCCATCCCCATCTCTTTGAGTATAACCTGGTGACCTGAGGCTTGGAATAGCACAGATCCAGGATTGATCATATTGCTGTGGCCACGAGTAGGTTATTCTACTTCTCTATGCCTTGGTTTTCTCATTTTGAAAATGAAGATAAGAATGCTCATAGCAGAGGGATTTGTGAGGATTCAATCATGATGTGCATATAAATGCAATCAGTTAAGAAATTGCAGCTATTATTATAGGATTTCCTCTATTGTAAGATATCTTCTATTCTAAGATTCATCAATGATTTAATAACAGCTTTGGGGGCATAATACATTGGTTACAAAATAAAGCCTAGTTTCAGAAATACTAAGATCTGAAAAATTGTGCCATCTGGGACTTAGGAAATATGACACTCTTTCTAGATCTATCTGGAGATTACAATGTCCAGAATCAACCAGGCAGGTAATTATAAAATGTGGGACGGGGGGAGAAAAGGTAGGGGAAGAAGGAAGTTTGTGGTGGTGCAGAGTTCACTGGGTAGTGTAGGCCTGCCATCATAAACAGCGTGGATGGAGATGGTAGCAGTGTAAGCTGGAAATGGAGGATTTTCATGCACTCCATTGGTTCAGCATATCAGAAAGACACTCACACCAGCAAAATCTACAAACTGGAAACTAGGCCAAGAGATGTGCACACCAATCTACCCCCAAGTAGACGTCAGAGAAAAGGGTCTGGCCATAATCCAAGTAACAGTGAACAGAGACAAGAAAAAGCCACACAACCTGTCCATTTAGCAAATACTGAATATGGGTAACTCTGTCCTTATTCAAGGAAGGGTAAAGAGGATAAAGCTAACACGGGACCTATGCGGAAATATCACAAAAAGAAAAGGGGGCATCATAATAAAATTTCTTTATTAATATTTTTTTTTGAGACAGAGTCTCGCTCTGTTGCCCAGGCTGGAGTACAGTCACACAATCTTAGCTCACTGGAACCTCCACCTCCCAGGTTCAAGCGATTCTCCTACATCAGCCTCCCGAGTGGCTGGGATTACAGACACATGCCACCACGCCCGGCTAATTTTTGCATTTTTTTTTTAGTAGAGATGGGGTTTCGCCATGTTGGCTAGGCTGGTCTTGAACTCCTGACCTCAGGTGATGCACCCACCTCAGCCTCCCAAAGTGCTGGGGATTATAGGCATGAGCCACCGCTCCCAGCACATCATAATAAAATTTATTATGAAAATAACATACTGCAGGATCCAGAAGTAAATTTTATAAAACTGACATCCTCAATAAGATGTCACCAGATATGACCTTTGGAAAAGTCATGGGAGTTAAGAGAGATTAAAAAAAGACAATAGTTTGAATTTTTAAGTCAGGTGGATAAGCTAACACAGAATTGCAAAAAAATAAAGGTAACCAAAATTCAACACCCATTCATGATTTAAAAAAAAACTTTAACAAACTAGAGATGGAAAGGAACACAATCTGATTAAGAGTATCTCCAGAAATTTAAAACATCAGATGTAATGACACAATATTAAACTTCTTTACCTATGAGACTAGAAATGAGACAAGGCTGCCACTATTGTCACTTCTATTCAACCTTCACTGGAGATCCTAGCCAATGCAACAGGGAAAGAAAAAGAAAGAAAGGATATTGCAGAGCCAAATGTGAAAGATAAAACAATAAAGCTTTTAGGAAAAAAAGGAGAATATCCTCAAGACCAAGGAATAGGCAGATATTTGTTAAAATAACCATAAAGGGAAAGCAATAATAAATTAGACTACATTGTGACTAAGAACTTCTGTTTATCAAGACACTCTTGAGAAGGTTAAAAAAAAAAAAAAAAAAAAAGAGCCAGGCATGGTGACATGTGCCTGTTGTCCTCACTACTCGGGAGGCTGAGGCAGGAGGATCACTTGAGCCCAGGAGTTCCAGGCTACAGTGAGCTATGATAATGCCACTGCACTCTAGCCAGGGTGACAGAGCAAGGCCCCATTTCTTTTCTTTTCTTTCTTTTTTTTTTTTTGAGATGTCTCTTATAAAAAAAAGATAGAAAGGTAACTCACAGAATGAAAGATAGTTGCAATACATATATCCAACAAAAAAACTTTATCCAGAATATATAAATATCTCCTACAAATTAATAAGAAAAAGACAGCACAATAGAAAAATTGACAAAAGATTTGAAGAGGCACTTCACCAAAGGGGATACATAAATGGCCAATAAACATTTGAAACCTCATCAGGGAAATGCAGAGTAAAACCATAATGCAATACCACAACACAGTCATGAGAATAAACTGGAAATTACCAAGCGTGGTTGAGAATGTGAAGCAACTGAAATGCATAATTTCTGATGGCAGTGTACATTGATAAAAATCTCTTTAGAAAACTGTTTGACACAATATGCCAAATCTGAAAATATGCTTATCCTATGACTAGCAATTTTATTCCTCAGTAAAAACAACAGAAATCCTTTTACATATTCACCAAAAGTTAAGTATAGACTGTCCATGGCAGCACTAAAAATGAAGAAACTACCAAATGCCCACAAATAGAGGAATGCATAAGTAACCTGCGGTGAATCCACACAATGGAATACTGTATAGCAATGAGAATGAATCACAACCACACACAAAAACATAAGCAAATGCAACACTCAGTGAAAGAAGTCAGACATAGGCCAACCACTTGTAAATTTTAGACTCTTCTAAGCAAATATCTGGCTAAAGAGGAAACTAGATTTGCATTTATTTTGGCAATAAATATACAAAAATCAGTTAATGTACCAAATACACAAAGAGCTCTTTCAAATAATATAACTTGAATTTTAAAATAGGCAAAGAGCAAAGAAGAAAAAAATTACAAAACAATAGTAATATATAACAAACATGGGGGGAAACACCCGAATGGGATATGATAAAAGACAAAAGAAGATAAGACAAAATTATTATCCACCTTTTTTTTTTTTGAGATGGAGTCTCACTCTTTTGCCCAGGCTGGAATGCAATGGTGTGATCTTAGCTCACTACAACCTCTGCCTTGTGTGTTCAAGCGATTCTCCTGTCTCAGCCTCCCGAGTTGCTGGGACTACAGGCACACACCACCACACCCGACTTATTTTATTTTATTTATTTATTTATTTTTTTAGTAGAGACGAGGTTTTGCCATGTTGGTCAGACTGGTTTCGAACTCCTGACCTCAGGTGATCCAACTACCTCAGCCTCCCAAAGTGCTAGGATTACAGGTGTGAGCCACCATGCCCAGCCAGTTATTCACCTTTAAATCGCAAAAATGTTGTGATTGGTGAAGGTGCAGTAAATCTACATTTTACTAAACCTTTTGTAGAAATATAAACAAATATGGGCCTGCTGGATTTCACAACATGCATCAAGAACCTTAAACGTATTCAAAAACCTTGTAGGAACTTAAAGGATAGAAATAATCAGAGATTATCATAATAAACACAGATTTAGTTTGAAGATGTTCATCCTAGCTTTCTATATAACCCTAAACAAGATTTGGGGGAAAAAAAGTACAATTCAAGGCAATTTCTCTGATAATTATTTCCTTCCCTCTGTGGCCTTGAGGTTGTGGTTTTCTGCTACTTACCTTGGTGAGTCAGAGCCTTTTAGTTTTGGCACTGCACGTGCGCAACAGCCAAGATTTAGCCAAGATTCAGATTAGAGATCATGAGTGAAAGTCGTTAATACAGGCTACATAAAAATGTAAGACTTACCATGCTCCCATCCCTTCTTTTCCTTTTACAATGGTCTTGGCACATTTAATTGTCTTCTCTAAATTAGGATTCAGTAAAGCTGTGGGGAAAAGAAAATGGAAGATACCATGCTGCCATATGACAGTTAAGTTAGAGTGATGTCAGGGAAGGTACAGGGTACTCACATCAGAGAGTCTTCCAGTGAATTCCAAGAATAAATCTATCCTTAGATTTTTATTAGACAACCCTAAGGAGGTAGCAGGATGGAGTCATCTTTTTACCAGATCTATTGATTTTTTAACTTGTAATTCTTATAAAATTTTTTCCATTAAAATATATTGATTAGGCTACAGAGAATCAGCTGATGCCCAGGATCATGATCTGTTCTAACCCTTCACTTAACCTATCTGGATCCTTGTTCCCCTTTTAGCCTCTAGGGATTTTTCTTACTTTCTTGCCAACTCAGTCTGGGACTTTAAAAGAATTTTTGTTTTCTTTGTTTGCATTCTACCTAATGGGAGAGTTTTTCAGGATATATAGTCCACCATATTTTCATCACAATACACAGTACCACCTCTATTACAGACAGAAAATTGTATGTGTCTCCCATTGGATTCTGGAGAGATAGAGATATAGATAGATAGATGATAGGTAGATAGATTTATAGATAGATATCTATATTTATCTATGTTTATAGATATCTATCAATCTATATTTCTGCCTATGAAATATAAATTACAGGCCTACTGTATTTCTCTTTTTGCCTTGGCTACCAGGAAGCTCTGGATGACATTGAATGTACCATCATTTCAATTTAAATTAAATCAATTTAATTAATTTAAAAATGTTATTAACTTACACTTTTAATGTGTATGTCTCCCCAACTAGACTGTGATTGTTGTAATTCACTAAGGGCCCTGCCTGGCATTTTATATACATTATTCCATTTTATGTTCACAGAAACCGTAAGTGGTTGTTAATGTCCCCATTTGGAGGACCTCTAGAAGTGACTTACACAAGCTCATGTCGTTCTTTTTTTTTTGAGAGGGATTCTCGCTCTGTCTCCCAGGCTGGAGTACTGTGGCGCGATCTGGGCTCACTGCAAGCTCCGCCTCCCAGGTTCACGCCATTCTCCTGCCTCAGCCTCCCGAGTAGCTGGGACTATAGGCGCCTGCCACCACGCCCGTCTAATTTTTTGTATTTTTAGTAGAGACGGGGTTTCACCGTGTTAGCCAGGATGGTCCCGATCTCCTGACCTCGTGATCCGCCCATCTCGGCCTCCCAAAGTGCTGGGATTACAGGCGTGAGCCGCCGCGCCTGGCCGCTCATGTCATTCTTAATGGCAGCAGCTAGGATTCCCACCAGGTTCCCACAGAGTTCCTGTGCCTTTTCCTCCTATGTTGCAGTCCTGCCTCTCCTTGAATCAGACAACTTTCTTACTCCTCTCTGGAGCTAAAGGCCAATCATGGGGCCCAACACAGACAGGTACTCCCCAGGCCACATGAGAAGGCTGCAGGCCTTCACTCCAACCTCTCCACTCTGTCTCCTAAAGACCCAGCTCAGAAGCCACAGGCTCTGGAATGGTTCTCACCCATCAGCGTGGAAAGAGGTTTGCTCATTAGGGAGGATGCTGGGGTGCTTAGGCAGGAAGACCGCCTCAGATGTGAGGGAGACCTGGCCCAGCTATGTAGCCTCTTGGTTTAGCCCCAACTCAGGAGCCGCACTGCTTAGGTTTCCCTCCCAGCTCTACCACCCCACAGCTGTGTGGTCTTGGGCATATACTTACCCTCTCTGGGCCTCAGTTTCCCCATTCATAGAATGGGGATAACGGTACCCACCTCATGGGTATTTAATTAGATTGATTAGATGAATTAATTAGATGAATACTTATAAAGGGCTTAAAAGAGTAGCTGGCAGTTAACAAGCACAAGAATGGCAACTATATAAGGCCTGGCACTTAGTGGGTGCTCAATAAATGCTCACGCAGTTAGTGAATCCTGGCAACCACCTCCCCTTAATCACAGGTACTTGGGACCGCCTAAGAGCAGTGGGCAAGCTCCCCTTGGGATGCCCAGCTCCTGTCTCCTCCCAGTAACCAGTTCTGCCTTTCAAAGTGGCAGCAACTGCCCCCTTGAAAAAGGGAGAGGGGTCAGGAGCGGTGGCTCACGCCTGTAACCCTAGCACTTTGGGAGGCCGAGACGGGCAGATCACGAGGTCAGGAGATTGAGACCATCCTGGCTAACACAGTGAAACTCCGTCTCTACTAAAAATACAAAAAATTTAGCCAGGCATAGTGGCGGGCGCCTGTAGTCCCAGCTACTCGGGAGGCTGAGGCAGGAGAATGGCACGAAGCCAGGAGGTGGAGCTTGCCGTGAGCCGAGATCGCGCCACTGCACTCCAGCCTGGGCGACTCAGTGAGACTCCGTCTCAAAAAAAAAAAAAAAAAAAAAAAAAAAGAAAGAAAGAAAAAGGGAGAGGTGGCCGAGCGTGGGTGAAATCAGGCCAGCTGGTGCCCTCTGCTCCCGCCCTTCAGGCTCTGATGCCTGCAGCCTCCTCTCAACTCCCCAACACCTTCTCTGCCCATTTGGACAGGGGTCTCCATCACTCCATCCTAGGTTAGCCTGCCTGACTCCCCACAGCCTGATCTCACTGTACCCCCAGCAGTGCAATGCTCAGCCTCCCAGGGACCCACCCTGGATATGGCTCCTGCCACACCCTCTTCTTTGTAAAACTTTGTAAACTCTGGCCATTTGGAAGGCAGGCCTCTAACACAGCACCATAGCCTCCAGTGCCCCCGCACGGAATGGAAAGAGGGACTTACCGGAACATGACATATGGCAGCGGTTCCTGCCATGGTCGCCACACCAGTCACTGCCACGCATCTGAAAGAGGCCAAAGCCAGTGTAGCCCTCACGTGTGTTCTCGTAGATGGCCATGGGGTTGAACTTGCTCTCGAAGTAGGCCAGGCACACCCCTAAGATGGAACAGAAGGTGTGTGACTCTGAGGACAGCTGGAGTTGGGGATGCTTGGCCAGAGAAGGGAGGGCAAGGAGGTGAGAGGAGGGAGCACTAAGTGGGGCCTACTCACAGTTCTCAAGGCTATAGCCCTCAAAATAATCCAGGCCTCCATCGTGGAGTTTCTTAGCCACTGTGCAACGCCCCAAGATGTAAGCACCACTTGGAACCACCAGGTAGCCAAGGAGGGAGAGAACCACGGATGCCTTCATCTTCTCCAGGCTCCTGGCAGGTCAGGGCAACGGTGGCCAGATGAGTGGGTGGAGTCACAGGGACACTGGTTCTCTGAAGGGAAAGAAGGGCACTGTGGGGGTGGGGGTGGAGCACAGTTCAGTGTCATCAGAAAAATGGGAGTCTCACCTGGTAAGCCATGACACTTCTTCCCATCCTAATTCTCTGCTTCGTGTCACTGCAAATCTGGGACACCTGAAACTCTGCCCCTTCTCCTCCTCTTGACCTCCTATTTTCTAAGGAAATTGCACTCTTGAGGCCCCCTCCCAACCCCAATTCTTTCCATCCAGCAAAACCCATTGGCTCCTTCTGGGTTTGTATCTCACTCATTTCACTCTGACATTAGATACAGATGCTCAAGACCTTTCTTCCCTTTATTGTAAAAGTAGACTTTGGTGATTAAATACATCTTGGAAAACAGAAAAGAGAAATTAAAAAAAAAAAAAGCATCATGGCCCCACCACTGCAGCAGAACCACTACCGACCTGTTGAATTATGTCCATTACTGCCTCTTATGCGTCTTATTCCCAGTTGTGTCTTTGTCCTTTACACAGTCTTGTCCCCAGATTTTCTACAAACCAAACTCCCCTGAGTTTTTCCCTGCCGTCCACGCAATGAGACAAGCCCAGACCTGCCACATACTAGCCAGACAACAGACAAGTCATTTAGCTTTACAGTGCTTCTGCTTCCTTATCTTTAAAAGTGGGGTCACTTGGGAGGGGAGCGCACTCAGAGAATGGACTCTTGAGTTTAACCTTCTCCATTTCTTTTCCATTTTAAGTGGCTGCCACCATCTAAACCCACCACCTCCTCACAGCAAGCTGAGTCATAGCCCAGCCTTCTCATCTCCAACCCCCCGGGCCAACTCATGCAGGTGGTGTTTTCTACCATGACTGAGGAATGTCCCCAAAGCAGGTACAAAATATCACTTGGAGAACACTGCTAATCCCCTCTTCTTACCACAGCAAACCCACACTTGGCTTTCCAAGCCCTCCATGATCTGGCTTTACCCCATCCACCCTTTATCAGGACGAATCTATTAAGTAAACTCAGAATTCTCATGGCACTCCCTCTCTGGATGCCTCTGCACCTCCCCACTCCATTCTCCAGGGAGCTGTGCCCTCATGCATGGTTCTTCCCAATGCACAGGGCCCTACCATGCCTTTCCCCATTCAAATGTTGCTGCATCTTGAGGCCTCACCCCGGGTGCCAACTTCTTGAATCCTGATGGATCCTCCATAAAAGTTCCATTTTCCCTCTGAGCCCCTATTGCTCTCAGAGTCTCTTCCATGACACACTGCAGATGATTGTCCTGTTTTGTGCTCTGTCCCATTCCTCAGACTAGAATGTGCAATTGGAAATTGGAACTCATCTTCCTCCTGGAATACCCCATAGCCCCTAGCACTCCATCGTTATATATCAATTGGACAATTCATTGCACCCTCCTGTTTGTCACCGTTCACAGGTGCATGTCTTCCTGGCTGTATACACCTACACCGGGGGTTCTCAACCTTGGCACTTGGGCTGGAATATGCTTAGTTCTGGGAACATCCTGTGCATTGGATTGTTTAGGAGTACACCTGGCCTCTAGATGCTAGTAGCTCTGCCTCCAAATTATGTCAGACAAAAATGTTCCTATGGGACAAAATTGCCCCCTGTTGAGAAATGTCTAACTTGGGCAAAAGTTAGAAATAAGTGTATTCATGAATTAGAAGAATCATACTTTCAAACGTTTGTTCAAACTCTCAAGCTGTATGATTAGTTGCAGACATGACCAGTACACCAAATACAGTATCTAGGAGGGCCTTGCATTTAAGAGCTCAGACTTGGGAATCAGATTGCCTGGGTCCAAGTTCCAGCTTTACCCCTCAGTGGCTGAGATATCAGTGATCCCAGCAGTAATCTTAGACAAATTGCTCAACCTCTTGATTCCTCAGTTTCCTCATCTGTAACACAGATTAAAACAGTACTTAATTAATTGTGTTGATTTGAAGAGTAAGTGAATTAAATATGCACAGCACTAGATTTTACTTGTATGGACATTTTTCTTAGCTCTGGTTGCACCCCTGCCCTTTTATACTGATGTATCAAACCTGTACATTGTGCACATGTACCCTGGAACTTAAATTATAATAATTAAAAAAAGTGAATCTCAATGCATGTTTCATTTCCCAACAGAGCAAACAACATTTTCTGGTAATGTCTGTCTTCCACAGGGCAGGCATCATCTCAACTCGTAGAAGGCATACTGAGTCCTCTCCTCCCCTCTCCCCCAGAAGCCAGTTCATCAGGTTCATCAGGGTGTGCCATCTACAGTTCTTCCAGAACCTATTCGCCTCTCATCTTTTCTGCCATCATCCTAATCCAGACCACCATCACCTCTAAGGTGGAGACTTTCTAACTACACTCCTCTACTACATACTCCTCTCTGTTCCCCTAAACCCACTGCCCACACAGCAGTTGGAAAGGCATTTTATAAAGCATGTGTCCAGTCACATCACTAATCTCCAGTGGATTCCCCTTGCACTTTGAATAAGGTCCCAACTCCTCAACCTGGCTGACAAGACTTTCTGATGCAGCCACTGAGCACCTCTCCAGTCTGAATTTACATCACTCTCTCCTTTGTTCACCTTCACTCTGCCATAGTCACCTTGCACATTTCTTTTCCTTGAATATGCCAATTTCATTCCCACCACAGGTCCTTTGCACCAGCCATTCCTTCTACCTGGAACATGACTGCCCTGACCACCACATACGAGCTCACTACCTCAAAGAAGATTCCTTGATCACTGCCCCATCAAAGAAGACGGTCTTTATTTTCTTCATACCATTAATCAATATCAGGAATTCCATTGCTCATTTATCTGTTCACTTGCTTATTTTCTCTCTCCCATACCTGAGTGTAAGCACCAGGAATGCAGAAACCTGGTCTGGTTTTTTCTCTTCATTATCCCCAGAACTCAGAACAGAACCTAATACAGAGTAGGTGCTCAATGAAACTTTGTTGAATGAATGAATGAACAAAAACCTCCTCTTCCCAACTGAACTGTCATCAAATAAGCAATAAGTGAATTTGCTGATGAGCTTCTCCTGCAGCTGGGTATTGTCATGCCCGTTACCCTCCTGCCCACCATATACCCGCCTACCAGTCCACCAGCCCTTCCAAAGGCTGGCTTTTGGTGCCTTTCCAAGGGGAGGGGAAGAACAGCCACTGCAGCAGCTTCGACGTGTGTTGCAGGGAAGTTGCTCCACCTACATTTGGTTCCTTGGGTTTTTCAGATGCTACTTCATTAATCATCCACTTGTCTGCACCCAAGAGTTCTCCATGACATGCTCTTCTAGAATCCTTTCTATGACATCAGTTGCTATGCACCAGGATATTCTGAAAAAGGGAGGGTCTGTCACTGTCACATTTGTATTAGTTTTCTATTGCTGCTGAAATACATTACCACAAATTTAGTGGCTTAAACAACACAATTTATTATCTTAAAGTTCTATAGCCCTGAAGTCAGAAATGGGTCTCACAGGCCTAAAATTAAGGTGTCAGCAGGGCTGTGCTCCTTCCCAAAGGCTTTAGAAGAGGATTCATTCCCTTGCTCATTGAGGTTGTTGGCAGAATAAAGTTTCTGCAGTCACAGGGCTGAGTTCCCTGTTTCCTTGCTGGCTGTCGGCTAAGGGCCATTCCCAGCTGCTAAGCACTGTCTGCATTTCTTAGCTCTGTTGCCTTCCTCTATCTTCAAAGCCAGCAAGGGTGAGTCAAACCCTCTCACACTTTGAATTTCTCTTGCCTCTTCTTCTGTCATTGTATCTTTCTGACCCTCTTTTCTTCCTCCCCTTCCCTGTCTAAGGACTCATGATTAGATTGGTCCAGCCGGACCATCCAGGATAACCTCTGCTTCTCAAAGTCTTTAACCTTAAACACATCTGCAAAGTCTCTTTTGCCATGCAAACTAACACATTCAGAGGTTCCAGGGGTGAGTGTTACCGAACAAAAGTGATTCAATGCATTGGAAGCCAACGCTATGACACTGGGTGTTTGAGAAAAGGCTTTTTATTGAAATATAAATATTTAATTTTAAATATATAATCAATATATTGTCGATTTTCAAGGAGACAGCAGTGTCAACCTCAAATCTGTCTCCTGTGATGCAGTATTTTTATTAGAAAAAGTTTAGGGGATTCTAAGATTAGTAGGTGATTTGGTGGAAGAAAGGGAAGGGCTGGAAAGTCCTGGGTCATATGCAGTTATCTCTTCATACTATTTTATGGGTCCCCTGGGCAATTATGGGGAAAGTTAGTATAAAGCACATGGTGGAAATTTAGTCTGTGACATCAGCAAGCTGGTTCTGCCTAGACTCTGGTCGGCCATCTTGGTTCCAGCTGATTTCAGCCAGTTCTTATATCTCATAAGCAGAGGGAGTTTCAGTATTTCAGCAAGTTGTTTCTTTTCTTACCTGCCATCCTGCAAACTCAAGAATTTCTGTTAGTCATTGGTTTTTTTAACTCTTTGGGGCATGGCTTCATTAGGACACCTTTGGGAGATCAGTATTCTGCCTGCTACAGCATTCTTCCGGGCCCTCATAGGACTGCCTTCTAGGTGGAACAGTGGGAGAAGCCCTTATGTAGCTTTCCTAGTCACCAGAGGGCCATGGTCAAAGACATCCTCTCTTGGGGCCTGGGCATCTTCATCTGTGACTTGAGGGCATCAGACTGGGTTATCTTTAAGGTCCTTTTCAGCTCCAAAAGTTAAGAGATATTGAGATGATTGAGGGCAAATTGGCCTTTTGAAAACACATTAGTCTGTCTGGCTGACTCAATTAGAACTGGTAATTAGTCGATTAATTGAAAATTAATAATGTAAAGAATCATAAAAGAAAAACTAAAACCAGGCCATAAACGCTGAGGCTTAAATCCATACATGCCTATTTTCTCAACAGTCTTTAGTGTTGGCTCAGCTGGAGGCTGGTTGGCAGAAAACTAAGGTGTTTTCACAGAAATCAGTTAATCGAGAAACATTCCATCTGCAGAAACTCCCACCTCTGAAGGCATAATAGTGGAAATATTCTCCTCATCCACAGCGGTAGACAGTTTGAAAAAAAAAAAAAAAAGGCCACAATTTTACAGTCTTCTCTGTATCTGTGCCCCTTGGCTTTGCAACTTAGCTGCTCCCATCAAGGGATGCCATCCACTCCCCACCCCAGGGGTTGGGTTGGCCTGTCTTGCTCTGACAATAGATCACAGTGGAATGAGGTAGTACTAATCCTAGGCCTCAGGAAGCCTGATGGCCTCTGCTCACCCTGAGCTCTGCCACCACCACATGAACATGCCTGGCCTCATCTTGCAAGAAATGAGTGGCACCAGTCACCCCTATTGCTACAGTGGATGACAGTTAACTGCCACACATGGAAGATCACCCTAGGCTGGCCAGCCCCCAGCTGACCATAGATACATGAATGATGACAGCCATGATCAATCAAGTCCAGTCAAGATAAGCAGAAGTGTCCAGTTGACCCTCAGCCTAGTAAGCAATGATGAATATTTCTTGCATTTAGCCACTGTTGTAAGTCTGGGGTGAGGAGGTTGTTACACAGCAATTGATAACGGACACATCCCCTCAGCTCCATGCTCTTGCTTTGGTCTGCGCCTCCAGGCAACCATCTGTCTGGGCCCCTAGCACACGGGCCATCTGCTCTGGAGCCTATTGACAAGCACCAACTGTTCTGCGGAATCAACTGGGCAAGCTGTGCCGCAATCACACAACTTCCAGCAAAGGTCTTATTCCCAGAGGAAAGGGAATTGCCCTTCTTTCCCGATATGACATTTACCTTTCCCAGAAAAATTGACCTAGGAGCCCTCATGGTGCAGGGGCCTCCTCAGGCAAAAACCCCAGGGTTTGCTGCCCTGTTATTTGCCCTGTTGAGTTACTGGGTGTGACTGGATGCAATAGGCTTTGTTACCAATGGGGTTTAGTGCACTGGCTGTATACACTGAGTAAACTGGGCAGAATCCTCTCTTTCTTAGAGCTATGGCTTATTATATTGGCCACATCCAAGCACCTGAGAATCCTTCTTAGACCCTAAAAAATGTGCTAGAAATTGTGGCAAGTGTTGGGCACATCAAAGTGAGCTCATAGCACAGTGTGGTACTTACATAGGTTAAAAAATAATCATCAGCAGCCCTGTAAGAAACACCATAAAAGAAGTCCATTCACAGTTCTGTAGGGGTAAAGAGAAGAAAGCCCCACCTGCCAGGGTGCAGCAGGGTGGGGCAAGGAAGCCTGCACTGAGCAAGAGATGTGGAAATGCTATGGAGGATGGGCAAGGGGGCTACCAGCAGGGCAGGGTGGAGTGTGCTGGAGACAGCCCCGCCCCTCTTTGGTTCTCTCTGCCCCCTGCCCACCAGCACCCCCACCCTTCAGTGCCTTTGGAGATACTGAAAACTTCACCTCCTGGAGAACAGAGAACGGAGGCTGACATTTGTTGAATCTTGTTAACATGTCAGGCATAGGGCTAAGGGAATCATATGAATTAGGTCGTTTAATCCTCACAATCCTCCCAACAGTTAACTATTATTGTGATTATTATGCACATTTCATGAGGAAACAACTAAGGCTCAGGAATGACTTGTCTAATCAGGGCAGGTGACAGGGCAAGGGTTCCATTCCAGAAGTTGTGCTCTCAGCCCCTGCTGCCTGCTCTCAAGAGCCATGATGCCACTCCGTGTGATACTCTGGGCACGCTGCTTCTTCCTCTCTTTGTCCTTTGCTCCAGTGGATTTCTTTCTACTTATCTATCCTGAAATTTGTCGAGTTCCCTGAATCTGTCGATCAGATACATCCATTATTTCTGAGACAGTCTCAGGCACTGTCACCTCACTCTACCCTCCATGTCTCAATGTCTCATATTTCTCATGTCTGTATCCCTGGACTGCATCCTGGATCATGTATTCAGGTCTACCTGGCAGCTCAGGAATTCTCTCTTCAGGAATATTAAATTTGCGGTTAAATCCACGAATTGAGTTTTCCATTTCATTAATTTGTGGGGGGTTTTTTTGTTTTTTGTTTTTTGGGATTTGTTTTGTTTTGTTTTGTTTTTATTTGAGACAGGGTCTCACTCTGTCACCCAGGCTGGAGTGCAGTGGTGCAATCTCGGCTCACTGCAACCTCTGCCTCCTGGGCTCAAGTGATCCTCCCATCTCAACCTCCTGAGTAACTGGGACTACAGGTGCATGCCACCATGCCTGGCTAATTTTTGTATTTTTTGTAGTGACAGGGTTTTGCCATGTTGCCCAGTCTGATCTCAAACTCCTGGGCTCAAGCGATTCACCCACCTCGGCCTCCCAAAGTCCTGGGATGGCATGAGCCACCACACCCTGCCTTTGTTTCATTAATCTGATTGTTCATTTTTATACATCCCATTTAGCTCTTTTTCCAATCTGCTTTTTCTTTACTCTGGTTTTCAACCTTGCTTTATTTTCTAGAAACCATAGTAAACACACATATTTTATCCTGCAACTTTTTGTTCCAATATCTGAGGTCTGCCGTTGGGTACGATCTTATGGTCTATTTGTTCAGGCTAGCTGGTGGTAAAGACTTTTCAGAAGAAACAAAAATTCTTTCTCTGCTGTCACTCAGCGCCCAGGTTTAAGACAAGCAATCATCCTTGCAGTCCCCAGGGCAGGCACTAGCTCACATTGCATGAACATAGAGTGCTTTGGAGCCCCAGGTTTATAGGGGGTCTCCGGCTGGGTCCCACCTCTCCTCCCCAAAGCATCACAAGGCTGTGCCTTCAAGGCAAAAGCCAGCTGCGGTATTCCACTTACCTCTCGGGATTCCACTGTCACTGAATTTTAGGCTGGAGTGTTTTGTTTTTGTCTTTTTCTCATAAAATTTTTGTGCAGCATTTTTGGTTTTGTTCCACAGAAGGATCAATTTGGTTACCCAGTCTACCATACTATGAGACACAGATGTAGCATCTTACTACCCTGCATAAAAGAAACAACTTACAAAAATAATGCCCAGCATCTATTATATACTTACGGAGTGCTACACTCTGGGCTGAGTCTTTTATGTCTCATCTTATGTAATCCTCACAGTAACCTTCTCAGCAACAGCTTATAGGTAAATATATTGAGCTCAGGGAGATTATATGACTTCTGTAAGGTTACAAGCTGCAAGAAACCAGTTGCCTCACTTAAGAGGTTACTGTCCCCAACTACCCTGCTGCCTTGCTTGGGTGATGCCTTATATATACTATTTTGCACAGAGATTGCCTCTTTCAGATAATTGGAAATGTTTCTCCTTTTGTGTTGCATTTTTATTCTTAAGATACTTTCCAAATGCAAATTTAAACTAAAATATTAACATACACATGTTAAAACCATGTACCCTGAGATTCTTTTATGTTCACAAGATTGGATCATTGTGGGGAGGAAGAAGAGAAGGAGGAGGAAGAAGAAGAGGAAGAGGAAGAAGAAGGAGAAGGAGAAGGAGGGGAGGGAGAGGGAGGAAGAGGAGAAGAAGGAAAAACAAAGAAAGAAAGAAAAACGAAAGGAAGGAAGGAAAGGAGGAGGAGGAGGAAGGTGTACATGAGTGGCACTCTAAATTGGGAGTTATGGATTTTATCATTTGGGAAATTTTTGTTACATCTGGAATCAAAATATAACCAGTGCCTTAGGCTTTTCCATTGCAAGTGATAGGAAACCCAACACAAACTAACTAACTATATATACACACACACACACACACACACACACACACACACACACACACACACACACACACACACACACAAACTCAATCCAAAGCAGATTTAACATGGCTGGATGCAAGAACTCAAAACTTTGAGCAATCTCCTCTCCCTATCTCTCTGTTTTCCCTCATGCTAGCTTTATTCTCATGCAGGTTCTTCCTGTGTCTGGGAAAACTTGAATACCAGAGGACCCAGGATGGCACGCCCCATCTACTGGCCAGCTTAAGTCCCCTGCCCTATACCCTGCCTGCTGCACGTAATCAGCACCATGCCCTGCTTTAATTGGCTGAGTCTTTATCAAATGACGTCTATTGTAACTAAAAAATAATAATTCCTTAACTTGCTTGATTTGTTAACAAGTAAAAACTGCAGCCCTGAAAATCTCCAATATAATTTAATGAGTTCCTTCCAACCAGAGTGACAAATTGAAGAATCTGATTTATACTTTCAATTGAAAAGTGAAATTGGGAACTCATTCTGTGAGGGACACAGTGGTGGATCAGGCTCCTATCTTCTAGCTTCCTCACCTGACACAGCAGAATGCCACCCCACCTTTCTTTAAGCCCTCAGATTGCTACCTGACCTGAAGGGGGCTGACTACGGTTATCATGGGAAGAGAGTGAAGGATTTCTGGAAACACAAGACCAATGGCCAGGCTTTCTGTGTAGAATGAAGGGCCATATCCCTACAGACCTAGAAGACCTTTACATTTACAAAGTATCACATGCCCACAATTTTTTTGGATGCTTACAAGAGTGGACCTAGAAAAAAGCACAACAAGTGCTCTTAGATCCATTTGACAGATGTGGAGAGTTGGCACAAGCAGGACCACAGAGCCACAAATCGGGGAGCCAGGCCTTGAACCCGCAACCCAAACCCTGTGCTTGCAATCATTGAGTCCTTCTCCTCTGCTGATGGGCCCACACTGTTTGCACCCCCTTGCTACCACCATACACACATACACCCCCATGCCCCGGAGCCCTAAGCTTCAGATCAACAGGTGCAGGTGCCAGAACTACCCAAGGTTGGGATTATCTGGGGGCAGGGGATCTCCCCGAGGCTCCGCATGTCCAGCCACACAGGCAACTGCCTTCATTCATACTCCTACCCCCTTCAGGGTGAGACACAGAGAAGACGAAGTAATTAGGCTATGCATGCTGATTCCAGCTCCAAGGATAGGAAGTGATCACTCAGGCCTAGCCAATCAGTGACAGAGATAGGATAAGACCCCAGCCAGTGGCAGCCCTGGGCCTTGGAGGCTGGAATCATTTTAAAGTGAGCTGTCTCTTCCTGTCATGGCTAACTGTAAGGATTTGTGAGCCTGGAGCTGTGATCACTTTTTCCATCATGGAGAAAGGGCCTGCCTGTATGTGAGGCCAATAGAAAGGAAAACAGCAAGAGATGGAGGAAAAAGACTGACACCTGATGACATGATGTTGAACCTTTGGATCCAGCAAACTAAAGCCAGGAAATCTCCTTGTACTTGCCAGTTACTTGGGACAATAAATTCCCATTTTGTGTGGAAGCAGGTTTGAAAGAGTTTTCTGTCACTCACAACCAAAGACACCCAAATGATAACAGTTTTGTTCCCTCCCCAGCCTGTATGAATTACAAAGGGAGAGCTGTGCTTCACATGGAGAAATCTGGAGGACACCCTCTGACCAGGATGTCAGGTAGTGGGAGAGCCTGAGCTTATGTGTCCCTGATGTCATGCAGGGCGCACGCAACATCACCTTGGGGCATTCTTACCAGAAACATTTAACCTCAGTAATCATGAAGAGACAAACTGCAGAACTGAATTATAAACTGGATATTCTAAAGACTCACTGTCCACAGGACTCAGGATCATGAAGAACGGAGGGAGGTAGGGACTATACTTCACCAGGGGAAGCCAAAGTTTCATAATAGCCAAAGACAATTCATAACAAACCTTGACTGAATTCTGGATTTAATGTTTAAAAATAGCTATCAAGGACATTTGGGGAATACCTGAGGGCATCCAAGTATGGACTATGCATTGAGTGGTGCAACTGAAATAAAATTGATATTCTTGGGTTAATAATGGTATTGAGGTTAGGAAGGCAATTGTCCTTATTTTTGGGAGACCCAACTGAAGTGTTTAAGGGTAAAATTTTATTTGTCTGCAAACAAGTGTTTTGCCAAGGTGGCTTGGCAAAAAGGAAGTGTCTGTATATATTGAAAAGAAGAGACACATGGAACAGGAGTGCCAAGATGTTCAGCCAGCAAACCTGGCCAGGGGGCAGAGAGGTGCTCATCACACCACCCTTTCAACATGAAAAATAAGTGAATTTTTTAAGAGTTTAAAAAAAGAACTGGGGCTCTAAAGTCAGCCAGTCCTGGCTCCCACATCCTGGCTGTGCAACCCTGAGCACATGATTTTTCTTCTCCAGCTTCAACTCTTCCACTGCAAAATGGGGATAATAATGGAATCTACCTCATAAGCTTGTTGGGGGAATTAACTGAGATAAATATATGTAAAATGCTTAACATAGTGCCTGACACATATTAAATGTTCAATACATTGTGTTTTAAAAATAAAAATAAGAAAAAGGAGGGAGGAGGGAGAAGGAAAGGGGGAAAGGTAGAAGAAGGAGGAGAAAAAGGAGAGGGAGAAGGAGGAGGAGGTGATGGTAAAGGGGAAGAAGAAGAGGGAGAAAAAGGAGGAACAGAATTTGCTTCCCCTTCCCCTCTCCAACCAGTAGCATTCAGCCACCTCAATTCATGTGACATAATTTGATTATGGAAAGAACAAAAACCGAAGGAGGACGCTGCCAGGAAAGGTGGGCCGGTTTCTTACAGACAGGACAATCAAGATCAGGGGAAAGGTTTTGTCTCAAATCTCTCAGGGTAAGGTGACTACGTTATAAAGGCCAAACATTTAGCAAAGCCTTAAACAAAAGCTGCTCGGTGACCACCACACTGACCTCCTAACTTCAAGCTTTTTTGGGAAATACCAGAGGGCAGATGACTGTCAGCTGCAGAACCACTGGCTGCTCAGCTTCCATTCCCCAGGCCTGACATCCCAGAGAAAGTCATCGGTCATGAACCTCCTTTTTCCTAAGACCACCAGCAAAGCTCAGGGGACCCCTTCTCCTACAAGCAGAGAGCACTTGAATATATATTAAGTCTGCCTTTAGCTCCAGAATATGGAAATGCATGCACAAGGAGGACCCCACTAGCTGTTCCTGCATAGCTTGTTTTTTTTTTAAAAAAAGACCTTTTGTCAGCTATAATTCAACAGTGAGATAGAGTTGGCTGGTTCAAGTCCCAAGTTTCTTACAGAAGTCAGGAGCCCTGAATTGGGGCCCTGCTCAGCCACCTTTGACTTGGGGATATGCAGCCAGCCCTGAACGCTTGAGTCTCACTTGCTGTCACAGGGCTTAGGGCCTTAGCTGGACATCCCCAGCAGATGGATCTACATCTGTTCTACAGACATCAACAGACACTGAAGTCTATAATTACATTTGTATTTGCATCTATAACTGTACAATATCTGTAAAAAATGCCTGGAGACAAGAAAAGTTGCTGGTCGGCCAATCCTACAGACACTCAGAAACATCTGAGGTAGAAGGTCCCCTTTAAAACAATCTAGTTTACATGTTTCAAAATCATTTCTTGCTGTGAAGCCATTGATAAAAAAAGCAGTCTCACACAGAATCTTTCACTACTAGCTTATCCTCCTTGCTTCCTTTCCAAGTGGCCCAGAGGGGCCATATCAGGGCTTGAGGATGATGCATCCTGTCCAGCTTGCTGTTCACACATGAGCAAAGCAGTCATAGGACCAGAACCAGAATCCAAGGCTTCTGGGTCCCAAAGACAGAGGGCTGGAAATAAATTTTGTTCACACAGCCAAAGCCACTCCTCCCTAAAAGAACCCCAAAATTGTTTAAGTACAGGGCAGAGATTCCTTAATCTCAAAGAAGGTAGGACCTGCCCCTGGCCTATGGGTGGGTGTATGACCCAGTTCTGGGCAGTAGGATGTAAGGAGAATTGTGCTGGGGAGGGGAGCGTCTGGCAATGGTTTCCTCTTTGGTAAAAGAGAGACAAGAAAGGAGAGGGTCCCTGTTCTAGGCAACCCTGCTTCCTCTTGGAACTCAGCTGCCTGAGGCATGATGTTTAGAGCTGCTGCCACCATTTTTTGACATAAGGAGTCTAAGGATGGCATTGATACCAGCTCAGAGCCTGACATCACTGAGCCCCTGAGCCAATATCAGCAGCTACCTACCTCCAGACTCTTTCCTATGCAAGAAAAGCAAAGCTCTGTTGTGTGAGCCTCCTTTGGTCACTATTGTTCCTTGCTACTGAAAGCATTGCTGACTGACTCTAAGGATTTGTGTAAGTCTGCAACATGTTTATTTTCTAATCTAAGCATTTTCAGCTGTGGTGTTGCTTGCCTAGTTTAAAATATTCCACTGGCATCAGAAAGAAAACAGCCCTGCTTCTGTGTATTCATTGAGTGCCTGTCAGAAGCAAAGCCTGTTCGCAGCCTTGAAAAAAACCAGTTAAAGGAGGGAAGTGGAGGTGTTTACCTTTATGAACATTCTCTTTGTCACCCATGTCAAGACAAAGCCACCCTCAGCTGCCCCCAGTGCCCTGAAATGGAGAAAGACATCAGGCTGTGCCAAGAGAAATACTGTGAAGGAGCAAGCAGGGACCCATCGCCGCCCAGAGGTCCCAGCCTGGGGGAGGCAGAAACACCGTGCCCAGTCATGAGGGGCTTATAAGCCCACATCACAAAGGGGATGAGAAAAACTTGCAGGAACCACCTCACCCCAAAGAGACCTCCATGAGGAAAGAAGGCTGAAAGGCACTAAGGAGTCAGGGTCAAGAAAAGAAGGGACATAGCCCCAGACCTATGTGGCTATGGTGATCAACTGTCCCAGTTTATCTGGGACTGAGGGTTTCTCAGGATGTGGACTTTAAAAATGGGAATGTCTTGGTTGTGGAGCCTCTAAAAAAAGTTACATGAATACATGAGATACACCTGAGATAGAGCCCCCACCTCCTCACCCCTCACACAGCTGCCATGGGGAAAATAAGCAGCTGAGCAAGCCTGGCCTGCAGTTTGGGGGATTCAGGCTGAGTGGTCTTCAATCACTTATGAGGTCTAAGCGAACAGAAGTCAACCAGTAAATGAATGAATGACTCCAACTGGGTAATTACTTATATGTATATGACACTTCTGTTTCTAATATGAAACAGAATATGATTATCTTCCAGTGACTAAAGTGTAAATTTTATCAACTGACCGACACTGGTGAATCCACCACCTCCATTGCAAGGCCCCATGGGGCAAAGGAAACACATTCGAAAACATGAATCAAAAAAAATCACACCCATCTCATACTCATACCTTTCTCCCCAGTGCCAAGGAAGAAGGGCCCATAGGAAGTACCAAGGAGAAGCCATATGGTGTTGAGAAATAGTGAAACCTTTCCTGTGGTTCAGGCCCTGGGGCCATGGTTTACACAGGTCATTTCATTGCATGCTCCTGAGAGTCCTGAGAAATGGGCACTTGTACCACCTCCCATTTTACAGAGGAAGACCCAAGGTCACACAACTAGTAAGTAATGGCTCCTCCAGAGGTCATCCTTTTAAACACGCACTCAGCTGCTTTTATGCTCCAGAGACAGAGATATGGCTGGGTCCTGATGCTGCTTCTTAATAGCCCGTGTGACCTAGGACAAGAAACATCACTCTCCAAACCTCAGTATCCCTACGTGCAAAATGGGGCTGAAAGTGGCGCTAACCTCTTCAGGTCGTATGGAAAGTTCCTGGTCCACCACAAGCTCTCCATGAATGCCAAGGACAAGGAAGAAGAGCGCCCAGGGGTGCAGTGCGGAGCGGGTATGAGCAGGCCACACTGGCAGGTTGAGGAGGAGCCAGTAGGCAGAGGTTGAAGGGTGAGCAGGTCAGCCCAACAGTTCTCAAGCCTGACTGTTGAGAGTCACCTGGGGAGTCACACCCTGAACCAGCTAGATCTGAATGAACATCTGAGAGTAGGACCCGGAAGTCAGTCTTTCTACAACTCCCCAGGTGACTCCGATGTGCAGCCAGGGTGGAAAGCCATTGGCCACAGGACGTGCACACCTTGGAGGAGCACCGGTATCACCTGGGAGCTTGTTAGAAATGTAGAATCTCAGGCTCCATCCAGATTGACTGAATCGGAATCTGCATTTAACAAGATCCCTGGGTGACTGGCATACACACTAAAGTCTAAGCATCCCTGGGCTAGCCTTTGAGTCATACAGATAAGGAAAATAAGCAAAATGCCAGGCAGGCTTTGAACCTGATTAAAATCCAAAGTGCAAGTTGGAGGGGAAATAAGGGGTGGTTATTTACAATGATCGCTCATGGATAACCTTATCTCCTGGCGAACGCAAAGGGCAATTGTGGTAGGTCTCGGTGCGTTTAAACTTCAATGAATCTGTGATTGCAGACATTCAGGAAGTCAGGGATTCTGCTGGCCGCCCAATGTTTGCTCATCCGCCACTGTATAGGCCAGAAGACTACATTATCTGGTGTCAACAATGCACATGCTCGGCCCTGGCCTGGGATTAGCAGAAAAATATCAGCTTGTGTGAGGCTTTGGAATTAACACAAGGAAATAATTCCCAAAGGGCCTTTACTCACCCCGAATGAGCAGATCTTCATCTCTGGGCAAACAGGGGCCACTGAGGCAGGCTCTGAGGAGAGCAGGTGGCAGCCGGCTCCCCGGCGAGGGCATGAGTTTGCCCTCTGTGGATAAAGCAAAAGCCTATCCACAGAGACACAGAGATACTAGAAGAGACATTCCACACTTAATGGACTCTTAGAGCAGCAGTTGTCAAACTGGGGTGCCGAGTAAGGTTAGAGGAGGGCTTGTGAAAACACGGATTTCTGGGTCCCATCCCCAGAGTTTCTGACTCAACAAATCTGTCCCAGAGCCAACCACTGTAGCCAGGGGCATGGGATGTGCTGATTGGTGCAGCCTTAGGTCGCCAGCTCCAACCTTGACAAAGCCTGTTATGGTCCTTAGATATTGTTTCATCTGAAGGGTTGGCAACCTGTGTTACCCTGTGGACCCAGCCATAAGAGCTTTCTTGGGAGAAAAAGGGATCTGTAACTTCTAGAACCTGAAGAAATGATATAAACAAAAGTCTTATCAGTATTTACTATCTCTGATAATCCCAGTGGGTTCATCCTTATTTGATAAAAGCTTAAGAGCAAATACTACATCTTCTATGGAAAGCATTCCAATAGGTGGTTCAAATATGACGTCTCAGTTTTAAAAAGCAATTCAGTCTGGTTCAATATCCACCATTATCTCAGAATAGCTAACTCTTTTGGGTCATGGACCCTTTTGATAATCTAATCAAAGCATGGCTCTTCTCCCTGAAAAATGGACATTAACACAAACTTGCGACTACAATTTCAGGGAACCCACAGACCCCTGAATCCCTTCTTTGAACCCATCTCAGAATTTCCTAGATACAACTAAAATGGAATTCACTGGTTTTGCTTCCCATCTTTCATTCACACTTCTGATAGCCCCACCCTTTTTTCCTTTAGGATCTACTCACTTTCAGCCTCTGGACTCAAGGTTGGAGCATGTGACCTAAGACTGTGCCAATCAGTGCATCCCATTCCCCTGGCTACAGTGATTGGCTCAGGGACATGACCCATTCATGACCCATTCAGGACCAATAAGCCTTACTGAAAATTAAACAAAGGCCCTTTACCTTTTCCTATTAATACCAACCAAGAAGTCTGTAGCCAAAAAAGCTAGAAGCCGGCAGTTGCCATCTTGGGACCACAGAGGAGAGTCTTTGTGAAAATGGATTCAACATAAAGTAAGCAGGGCCCTGAAATGAAGAGAGAAACCAGGTCCTGAACACAGCTCTTGAGCCCTACAGTCCAGTCAGATCTACCCCTGGACAGTTTAGTAAATAAATCCTGTGAGCCCAAGGTCAGGAGTTCGAGACCAGCCTAGCCAATATGGTGAAACCCTGTCTCTACTAAAAATACAAAAAAAATTAGCCGGGCGTGGTGGTGCATGCTTGTACTCCCAGCTACTCTGGTGGCTGAGGCAGGAGAATTGCTTGAACCCGGGAGGTGGAGGTTGCAGTGAGCCAAGATGGCACCACTGCATTGCATCCTGGGCGACAGAGCGAGACTCCATCTCAAAAAAAAAAAAAAAAAGTTGTTGGCATGAAGAAGTGAAGGCAGGCCAACTGGAAGGGAAGCATCCTATGTGACTGGTTTGGGGAGCATATTTGGAAAGCTGGTAGTCATTAACCAAGTTCTAATTGTTCTGGTCTGTTTGCTTAAAGTCAGAGTTTTATTGTCATGTATGTTCTGCCCATTATCCATTTATATATTCAGTCCCTCACCATTAAATGATGGGATTCCATAGTTAACCTCTTGTTCCTGCGTTCTATAAATTTTATGTGCCCACCATGTGCCAGGCACTGTAGTGAACAGCACAAAAATGACACTAGCATTCAGGAAAATCTAGGATAATACATAAGAGGAAAACCTAAATTGAATTTGATATTTGGGAAGGAATGGCAGAGGAAGAAACTTGTAACCTAAGGTTTTAACAAGAGTAAGAGTTAGGCAGACAAGGTGGGGGCAGAGGGAGAAGGGAAAGGGAAGAGCGCTCCAGGTGGTGAGGAAGAAGACAAAAGCTATTACATGCTTTCCATACAGAATATTTTTTATTTAATCTGATTTGAAATTTAGCCATGTTCGCAATTTTAATTTGTTGGTTTAAAAAAGCAAGCATGACTTGTCTGTGTTTCCATATTTGTGTTGAAAGAGCAAATAAACCAACAAATCTAGTTCTGTCATATGGTCATATGAAATAAATAAATAAATAAAAATAAATCCTGTGAGCCCATGTTCAAACCAGCTTGAATCACTTGCAACACAAAGCATACTGATAGGTAATCTTAATGCATTCATTCGCTGGATGTTTTGATGGTTCTTCATGCAACTGCCAATTAAACACACAGTGTTGCTATACAAATGTTTTTTATGACCTGAAATTAGCCTTCCACTTTCAGTAAATCCCTTCATTCCTACGGTTAATCCCCAGAATCCATGATAATTAAGTCCCTTTCAATACAAGCTTCCGTCACTCAAATGTGCCAATTATGTTTATTATGTACCACAGGATTGCAAATCATGATATCATTGTATTATACTGCAATAAGTGAGTCACATAAATCTGATTAAAGTAGCCTAGCCTGAGGTTTAACTCTCAGAAACAACTTAACAACACAAGTATTCTGAAATCCAACAATACAATGTTATAATTGTGATTAAAAAAGCAATTTTAATTAAGAGTATTCTTAGGCCTCAGGGATACACATATCATTTTTTCAGACTACAGATTATTGATTTCTGGCAAGCCAGAGAAGGAAGAAGCTCCTGCCAGCCAGATCCCAGGATTAGGGTGATTCCCTATAACCCTAGGGAAAGGGCTTTGCCTCAGCAGTAGAGTTTGGTCTCTGCAACCAGACAGACCTAAAATAAAATCCAGGCTCCTCCACTTATTAACTTATGCCACCTCTGGGTCTCCATTTTCCCATTTAGGAAAAATGGGTGCTAGCCTGGCCAACATGATGAAAGAAATCCCGTCTCTACCAAAAAATGCAAAAATCAGCCAGGTGTGGTATTGCGCACCTGTAGTCCCAGCTACTCAGGAGGCTGAGGTGGGAGAATCACTTGAACCGGGGAGCTGGAGGTTGCAGTGAGCCGAGATTGTGCCAGTGCACTCCAGCCTGGGTGACAGAGTGAGAACTTGTCTCAAAAAAAAAAAAAAAAGAAAAGAAAAGAAAAAGAAAAATGGGTGCATTAACACCTCTCCTACAAAGGTATTAAGAGAATTTGAGAGCCCCTACCTCTCTCCTCCTGCAGAGGTCAGGTTCATCTCTGCCATTCACAAACACAACTCCCAAAGTACTAGGGAATTGACTTATTGCTTTGAATGTTAGCAAAGGAAAAGACTCAAAAATGCGTCATGCTTACCCTGTACACACTGTTACTCAGGGTAACTAAAAAGTTGAGGGGGAGTTTCCTTTTATAGAAGAATGTTTGCAAAAAAATGCAGAAGCAATGATGGAAATAGAACATCACCAGTTTGCAACTGCTAATGAACTAGTGGATTTGGGCACTGAGCCTCAATAGCTGCTCACATCCCCAAAACATAGAGTGCTGGATAGTGTATGCCTCCTGATGGAAGCACGCCCACGAAGCGATCTTGCCGAAAAGCATTGAACCAGAATCTGGTCAAGCCTCTATCAAACCACCAATTTCCAAATAACTGCAGGGGACAGAGGAACTTGCTTTATTTCATCATGAAGATGCAATCAACAACATCCAGACCATGGAGGATTCTACAGGGGAACAACCTACTTTCTTCAACATGTAATTTTTTAAAAAAGAGAGAAAAAGAGAGATTGAAAGGGAACCTGCTGAATAAAAGAAATTTATCAACTGATTAAAATTCATGAGTCTTATTTGGATCTTAATAGAAATGAACCAACTATAAAATAAATTTGAAGTAATCTGAGAAATATGAATGCTGACTATATATAATAAGGAATTACTAAATTTAAATGAAGTAATGGCTGGTGGGTCGTGGTAGCTCACGACTGTAATCCCAGCACTTTGGGAAGCTGAGGCAGGCAGATCACTTGAGGTCAGGAGTTCAAGGCCAGCCTGGCCAACATGGTGAAACCCCGTCTCTACTAAAAATACAAAAATTAGCTGGGCATGGTGGCGCATGGCTTTAATCCCAGCTACTCAGAAGGCTGAGATGGGAGAATCACTTGAACCCAGGAGGCGGGGGTTGCAGTGAGCAGAGATCGTGCCCTTGCACTCCAGCCTGAGCGACAGAGTGAGACTCCGTCTCAATAAACAAACAAACAAACAAACAAACAAATAAATAAATAAACTGCAGTAATGGTATTGTGATTATGTTTTTAAAGATAAATATTTATCTTTTTAGATACATAATGAAATTTTTATGAATAAAATTATACACTTTCTGGGATTTGCTGCAGAATAATCTGGGAGGGCATTGGGGGAGCACATTGATATGAACTATCACTGAATGTGGTCAATATGGGGTACATGTGGGTTCATAATTTTTTCTCCAAATTGTGTATATGTTTGAAATATTACCTAATTAAAAGTTGAAAAAACTCCCAAGCACTGGTGAGTAATGTAGGTTCTATTGAAGATTTGGGAACAGGATAGGGAGCTGGATTGGAAAGTGGAATGTATTCAAATGCTCCCACTGGACATCCAACCCCTCCCCACACACCTACCTCCTGACCTCCCCCTGCAGTCCAGTGTACTCCACTCAGCAAAACCGAGTCTTCCATGGAGCCCATGGAGCTTCCATGGGCAGCTTCTCAGGCCTGCCCTCTGGGGCCTCCATTCATCCTGCCACAGTGTCAAAGGGCTGACCACAGTGGATATTCAATAAGCATCCACTCTTCTTCCAGATAGCAAAACCCATTTAGGTGTCATGATCCAATCATGAGCACATGAGTACAGGCTGAATAGACCCTAAAAGAAATAAAGGTGAAATTACCAGAAGTATGAAACAACCCAGCTCTTTGTGGGTGTAGTCCCATGGCTGCAGAATCATTTAGGAGCTTTTTACAAATAAATATTCCAGTGCATGGGTGCAACCGCGTGTGCGTGCGCGTGCGCATGCGCGCACACACACACACACACACACACACACACACACACACACACACACACAGAGTCACCCTAATGACTCAGTATTGCTGAGGTAGGGCAGGGTTACCTGTATTGTCTCAAAGTCCCTCCAGATTCAGCCAGCCTAGTCTGAGCCCAGAGCTTAGAAACTGTTGGCGGGGCCCATAAAATGTAGCAATACATATGGGGAGAGAGAGAAGAAGAGAAATGATCAATTATCTATTGCTCAGAGTCTACAAGGCACAGATCCAAATCAGGCCCCAGAAAATGAATTCACTGAATGATCAATTCCCCCCAAACTGTGGAGCAAAGTATATACATGGGGTCTAGGATACACAGTGGCAACTTTTCGTTGTAGTGCCCTTCTGCCCGCCGGCCTGTGGGGAGTAGGGGCAATAGAGGGAATGTCCTTTCCCTGCCATCTGCCCATCAGTCCTGCCCATAGTACCCCCTGGATGGAACCCTGCTCCATTCCCTTCTACCACTCCTCCCTACAGAAAGGCTTGGTCTTCCTGACCCTGTTCTCCAGCTCCCACTGAGCTCCAAACCACCAAGATCAACTGGAGAATGGAGAGTGCTGTAGCCACATAGCTTCTTCCTGTCTTCAGATTGAGGAAGGTGAGGAGCAGGGGAAGGGTTCACTTCTCTACTCCTCCTCTCTTCTTGTGAAAACATTAGCAATCACCTCCCCCTCTGCTGGGATCCACGGCTCCTGCATCACCCTGGAAGTATTGCAATTAATTGTGAGCTTTTAGGGGCCCAGACTGTGGCTCAGCCTTCTTTGTGGCCCCCAGCAGGCACACAAGGATTGCATGTTGAATACGTGAGTGGATACTTGCTGAACACATGGGATGGAATTTAAGGTCTTATTCACAGCCCTCACTGAGCAGCCCTGCACTATACACTCTGTGGCACTCAGCTGGCGCCAGCCCTGGCTTCCCCTGATCCTAGCTTGGGGAAGGGAGAGGACTTCTAGCTTGGGCAGCAAAAAGCCTTGCTGTTTTGCTAACAGAGAGGTCCTGGGGATATAAGACATATTCACAAACTTTTCTTCAAAAAATATGTGGCAGCCTCAAAAAGAACACTAGAGCACAGTGACGTTGAGCATGTCTTCTACTGAGGGCAAGTGTTATTGCCTGGGATTTAATGGCTCTTACAGATAAATAACAAGAATGTAGGAAAAGTGAAAATGACTGCCATGTGGAGAAAGAAACAGGCACCAAGCCCCAAGGGAATGAAGGCGAGGAAAGCTTGTTTAAAAAGACAGACATCAAACCTAGTGGGGGAGGTGGGGGAGGGCAGACAGAAATCACAGTAACTCTGGGTTTTCTCAGAAAACTGATGTAGCAATTAAAACAAGTAGGAATGGGTTGAAATAACAGCCTTGACAGCTAGAACTAAAGTAGAAATCAGGTGGAGGATGGGGGAGAGGAAAAAGGAAAAGGATCCATCTGAGACACAAAAGATAAAATAAAATGTGTTTGACCCCAAAGAAGAGCACGACAGATATTTTCCAATCAGTTGAGAAGATTCTGAATTTGACAAGATGAGAGACAAAGAGGGGGTGGTTTTTCAGGCTTTCCCCAGCCATCTCAAAGGGCTGGTGGGTGATCACCCAGGAGGATTCTGATCAGAGCCCGCTGTCCTTCGAGCAAGCAGGAGAGGTCTTCTGAGCGGATTCCCCGCTGTTCTCCTGGGTGTTCACAGCAAAATTTCCACCAGAGGCTACCCCTTCACAGAACATTCCTCCACTTCACGACCCACTGCTGGGAAACCACCTGTGTCTAAGTCAGTTCTTCTCTTTTGAAATCTAGAATCTTGCCATTCTTTGCCAATCCTCTGTTCACTCTCCTCCATATTGGATCATAGGATGACAGAATGTAAGGCTTTGTTGGGGGAGGGAGCCTTAAAAATTCATCTTCAGTTAGACACACAAATCCCCTAGGGACTCTTGATAAGATGCAGATTCTAAGTCACAGGTCTGAAGTGGGACCTGAATGGCTGCATTTTCTCTCAAGCTCCCAAGTGATGCCCGTGCTGCTGTTCCCCAAACCATGCTTAGAGAGCAAGACCCCAGACCTAGCTGTCCAATAGAGTCGACCAGCCAAATTAAGTGAAATTGAAGATTCAGCACCTCAACCATACCAGCTACACTTCAAGTGCCCAATAGCTACCACATTGGACAGAACAGAACATTTTCATCACCACAGAAAGCTCTACCAAGCAGCATGGACAGACCAATGGCCACTACAGTGGTCAAATGCTGGTATCCCCTCTCCCACGTTTATATGTTGAATCCTGACTCCCAACGTAATGGCATTAAAAGGCGGGGCCTTTGGGAGGTGATTAAGTCATGAGGGTGGAGCCTCCATGAATGGAATTAGTGCCTTTATGAAAAGAACCCTCAAGCACTCCCTTGCCCTCTTTTTACCATGTGAGGACACAATGAGAAGTTGCCGGTCTGCAACCGGGAAGAGAGTCATCACCAGAACCAACCACGCTGGTCCCCTGATCTCAGACTTACAACTCCCAGAACTGCGAGGAATGCATTTCTGTTGTTTATTAGCCACCCAGTCTACAGCACTTTGTTATAGCAGCCCAAACAAACGAAGACAGCCCCTCAGGAAGACATCCTTCCTCTGTATTGTTGGATAGGGATCCCCAAAGTTTCTGCCTGAGGGACCTGGGAGTTTTCACTTGCACAATATGTTACCACCTGGTTCAGCTTTCTGACCAGCTCATTTTCTGTCTTTGCTGCTCACAACAAGTCAGCCCCATTTTGAAGATGAAAAGGGGTCCAAGACATAACACATTATTTAATTTTAAGTAGCCACTAGCATAAAATAAACATGTCTCACAGACAGCCTGGCAAAGGGGCTCATGTATGGTCTAAGGCAGTTGTATTCCCAGCCTCTTCATCCCTCTCCTATTTGATTCATGGCTCTAGGAAAACCAAGAAATAAGGAGCTCTTGTCTTGTGCACCTCTGTATCCTTTCACTGGAGAAAATATAAAAAACAATCCCTTACTTGCACATGACGTTTGGCAGTTTATAGGCAAATAGAGATTAGCCTGCAGGGTGTTTGTTAGGGGGTGCTCTTGGGATCAAGTCCTGTGGAGGGCAGGAGATGGGAGGAGGATTGAACAGAGGGAGAAGCTGGGCTGCAATGCATTCTCAATGGAGACCTCAGCCAACCCCACACGTAACTCTGGAACTGGGACGGACTGTGGGGAAGGAAGGAAGATGAGGGGCCTTCCCTCTTTCTAAAGGGTGCGGAGAAGATCACCAGTCTTGTTATATCAGAATAACAGCTCGTATGGTTCTTTTCTGGAACTCATGGAATTCACATGTTGGAGGCATGAATCACAGTTCACAAATGTAGGTGGCAAGAAATGAAACTTTTTTCATCATTTTATGGTTCATCATAATTTTTATGATAAGTCCAGTGGTAGATACTGGAATGTGCTTCCAGATCTCCCTTTAAGAATAAAAAAAATTTTTCCTGGCTGCTGGGAGTGCTACTGGCAGTCAGCCCTCAGCTGTCAGACCCTTTGGGGATTGGCTTAGCCAAAGGGAGCCTCCTCACTTAAGGTCAGTTTCCCTTTCCCTGCGACTGCAACCAAGGCCTGATCAATGAAGGGGTGTTCTCTTCCTCCAATTCAGGACAACTCTGAAGGGCCGTCCCAGCTCCAGATCTACCTGAAGGGTTGGCTGAGCTCTCCATTGAGAATGTATTGCAGTCCAGCTTCTTCCTCTGCTCAGTCTTGCTTCCGTTTCCTCCCCTCCACAAGAATTTATCCCAAGAGCACACCCCAGCAAACATCCTGCAGGCTAATCTCTATCTCAGAATCTGCTGCCCAAGGAACCCAACCTGCAAAAAGTTCCATTCTGCTCTCTTGGGCTCTGTCTAATTTCCCAGGCCCTTCATAAACCCAAGGTATCAAGGTGAGGGTGTGATGGTGGGAGGTGAGGGGAGTAATGATGTAGTTTCTCACTATCATCCATCTACAAGGGCATGACTGACATGCCCAACATCCCATCTGACATTCTCTGCCAGCCTTTTGAGACCAACTCTTTATGTGTGTCTTCCATGCTCCTGAACATATGGGAGTAATTCCTCTATTCCCACACCATGCTGGGACTCAGGGAACTCTGTTAGACAAAGCCCCATTTTTCTGTGCACGTCACACAGCCATCTCTTCTCAGAGTCTATTCTCCCAGGCACAACCCCAGAAGTGGTACCCATCTGCTGTTATACCTTACAAGCCAATTTAGGGAGTCTGTTCTTCCTCCTCACCAGGGCTTGGTCTAGGGAAGGGGGCAGGGAAGAGAGCTTCTACCCTTTGTGGTAGATTATCATGGCTACAAATTCTTTTTATAAATACATTTTATTGTGCATACTTAAGGTATACAACATGATGTTATTAGATACATAGGTAGTATAATGGTTACTATATTGGAACAAATTAACACGTTCATCATCTCACATAGTTACCCATTTTCCCCTGTGGCAAGAGCAGCTATTATCTACATTTTTTTTTTACATTCCTCCTCTCAAGAGGTAAGATTTATGTCTCCTCCCCTTTAATGTGGGTGGGCTTTATGACGGCTTTGAACAGTAGAATACAGCAAAAGGAACACTGTGACTGTGACCTTGTATCTATTGCCTGACCCAGGCCTTAAGAATCTAGCAGTTTCCTGACTCTTGAAACAATCTCTGTGGAAGCACTGAGCCACCATATAAGAAGCCCAACCACTCTGAATTCCCCTTTACTGGAGAAGCCATGTTTAGGGACACCAGTCATGAGTCCCCAGCTGAGCCTTCCAGCCACACTGCTATGTGAGAGAAGCCACCTTGGATGAGCCATCCTCTCCAGCTGAATACTGCTGAGTATCCCCAGTTAATGCCACATGGAACAGAAGAATCACCCAGCTGAGCCCTGCCTGAATTCCTAGCCCACAAAATTGTGAAACATAATAAAATGGTGGTTGTTTTCAGCGCTGCCACCCTTTCTCACGGACATCACTGGCTCCTTTCTTCCTTTCCATCTCTATTCATACCCCATTCAATGAATCTTTTCAGGTTGAGGGGCAAGGCTGGACAGAGCAGGAAAATGGAATCTTTACTTTTATTCATCCTGTAGTCTTTCAAATTACTCAGCTCTGAGTTCTTCCCACTCCCTGCCAAAGGTTTGGCTTTTGGAACTCAAAAGCCAGGAGTCTGTCTTACCTACTTTTTGTTGTGTCTTCCCTTCCTGAGGCAAGGAATGATGTAGGGTCTTGCTGGCCCACCTGGGTGTGGGAATCAGAGATCATGAAAGGAAATACAGAGGAAACATGAGATAACATTTAACTATCATACTGCCACCCACAGAATTTTGCTAACTTTAGAGATCAGATCCAAGCCACTTATATTAGAGACAAACCAGGACATGGGAAAATTAGGTTATCAGCACAACATTCAGGGCTGGGAGGCAGGGCTTAAACTTTAGACTTAGGGATTCTGACTTTCAGCCCTCTGTTCATTTGGTAAGTCTTCCAGAAATGCAAGCGTCCAGGCATACTTACTTGATGCTGAATTATTTTTCTTAAAAATAGAATTTACCCTCATACACTGCCAGTGGAAGTATAAACTGGTACAATGACTTTAGTCTGCCACTCCACAAGCAGGCAGATATCTAAGAGAAATGAGTGCATGTCCAAAAAATGTATAAAAATGTTCATAACAAACTTATTCACAATAGCCAAAAACTGTAAAAAACCCAAATGTCCATCAACAGGAGAATGGATAAACAGACTGTGGCATATTTATATTGTGGAATACAATACGGCAATAAAAAAGGCCAAACTACTGAGTATGCAAAAAGATAGGTGAGTCTCACAAGCATTTTGCTAGGCAAAAGAAAAAACACACAAAAGAACACATGTTGAATAATTCCACTTAGAGGGAGTTCAAGAACAGGCAAAAGTAATCTATGGGGATAGAAGTCAGAATGGTGGTTACCCCTGGACTAGGAGGATTGCCTGGAAAGGGGCATGAAGGAACATTCTCACATGATAGAAATGTTCTGTGTCTTGGTGTATGCATATGTGAGAATTCATCAAGCTTAAGATTTGTAAATTTTACTGTATGTGACTTATACCTCAATTTTAAAAACACAAACTAGTGTGTTCGTATATGTATACACACACACACACACACACACACCATATATACACGTATATATACATATTAAAGTTTCCAAGACGAACTCAAGAAATTATTCTTTTGCCTACTTTTCTTTTACTCTCTAATAAAATTTGTTTGTTTTAAGAAATGGGGTCTTGCTATGCTGCTCAGGCTGGACTCAAACTCCTGGGGTCCTGAGTAGCTGGGACCACAGGTGCACCCAGCACGACAAAGTTTTCTTTTTTGTTTTCCTCAAAATCAATCTCCTTTCCTTCTCTCTAAATTTTAATTTTATTAATATCTTTCTATAA